>NC_000008.11:15314648-15617678 GCF_000001405.40 Homo sapiens
TACCTTGGTGCTATCAAGGAGAGTTGAAAAATCTTAATCTGAGGTCTTCAAAACTCCTTTCCTTTTTTTTCTTTCTCCTGTTTCACTAATCTCAGTAGACTCCCTCTTGGCTTCTGCATATTTGCCTCACCCCATGTAAGATGTTGTCCATCAAGACTAGAAAGACAGAGAAAAGGCGTCTGACTTTCAACCTTCTGTTGCTTTAGCTCTAAAATAGAATAGAAAAACAAAAACAATGTTCCTGAAAGTAGACAATATTCCAGTTGCCCATCTGAATTTCTCACCTATACATTTTTGGATACTAAAAATTAGGAAGGAGAAAGGTCTTCAGAGTCACATATAGAAAGAAAATCACGCAAATAACATTTTCTTTCCTGGGCTGACCTACATCTCCTGTTACTTTGTGTTTCTCCCGATTGCCAGAGACATTCAAAACAGACTGGCCCCAGCACCAGGGGACTCATTGAAGAAGAAGAGCGAGTTGAGTTATGTTAATTGAGTGTCTACACCAACTGTCTAAGGGTGTAGAAGCCGTTTGTTTTTGCTGCTTCATCATTGGTCATCAAGCTCTGCCTTAAGTTCTTTTACCTTTAAAAGAGCATAATATCAGTTTCATAGCTCAGTTAATTAATCTGATTAATTTCTAGAAAATTAATGAGATTATATAACTGTTAAATTTTTTAAAAAGTCAAAAATCTCAGGAGAGAGGTAACCAGCAAATAAATCTGATATTCCAGCAAGCATAGGGGAAGCGGTTTCAAACCCTTCTGATGTATTGTTTTGATGCAGTCTTACCAAAAAAAAAAGAAGGACTGTATGTTTAGGGGGCTTAAGACAATTTAGAATCCTTCCTAAATTCTTCCTACAAAAATATTTTACGGTTATTTCTTAATGATAGAATAAATTACGGTTGAAAACAACTGGAGGAAAGTGTTCTCCTGTCATTCTTATAAGTAAAAGAATCTTACAAGAAATGACAACTAGATGTGGAAAAGTATTTTAGGTTATTTAATTTATACACTAACAGCATGTAAGTCTGATGCTACATTCTATTTTCAGGTCTTTGACTCATACTACTTGAACTTTTTTCAGAAATAAATATTTTCCAACTCATCCTGATAGACACCTAGTTTTCCATTTTCTGTTTAAATGCTACAGACATTTTCCTTTGTTTAATTATTTCAATTCTCTTTAGAAGTTTTTTTTCTAAGGATAGCACCATTCTGATATTTATAGGACAATGCCTATTTATATATTAATTAGTTTCCAGTGTTTCACATTACCCCAAGTCTTAGTTTGGGAATTAATGTTATTCTGTATCTGATGCAGTAAAATAAACACATCCCTTTTTGACGACCTCCGATTAAGATTTTTCCACTCTCCTTGACAGCACCAACGTACTGAACTGAAACAAGGTGATTTTACTTACCATCCAGTGAAAACTCTGTAGGATGTAACTGAAAATAATAGAGTTGACCTTGATATCTGATGGGAATAAAGCAAACTTTGGTGCACTCCCAAACAACAATAAACCCAGGAAGTGCTAACATTTCTAGTAGGTAAAGATACTTGCCCATAGCTCGAAGAGCTCTTTTTGCAGACTTTGATGATATCCACTTCACCTCTTAATAACTTGTGCTGCTTTCCATTTCAGAAAGGGACAGTTCCACAGCTGGCAAACAATGGCTCGCAGATATGTTCTTCTTCACTGGATAAAACCTAAAATTGTAAAATGCAGTTTACTAGGTACTTGTTCAGGATTTATATAGAAGTACACTTACAGTTAAAAAACATTTTTTCATTGTTGTAAAATACACATAAAATGTTTCATCTTAACAATGTTTAAGTGTACAGTTCAGTGATATTAAGTACATCCACATTGTTGTATAACCATCACCGCCATCCATCTCCAGAACTTTTTTCTTTTCTTTTTCTTTTTTTTATTTTGAGACAGAGTCTCACTCTGTCGCCAGGCTGGAGTGCAATGGCATTGTTACCGGGGGTCCTTGCTCCCAGAGCTCCCACGATGGCCGCGGGCCACTTCCAAGACGGTGGCAAGCCTCGTGTTCTCTGACCTGGGGTTCTTGGCCTCACAGATTCCAAGGAATGGAATCTTGGGCCATGCAGTGAGTGTTATAGCTCTATTAGAAGTCATGGGTCATGGAAGAGAACTGTGGAACCCAGTGACTAGTGTTCAGCTTGATTAGGACGAACCTAGGCACTTAGCCGTGCAAGAACGATGGCAAGCCTTTAGCCCGATCGGGAGAGGTAATGGGTGCCTCACTGGATCAGGAGCACAGGGGACATCCTGCGGATCTGGAGGAATGGAAGTCAACAGCAGGTCTGCGATGGCGGCAAAGAGCAGTGGTGGATGGTGAGCAAAATCTCAGCTCCAGTGGTAACAAACATGGACCAGAAGAGTGCAGTTGCAAGATTTAATAGAGTGAAATAGAATGAAAACAGAGCTCCCATACAAAGGGAGGGGACCCAAAGAGGATAGCCGATGCTGGCTCGGATGTCTGGGTTATATCCCGATCCTTGTCCCTCCCGCTGTGCTCTCAGGCAATAGATGATTGGCTATTTCTTTACCTCCTGTTTTTGCCTAATTAGCATTTTAGTGAGTTCTCTGATTGGTCAGGTGTGAGGTAAGCTGCAAGCCCCGTGTTTAAAGGTGGATGCGGTCACCTTCCCAGCTAGGCTTAGGGATTCTTAATCGGCCTAGGAAATCCAGCTAGTCCTGTCTCT
Organism: Homo sapiens; assembly: GCF_000001405.40. Classification (NCBI taxonomy): domain Eukaryota; kingdom Metazoa; phylum Chordata; class Mammalia; order Primates; family Hominidae; genus Homo; species Homo sapiens. The sequence continues at coordinate 15,317,394 of NC_000008.11, forward strand.
CAGCGTGATCTCGGCTCACTGCAACCTCTGCCTCCCTGGTCCAAGCAGTTCTCCTGCCTCAGCCTCCTGAGTAGCTGGGATTACGGGTGCCTGCCACCAAACCTGGCTAATTTTTGTATTTTTAGTAGAGACGGGGTTTCCCCATTTTGGCCAAGCTGGTCTTGAACTTCTGACCTCAGGTGATAACGCCCACCTCAGCCTCCCAAAGTGCTGTGATTACAGACGTGAGCCACCGCACCCGGCCCAGAACTTTTTATCATGTAAAACTGAAACTCTATATATCCCTTTTCTCAGTCCCTGGCAACCACAAATCTACATTCTGTCTCAATGATTGTGAGTAGTCTCAGTACCTAAGTGAAATCATACAGTATTTACCTTTTTTCTTTGTGACTATTTCACTTAGCATAATATCCTCAAGTTTCATCTGTGTTATAGTATGTGTCAGGATTTCAGAAGGCTGAACAACATTCCACTGTATATACCACATTTTGCATCTCTATTCGTCTGCTAATGGATACTTGGGTTGCTTCTGTTTTAGCTATTGTGATTAATTCTGCTGTGAGTATGTACGTACAAACATCTCTTCAAGACCCTGCTTTCAATTCCTTTGGGTATATACTGTCCACTGAAGAATGACGAGGTTCATAAATTTAGAAAGGAGAGCTTCATTTCTCACAGTTTTGCAGCCATTCTGACAGGCTGGGAAGCGTAGCCTCCAGCCAGAAGCCAGAAACAGGCACTTTGAGCGAAGGGCAAAGTGAACTGAAATTTGTGCTTAGCAATAGGGGATAGGAGGAGTCATGAATATTTATGAAAGTAGAAATATGTACATGTGCAGTTGAGCTTCATGCCCCTTCATGGGTGCTGTGTACAAAAAATAGCAGCATTGGTATGATCCAAGGGTGGAGTTTCAACTGTCTTCTGTCAAAAGGTAAAGTAGAAGACATGAAAACTCTTACTGTGCCTTCTCCATAGACTGGCCAGAAACTCGTGTGGTTGATGGTCTCTTATCAGGAAGGAATGCTGGTCAATTGTTTTTGTCAAAACCACAACAGGGAAGGGAAACAGTCAGGCTGCTGGTTGATATCAGTAATGGAGTTTTTAGAAAGGCCTGGTTTCTCATTAGCACTGAGGGAAGAAAGGCTAATTGTGGTTGGCGAGGGAGTGGGTATAACAAGGTCTGTCTGACCTCCTATTCCATCAAGACCAAGAATTCAGTATTTTTTAAGGTTACTCTGGGGTCCCCTTGGCCAAGAGAAGGTCCCATCAGTTGGCTGGGGGGCTTAAGATTTCGTTTTTATTTGTCAGTACCCAGAAGTGAAGTTTCTGAATCATATGGCAATTCTATTTTTAGCTTTTTGAAGAACTGCCATGCCATTTTCCATAGCAGCTGCACCGTTCTGTATTTCTACCAGTAGCAACAACGGTTCTAACTTCTTTACATCCTCATCAACACTTGTATTTTCTGTTTTGTTTTGTTTTGGGATAGCAGCCATTCTATTCCACGTACGAAGTGATATTTCATCTTGGTGTTGATCTGTATTTCCCAAATGATTAGTGACACTGAGCATCTTTTCCTGTGCTTATTGGTTCTTTTTATATTTTCTTTGGAGAAATGTCTTTTTAAGGCCTTTGCCCATTTTTGAATCAATTTATTTATTTTTGTTCTTGTTGTTGTTATTGAGTTGTAGAAGTTCTCTATATATTCTGGATATTAACTCTTTATCAGACATATGATTTACAAATATTTTCTCCCAGTCTAAAGGTTGCTTTTTGACTCTGTTGACAGTGTCCAGACCCTTCATCCAAAAAACTCAGTTCAAATAACATAAATATTGCTTTCAACACGATCGGCAATGAGGAAGGGATCATCCTAAATTTGGGCAGAAAGTCTCTCAAAAATGCCCTTCAACTGCTCATGGCTCCCTAAGTGACTAGCTTGATTGGGCTCTACCATTTGGGAGAGCTCTTTATCCTGCTGTACACTCTTACATGCTGTTTCGCATGGCCTTGTTTTGCCTCTTCTGAGTTCTGCCACAACTCAAGACTCTTTAACCTAACATGGACATCCTATCCCATTCCCAACAACTCACCACGAGATACCATTTCCCGCCATGATCCCAGCAAGAGGGCGATAATTATCCTATCACTCCTCAGAATCTAGAGTCACTGGGCTGTGTGAATTGGCTTTGTCTCCATGTGTCTTTGAATGATGCAATTTGAAGAACGACCTCTGCTGAGTATGTATCTCTGAGTGCTAACCTGGAAGCTGAATGGAATGGTGGGCTGGTGGCCTGCAGCACAGGTGGGTGATGCCTTCCTCACCATTGAATGTGTGGTCATTAGTAGCACTTGGGAGAAGCAGAAAATTTTTCTCTTACCTCTCAGCAATGAAAATTTCTGCACTATATGAATGGAACTGTTAACCATCATGTGCGGTGGAGATCAGTGGAGTGTTTGTTGCTGCTTTCCATTCCTCAGCTGGAATGTCCTTGATACAGGATGGAACCCAAGAAACAATCATTTGGCCAAACTTCAGGCAGTTGTCTTACCACTGGGTGCCATGGCTAACAAGTCGTTCTATCTTCACTTTTATTTAAACTATTGAGCCATTGCCAAAGAGTTGTTCCCTTCAAGGTAAAAAGTCCCTAGGAATCTCTTGCCTCATAGATAAACACATTAATAAATCAAAGTCATCCACATCTCTACATATACCAAGGCTACAATACAAGGCCTTGCCAGAACACTCCTTACTCCCTTCAGAGTTCCAGACGTTACTAACTGTAACTAAGACATACATTTCACTTGTTAGAATACACGATGGTGAGCTTTTGGAAAAGGCATTTAATAGCACTTTCATGTCCTTAGTAGGTCCCAAAAAGTATTTTTAATTCAGAGACATAATGGTGTTCTCAAACAACTACTTTTCAAATTCTAGCCCAACAAGTAAACCCTTAAAAATCTCTATCTTGTCCAACACCTTAACCTATCTTTATATATTTTCAATCTTGACCCTATTGCACAGGGGCTGGAAGCAAGATAGAGGGCACATACTCTCCTGAGACCTATTAACTGTAGAAAGTTCCATGGTCCAGGCAGGTGCTCATCTGACAAGAGACCCATTTGAACCTAAACTTTGACTAAAAGCAAAAATACTGTCATATAGAGTTGTTTACAATTCTATTGACTATTGGTCTATTTTCACTGATCTAGGTGCTTTCATTGGTTTACAATCAGAAGGCCCACATCAACCAGAGTGGGTACCCGCTTGGAAAGGCTACTCCAGTTCCACATCACAGATAACATCACCCTGGCCCAAAATCTCACTGCTGGAATTGACATTGCCTCTGATGACATTGCCTCAACCCAAAACCTTCCCTTTGGAGATGACTTCTCTCAGTATACTGGAGACGAGTTCTCCCAGTATTCTGAAATATCCACCCCGGCAACGCCCGTAGACTTTCTCTTCCTAAGGCACAAATTGGACACACGATATGTTTTGCTTTTCTTTCTGAGCTCCCTGTCTCCTTAACTCATGATTCTGTTATACTTCTTGCTGTCTGTTAAAACATACAGCCCTGTACTTCCATGCCTAAGGAAAATCTCATAGAGGTTACTAAAATTAGTGGAGATTATTTCTTTCTCCAGGAAGCATCTGCCTCATGTCAATAAACTCATTGACACCCCCTGGGGAAAGGATCACCCACTTCCTTATGCCTTTTCTTGCTACTCTCCTCCAGATTTTTCATTTTCACCCCTTGAGTCTCTGATCTTGACCACCCAAACCACTCTTTCTCTTTGGCTAAACAAAGCACAACATTCTCAAGGGTACATTATGCCCTGAATAATGACACTTTCAGGTTCTATTGTGATCCAAACACATAGGCATAACCCCTAATGCATTTTTCCTTGCCAAGTCTTCTGCATGTTTTCCCTAATAAAACAATACCCCAGTGTACAGTTGCTACCCTGGGGATTCCCATAGTTTATTGTCTACCAGGTACCTCCCTATTTCTGTTAACCTAAGGAAGCAGGGAAAAACAGACAATATTTATTCCTACCTTAATAGGACTTGCCATAGCCACAGGCACCACCAGCATTGGCCATTACTGCAGTCTTTGTCAAACAAAATCATATCATAACTGCAAACTACTATCATTCAGGATCCCTTTTAGGTTGTATTCAAAGGCTGCATGAAACATGGTCTCTTATAAAACAAGCCCATGAGTGTATAGCCCAAATGATAATAAATAACAGACTGACTGTCGACTACTTACTAGCCAGGGAGGCAGGAATTTGTGCCATTCAGGGTCCCTCCTGTTGTATGTACATTGTTAGCTCTGGATAGCTACAAGCCAAACTATAAGGAATAGGCCAAAAGATAAAGATACTTTGTAATGTGGCCCAACAAATTCCTTTAAAATCAGAGATTTATGACCTTTTCTCTTGGCTATTGCCCCCCAGGGACAATTACTTCCACTTCTAAATAAATGATAAGAATATTGAGAATAGTATGAGCAATTGGATGTCAACAAATTAGATCTAGATGAAATACAAACCGTTAGAGACATAAAATCTGTCAAGACTGAATCACAAAGAAATAGAAAATCTGAATAGACCAATAAATTGTAAAGAGATTGAATCAGTAACCAAAAATCTTCTGACAAAAAAAAAAAAAAAAAGCCCTGGACCTGATGGCTTCACAGCTGAATTCTCCCAAATATTTAAAGAACTAACACCAATCCTCCAACATTTTCAAAAATTGTAGAAGAGGGAACATTTTCTGACTCATTCTAAAAGAAAACTCAAGGCCTATTTTTCTTATGAACATTGATGCAAAAATCTTTAAGAAAATCTCAGCTAACCAAATTCAACCACATATCAAAGGATTATATACCATGACCAAGTAAGATTCATTCCTGAGATGCAAGAATGGTTTAACATATGAAAATTCATCAATATAATACACCATATTAACAGAATGAAGAAGAAAAAAAAAACATGATTATCTCAATTTATGCAGAAAAGCATTTGAAAAAATTTAACATCCTTTTATGACAAAAAAAACTCAAGAAACTAGAAATAGAAGGAAATTACCTCAACATAATAAAAGCAATATATGTAAAATCCACAGCAAACATCACACTCAATGTTGAAAGGCCTAACACTTTTTTTCTAAGATCAGGAAAAAGACAAGGATGCGTACTCTCGCCACTTTTATTCAACATATTACTGAAAGTCCTGACTATAGTAATTAGGCAAGAAAAAGAAATAAAAGGCATTCAAATTGGAAAAGAAGAAGTAAAATTATCTCTGTTGGCAGATTATATGATCTTATCTGTAGAAAATCCCAAAGATTTCACACACACAAAAAAAGCTTTTAGAACTGATAAATTTAACAAATTTGCAGATACAAAGTCAACACACAAAAATCAATTGCATTTCTTTACACCAGCAATGAACAATGTGAAAAGGAAATTAAACAACTCTGTGTACAATAACATTGAAAAATTAAAAGATGAATGAATTAAGAAATGAAAGACTTGCACAATGACAGCTATAAAATATTGCTGCTGAAAGAAAATAGAAAGGACACAAATAAATGGAAACACATCTGTTGTTAATGAATTAGAAGACTCAGTGTTATTAAATGTCAATACTACCCCAACCTACAGATTCAATGAAATCTCCATCAAAATCTTAATGATGATTTTTTGCATAAAATGATCACCCATCCTAAAATTCATATGGAATCTCAATAGCCAAAATTATCTTCAATATCTAAAACAAACACAAAACACAAAATACACAACAATTTAGAAAATCTTGAATAGCCAAAAAATACTTGAAAAAGAAAAGCAAAGTTGGAAGATTCATACTTCCTGATTTCAAAGATTACTACATCACAATAATCAAAGCAGTGGTGCTAGCATAAGGGTAGATATAAAGACCAACCGAACATAATGGAGTCCTCAGACTTTGTATACATAGTCAATTGATTTTTGACAAGGAAATCAAGATCATTCAATGGGGAAAGGATTGTGTTTTCAACAAATGTGGTTCTGGGAAAACTGGATCCAAATGGGAAAGAATGAAGTTGGACTCTGTGTTGTATATGGGGAAGTAAGTTCTGCTTGGGGGATCTTTAGAGATCACTCTGACAAGACTGTGGAAATTATATTTAGAGAGGTATATGCAATTCAGGGATAGATTATATGCACAGGTTTTAGAAGAGGGAGACATAGCATGCCATGCAGGGGACCATGTGGAAAGAACATCAAGGAAGTGGATTCAACCAAACAAGGTTGGAGCTGGGAGTGGCGAGTGAAGACCTGAGGGCAAGTGCCTTTATTGAAAGTCAGGGTAGAGTTCACAAGCGTAAGGCATGAGGGGACTTTATCAGTGCTTTGCAGTGTTACTAGGTCACAGTTAAGGGAGGGCAAGAAGGGGAACAAGTGGTGGGGACCAACCTTATCACACTGGTGCACCTGCTTGCCTGGACAGGGTGCTCACAGTGTGTTTGTGAGGATGTTAAGACATCAGAAAAATAGGAAGTTTTCAAATTTACAATACTATGGACTCTGTGATGTCTCAACATCATTAACAATACTAATTGAGATGGATTACAGTTGTCACTTGGGTTGTGGAGATGTTAAAGTTGAGTGGACAGCTTGACTCAGCCACAAAAGGCAAACTTTGATAAAGGTGACAGCATGTGTCCTACTAGCCATATAACAAGGATTTGAAATCCAATTGGAGACTGAAGACTGCACTACCAAGGAAGTTATTCTGGCACAAGTAAAATCATACCAAATAGATATATGGATCTAGAAAAAGAAAGGAAGGGTTCTAGTACAATCCTGCTCAGATAATGATGGAGAAATTGTTTTTAAGCTAAAAGTACTATAAAGCTGGGAAGAGTATTGTTTAAAATTTGACAAATTTCTATAAGATGGAAGCCTATGGAATTGTATTGATGGCCAGATCCAGTGGTGCTTCATAGCTTTCCACCCAATAAAGGGACTTCCTCAGCAGCACTCCAATTTACTCTAGATCACAGAGAGCTAATGTTGAGAGTGCCAGTGGACCAGGTTGGTTGGTAAATTGATTAAAGGGTTATGAGCTCCTACAGTCAGAGCTATTGGGTCCAGCATTTGCCTTTATGGTAAATTGATAACTAGGGCAATCTCATAGTGACCTCAGAGACTATACCAGCATGCAAAGAGAAGCCTTAAATAATTTCTGTTCTCCACAATACATCATCTTGCAAGCTCATTATAGATAGCATGTTCCCCCATCACTCCAGAAAAATACTTCCCAGGCAGCATATTCCTACATTCTCTGACCCACTAAATGGGGTATCTTGTAATTACTGTGAGTCTCACTGACAAAAAAGACAAGAAAAGTTTTTTTTAAGCAGAGAAATACACACTATACCTGTTAATACTTATGAACCAGCTCTGTCCTTTGTGAGAGGGAACAAATGTCAAAGAATTCCAATTATTTGATAAAAACAAGCAATATAAAAACTAGGAAAAAAGATTGAACACACATATGACCTAAATGAGGAAATTTAAAAATAAGATTTTAAAATCAGTACAATTTATATCCAGAAAGAAAGTAGTTGCCATATCTATAAAACAAGAACATGTTGCTATAAATAAGAAACAATCAACAATTGTGGAAAATGTAGATTTGTTGCTTTAGAAAAACAGCTGAATAATTGCATATATTTGTCTGAAGATTCATAATAGAGGAGTAGCATGCTTCATTAGTAGAATGAATAATTGAACGGAATTTATTGGTATCAAATTCCCCTTACAAAAAACAATACATTTTCTAGTCATTTGAAGGTGGAGGTTGAGTTGTATAGTAACTTGTTAATGCCGAAGAAGCGTGTTTTGCCAGCTTCCAAGTAAAAATGATGAAAGGAATACTCACATAGAAACATTGGTACGAAGTTGACAGCCAATAATCAGCATTACTCTGATGTTCTCTGTTTCACTGGCAGTGCTATTTTCAGTAGGAATATGAGAGCTCCTGCCCTAGACAAGGGCTTCAGAATCAATAAACACATGAGCTGCCTCTTACTGGAGAACCTCTTTCAACAGATAGTGAGAAAGACTTCTATGACTACATTCAGCAGAAATTCTGAGACTCCAAGGAACGAAGCAAATGAAGCCTGCCCTTCCTCCCAGGCACAGCCCAACAGGATTCTTAGTAGACTTTGGTGTTTTTAAATGATTGCCTCTTCTTTATGCTTTTGCTTGAGTTGTAGTCAATAAAAACTCTTCCATTGACAGACAAACAAAAACAATAGCATTCTGATATCAAAACATGAGCACAAAGCTGACATTTTCTATCTCTCTTCCTGGAAATAATGCAAAAGCAATAACAATAATCTGAAATAATAATTTTTAAAACCCTGAAATCATTCTTTTTTATTTCTCTGCTGTTAAAAAGAAAAATGGATCTTCCTTCAGTACAGCGCATCTCTTCTGTGGGAGTCTCCTATCTCCACCTTCTCAAGGACCACTCTGGGCTGTATATTTCACCTTCTTCCCAAAGGAATCCTTCTTTATTCCATTCAGACATTCTCAAGTTTCTCCTTTTAAAAATAAATAAATAAATGCTTTTCCGGAAATCCCGATTCCTTATAGTTGCTAGCCTTATTATTCTTTCTACAACCATACTTTGGAAAAGAGAGGTTACACTGTGAATCTACATTTTTTCACCTCTGATCTATCTTTAATACCCTTTAATCCAACCTCTGCCCCTACCATCCCAATCAAACTGATCTCATGGATCAGTGGTGGCCTTCTTACCAAATCTTCTGGTCGTTTTTTCAGCTTTCAGCTTTCTTGAACTCTGAGCATTTACCGCTGTTGATTACACCATATTTTATGAGACTTCTCACCATTTAAACAAATAAACTACAAATTTCTAGTTTTCTCCTCTCCCAATTTACCTAATCTTGAATTATGGAGTAGCAATATCCTTTTTCAGCAACTCACTGAAAAGCTGATTTTTCAGGTATCTTCAACAAAATGAAATTATTGTAAACTACAGGTAGACAATGCGCAGTATTTTTAGTGAACAGATTGAGAAATCATCAGTATAGAAGTCATCCGTATATATGTTGCCTTCCTCTTCCATGAAGTTATATTTGGTTAATTGTATTTAGATGAACTTGATAGATTATTATTTAGTTAAAAATCTGTCAGTGATCACTGCTCCCATTTTCTCTGACTACCTTTAAATGTTGGCTTTCCTCAGCGTCCCATTCTAGGCCCATTAATTTGTCAAGAACAGCTTTGAACAGGTGCTTTTAAGCTCAATTTGGTCCTGCACAGTTTTACTTAATTAGAACAGTGATTAAAGCTTTATAGGTCCAACATTAAATTCATCTGTACTTACTTGTCTGACTGAATACTCCTTCCCTGTACTCAGAGAAGGCCACAACTCCACCCAGCCTTGATCCTTGGTGTCATCATTGTCTACTCGTAAACTTTCCTTCCTCACATCTAAGTGATGACTGTGCGTTTAACCACTTAAGCTCATGTATTTCTCTGCATCTGATCTCCTCTATGCTCTACTCATTCCTTTAGTTCTCTTCACCATAATATCTCAAGCAGATTTTAGCCAATCCATCAAAAGCAGCCTCCGTCCCTCTGGTATTTTCCCAAACCTACATCCAGAGAGTACTTTCCTAAAATGAAAATGTGACCGTGACACTCCTTTGATTACAACTCCTACACAGTTCCAAACTGTCTTCAAAATAAAATATGAATACTTAATTTTGATATAAAAGGCCTCTCGTGATCTGCCACCTACTGATCTGCATTTATTTTATGACATTTTCACACTGCCACAAAGGGGCTTTAGAAGTGGGCAGTTTTGATAGGCTGCTAGTTTTTCCCTGAGTCCTTCTGCCCCTCTTCTAGAATAATAGAGGGTGGCTGGCCACAAGTCCACTCTGCTAGACACTGTACATTCCAACCTTCCCTACAGCTAAGTGCAGCCATATAACCATGTTATTACCAATAGAAGATGAGTAGAAATTACGCATAAAACTTTTGCATCATTTCCCCTCCAAAAAATGCTGTAATCTTAATCTCTCTCCCTCTTCCCATGGAGTAGAAGACAGACAAGGAGCTGTCAGTGTTAAACAGTCAAATGAGGACAATTCCCTGGGAACGAGAAGCTGAAATAAATGATCTTGAAATAACTTTTCTGGGTTGAAAGCTACTTTCTTTCCCTAAACCACCAGCAAACTCCAGACTATTGCATATCAGATAGAGACATTTTAGCTCTTTGAGTCGCTGTGTTTTGGAATCCTTTTGGAGCAACTAGCTTAGCCTGCAACTTATCCAATACAGCAGCTGAAGAGGAAATGCTTGTGTATTTCCAATATACAAACTATATTAAGAAGAAATTGCAAACATAGTTGCAAAGAATAGAAAAAAAATGAATATTTCTGCCTTGAGTACTTGAATTTTGAGCAAGTCTGTACCAATTCCAGTTAGATAAAAGACCAATTCAGTCTCTCATTTCTTGGCTCTTGCATACATTATTTCCTCTACAGGAACATGTTTTCAACCTTCTTTTCCAGAAAAAAAACTCTGCCAGTCTTTCAAGTTTTAACTTAAATGACACATTATACAGGAAGTTTTTTTGCTAAAATCCATACCATGTATTATTTATCATTCACATGGATCCCACTGCATTGTAATTACTTGTTTAGTTGCCTGTGTTCACCACTAGATTGTATACTCCTTGATGACAGGGACAGTGTCTATTGTGTGTGGTATTTTATAACAAAAGCCTATTTTAATGTGTGGTATGTGGTAGGTTCTCAAATAATATTTGTTGAGTCTTGATTATATTGCTCAGTTAATTATACAAAATGAATCTATTATTGCAACCTCCACCTATCTCAAGAATTGTATATGGTCCAATTAAACAAGAATTATACAAGAAAGTTGCAAAGTCTAAGAAGCTGTATCTACAGCCTCTTCCCAAACGTAGCTGCCCTTCCTCTCCAAAGATAATCACTATCTTGACTTCTAACACCATTGATTAGTTCTGCTTGTCTTTGAACTTTAGTAAATAGAATCATTCAGTATGAGAATATAAATTATGGGAGGAAATAAGAATAAATCAAAGCATTAACAGATGAGAATTAAGTGTTGTAAAATCTGAATAATTATAGCTGGAAGCTCACTTATATGGGAATAATTAATTTACTTTAAAAAGTGAATATTTCCTATTTACATTGGATTTTTACTTGTCAAATACCTACTTTTAGTATTAGTGTTGACTTTGTAAAGAATCTGACTTCTGGCTAATATTAAGAAAAACAAATATCTGCTCTTTGAATGTTTTTTAATTGTGAATTTAACAGATTAAATTAACAAAGCTTAAAACTTAAGATTGCTAATGTTCTGTCTTATAAAACTATTTTATTTAAGTGAACTTACTGAAAAGATTATTTTAAATCTAATATCAGATGTTCGTAAACTTCAACTTGAACATTGTAATGTATATTGAACTTGTATATAGCAGTATAAACTTTTTTTCCTTCTTTATCTAAGCTCACTTAAGTTTAAGACAGTAACTTACACAAAATGATTCCCTCAGCTGCAATCTCCTAGAAAGAGCTTTCCTCTGTCATTTATGTTATTTTCAACCTTAAGCCTCTACACAGTCCACATAGATCTTTATTAAAGATATCTACCTGCCATTCCAGCATCACAAAAGATTATCATTGACATTATCTAAATGCTATCATCTTCCTTATACATACAAGATATTTATTTTCCTTGAAATAAGAAAACAAGCAGATGTTAAAGAAATGGACTGTGTTTCCACATATCTCTCCCTTATCTTCAATGGTCTCATTAACTCAGTAGGCAATACTCAATCATCTTTTGTATATCTATTACTCAAAATGGATTTGTATCTGTTCCGAACTCTACTACCTCCTTGTCATTGATTTTTGACTTTAAAGGAGTATGAAGAGATTGCAAATACTTACACTTTTCATGAACAAATGATTGGAAAGATCCATTTTGTATTATTCTGCTTCCTTCTTACCTTTAAGTATATGAATATGTACATATTCACACACATATATAAAAATACATATTCATATAAAATGTTTGAAGCCATATAAATATAGACACAGGTATAGACATAGATAGCTGTTTTTTATTCAGGTCATTTTTCTTTAAATCATACATAAAGAGAACAACAAACCTGCGTTATCATAAGTGGCAAGCTTCATAACATTTAATTTCCAGAACTTGTTCTCTGAACCTACTGACTTGATATAACTTGAAATAACCTTTAGCTGTTCATAAAATTTAACAAGAGGAATAATTCTGAAGTCTGAAAGGAATATATTAATATTTGCAAAATAATAGAATTTAAACTCAATGTTGGTCACTTTAATTTTAAGGTAACGTAAGAAACTAACTTCACCAAAAATAACACATCTTGAAAAATGAAACAGATACAATACTATATGAAAGAAGGTGTGTGAAAAGATAACTAACTGTATTACAAAAATAGAAGATATATTGAGAGACTATTTAATAAGTCCTTGACTTTTAATAAACTTCACACCGCCCAACATCTGAAAATGCATTAGGCATGTAACTCAGTTTTTAAAAAAAAAATTATAGAGAAAATTTATAGACTTCCACTTATTATTCTATAATGTGAGGAAATAGAAATAGCCTAGTTACCATTATCTGCTTAAGAGGAATGACATCATTCCCCAGCCTTCTCTTCTCCAGACCAAATCACCCCAATTTCCTTCTTCTTTTTTTTATTAGTTGAATTTTAATCACCTTTTTGGAGCTCAACCGCAAAGCTATAAAATGTAGCCGCTGACAAAATTAGAGTGGGAAGATAAGAAGTTAATCTAAACTGTATGTGGATGAAATCCAAACCACAGCAAGCTTTTCATGGTCTATATTCATTGTAAAATTCAAGACATAATAAGAAAGGTCACCACATTACATTTAAATTCAACATTACTATTTTATTGTATCCAACTCTCATGCTAGTTTTCTTAACTGTGATTTATTCACTGTAGTATTTTGCCCTCTATTTTACAATTGCCAGGTTTTTGTGTTATATTTGTGCATTGTAAGGTATGCCTAGAATTATATTTGTTTAACATCTTTTTTCTTCTAAATTTTATAACTTCACACTTATTTGAATTTCCCGTCTGACCCATATTCCCATGTGAATTCACCATGATTAGTTGAATTTGATTAGGCTTTTCACCATGACTGTGTGGGCTTATTCTGTCCATGGGTAAAATTCTCTATATTGTAGTTATCAGTCAACTCACTCATCTTTACAAAAATAACCAACTTACCTAATTACAGCTGCCTTTTCTGACGGTGTCATCCTTCTAAACAATACATGCATCACTGTCCTCATTCCTCTCTACATCTGGGAACTTAGGCCTTGACTTTTCATTTTAATCATCAATGTTAGACAGCTGTAATAAGTTACAGTAGCATGACTACACTATGATAACCTTATGAACTTATTAATGTGGATGTGGATAAAGAAAATGCCAACATCCATTGGTCTCAAAGTTCTTTCATTAATAGTATATGTACCAGATAATCTACATGTCTTAAACTTCATAGAAGCATAGATGTTCAATTTGAATAAATGTGTGACACCCCCTAATCCAATTCCTGGGCTTATACTTAAGTTTCTTCAATTCACTCTCTTGGGAAGCAGCCTATTTTATTTTCAGATTTTCAACTATCTTACATGTTGAGACGATTTATCAGCCACACTTCACTCATGGGCCATAGTTCTGTCCTTGAGGCATGGCAGACAGTTTCTTCTGCTTTTCTGATATTTCTCATATTTGAAGACAGTTCCCATTTCGGCTTCAAATCTCTTTTTTTTCAGTGTAAGTGTTTTCAGGTTTCTCTCATTCAAAGCCTCCTCTACAAGCTTTAATTTGTTGAAATCCTTCCTAAAGTTGACACAACATATGAAGTATTGCTAATCAGTGTACAATTGTGCAAGAGCTCTCTTATTCTAAATATTTCACTTTATTTAATGTACTCAACAAGTACATTAGCATGTACGCAGTTACTACATTTAACTGTTCAAGTTAGTCTTCAACAAAAAACTTTAGAAGTTGTAACCACGAGAGGGATCCAAATTTCAATCATGCATCATGTTAAAGTCCATAAGAATACGTGGCCCTAAAACATGATGTGCAAAAAAATAATAATTTAGGTTTATATCAGACCAATTGCTTATTAGAATTAGATGGATGACTTTTATATAGCTTAATAGGCAAATGCAAAATCCAATCCAGTTGAATACTGGATTGGAAACTGCCAGCTTGGGAAGGAATGGAAAAAATTAGGTAACTTGTTTTACTGACACCTTAAGGTCCTGGAGTAAATCAAATTTAAAGCATTATGGAATCACTGATATAAAATTTTCCATTGGGGTCTGTGCACACATCTCATTGTAGTCACCAACAAGAATCCAGTTGGTGAACTGGCCAAAATTTGGGGTCTTTCTGCTTTGTCCAGCACACTGAGAAGGTAACTCTCTAAATTATGATTCTTTAGTGGGGGTTGAGATCAATCACCTTGGATGTCTACACCTCTAGAAGTCACACTCAGGAGACATCTCTGGTCAAAAGTAATTTCAGTTAACTGAGAATCAAAACTATAGCATTAATATTTTATACATAGGAAGCTGTGCGGTTTTGATACTTTGAGAAAATGGCCTAGTAGAGTGATGGCTTTGTAATTTCCATTTAAAATGTGTAATTGAGTAACTAATTTAGACTTGTGATTGTTAGAAGAAATGTTACAAGTTTATATCTAGAATTAAACCAATTAGAAGAACTTTTAGTTTCACTATGTTTATTAAAGTTGATTAACTTTAGAATAATTATTTAAATACTTGGGAAAGCATCAAACAAGATGAGATAAATTGAATACATTTAACTTACAAATCCAGTTGTAAACAGAAACCAGTATTATTCAAAGCTCACTACAGTGATCATTAAAAAATGCACAACTTATACATAAAATAAAAAATTCATAAGCAAGATATATAAAAAGAATAATATGTTAATGATTTAAAACTCGACAGAAACTTGAGTTTATGAATCTCAATTTTATTAGATTGCCTATTAATTTCAAAAGCTAGAATAAGATTCTCAATAGTCTCTTTAGCACAGAATTTCTTTGGTAAATCACATTAACAGTTTTCAGGATTTATTGAGTGTTCACTATATACCAGGCAATGTGCTCATTATACCATTTACCTGTATATTCAAAATATTTGTATACCCTTTGTGGCCAATTGAGCTACTCTGCCCAAATAAACTGATAAATCTTTCTGTTACATGTTAGGCTTTCATAATTAACAGTTTCCATTCAAATGTAAGTATATATATGTTATATTTTCTCCTTTAAATTGAATCCTATTTAACTTTCTGACACACACACACACACACACAAAATGACATACAGTCAGTTTTATGAGTGAGTTTTACCAAACTTCCAATGAACAGTTGATAGCTATGCTACGCACATTCTTCGAGAGAATAGAATAAAAGGGATTTCCTCCAGTCCTTTTCATGAGACTAGGGTTGCCGTTATGATACAGTCCTGAGCAGATGAGAATTTTAACTGGGCACACAGCCAGCCTGAACAGAATCAAGATTCTGCATGGAAAGAAAAAGTGTTAATAGAAACTAGGTGGTGAGCAATGATCAGTGTCTTCAGAAAAAAATTAGAAAATTGTGACAAGGCAAGGGATGATATAAAAGTTCCTTTTAAAACACGTTGATTTTAAGTTGCTTCTGAAACATCCAAAGAGACCTGTGAAGTGGCAGTGGGATATATGTTCTACATGGATATATGAATCTGCAGTTCAGGGAAGAAGTTTGCAAAGAAACTTGAGTGTGTATGTGGTATGTAAAGCCTTGGGAATGGGTGAAATTGCCTAAGGAAAAAGTGAAGATAAGAAAATCCATGGTGGAAAAGTGAAACCTAGGAGCAGGCCAACATTTAAACGACAGAAAGGGGAAAAGGACCTGGCAAACACCCTGTGAAATGCTTCTTCACACGACCCAGATATGTGTAACGAAAAGCTTAATCTGAGTGGGTTCAAGAAAAATAAAAACTTTGAAGATAGGGAACAGCTTATATAGACAACTTTTCTCAAGAGATTTTGTTAGAAAAAGGAGCAGAGAAATGGTGGTCACTGAAGGACAGGATGTAATTAAGAGAAGGGATGTTTCCCTAAGACTGAAAATATTTTATGACGTTTGCATGTTGATGGAAATGATCCATTAGGTGAGAAAAGAAACTGATGATGCCAGAGAGAAAAAAAGATAATTGTAGGAGTAAAAACCTTTAATAGAAAGCAGAGCATGAGCTGCAGTGTTCAAGTGAAGAGTTAGGCCATAATGATGAGCAAGGACAATTTATTACGATTGGTGGGGAAACAGAGGAATCCTAACTACTGTTAGGCTGGACATTTGTGGCAGAAGAAAAAAGAAGTTCTTTTCTCAAAAATAGAAATTGGAGAGAGGATAAAATGAAAAATAGTTGACTTAACAAAGCAGAAGACCAAATTAACTAAGGAAATAGTTAGGCTTGCCAAGGCAGTGCTGAGTGTTCAGCGAAGGTTTGTAGCAATGCATTAAAAGCAAACTGAGTCCATGTGATGTTCCCTCCAAACACATTCTGCACATGCAGAGCAGGTGATTATGCCTTAAGCCAGTGTTGAGGTTTTACCACGCCAGTATGATGAAGAGAAAGAGAGGAAGTTAGAAGTTACATTTAAGATAGTGACTCAGTTCTCTATATTTTTTACATGGAAATATGCCCTTGGTATATTAAGATGATTTAAAGCTATTTAGAAAACAGCACATATAGTTTGACCCTTTGTTTCTATCTATGTTTGAGTGAGTAGGTGTGAGCATATATGCATATATGGAGAAAAAAGTAGAAGAACATATACCAAATTATTACTAATTATTTTCTGTGTTTATTTTAGAATGCTTCTTTATAGCTACTGTAATAGTGTGCTACATGATTCCTGGAGATGTCAGAGGAAAGTATCCTCTGTTCTAATACAGTGACATTGAGCTGAGATATGGACTCAGATAAGGATGAATTAGCCTGGATGACAATTTTGTGCCTAAAACGTTATATACTGCATTTTGCAATCAGATGATGCATTGATAAATTGCAGAGTTTATCAGGCACTCATGGCCCAGGTCAAGTGTTGCTTACATCTAGTCACATAAGGCCATAGGCGGGAATGCTCCAACTTCTTGAATTTAAGATGCATGTATAAAAAGCTGAACTCAGAAGTAGAAAGGGACACTTCCAGAAAATTTCATATGACTCTTATTCATCCATCCAGAGTTGTTGACTGTAAATCTGTGTTCCCTAGTGAGGCCTTTTTTGAGGCAGGGACCTTACACATTTTTCAATCCTGGATAATTATGCTGACTTCTCAGCTATGTGTCCTGACTACATACAGTACAATTCTGTACATGTTAGAGAAGAAAAACTTGATTGAATTACAAAAATATTTCCTATGCATACTTTTCCATTCAACCAGTAATTATTTGATAACCATCAATTCAGTGTTCATGAATACATGGTCAAAAAAGGAAAATTTCTGTTTCTCTGTCCCACACATACACCACACTCACAGCCTCACCACCCATCATCTTTCTCATACGATCTTTACTTCTATAATCAGAAAAGAAGTTATGCCTTTTCTACTTTGAAAAAGGAAAATATGAAAACTATTGGTTTTTAATTCATTCAGAGTGGTAGTGAGGAAAAAGCTGGAATCCGCCTCCGGAGGCAGGGCTTAGACACTCGACCAAATTGAGGAATTGCAAAAACAGATCAAGGTAGAAGCACCTCCCCATAAGACATGCCCACCAGTGTGCCATGTCATTTTATTATTGCCATGGCAATGCCTGAAAGTCACCACTCCTTTCCGTTGCAACAACTCAACAGGTAGGAAGTTGCCACTCTCATCCTAGACATTTCTGCAAATTCCAGCCTTTAATATGCATATAATTAAAAGTGGCTATAAATATGACTGCAGGCCTACCTCTCAGCTGCTCCTCTGGGCACACTGTCTATGGGGTAGCCCTGCTCCGCAACCCCTGCCCTGCCTCTGCGGCACACTGCCCCTTCAATCAAAGCTGCTGTTTAACACCACACTGGCTTGCCTTTGAATTTTTTCCTGAACAAAGCCAAGAACCCTCTTGGACTAAGCCCCAGTTCGGTGGCTTGTCTGTCCTGCATCAGCAGAATTTCTAAATTTTTATCTGATTATCCAAATTCTACACATTATTTGAGGTCCAGATCAAAGGCAACCTTTGTCCATAAGCGTCTTCCTGATAATCCTGTCTTCACTAATCTTTTGGGTCTTTGACCTCCTACCTCATCACCATCACAGGCAGCACCATCATCTAATCAAATTTAGCATGAAAAATGGTACCCTAAAGCTCTTTCCTATTCACTGTGTGGCAAATACTAATAATATCAATAATTGTAATAGCTTAAAAAGTAACTTAAAAGATCTCTACTACCATGAGTTGCTTTAAAAAATATATTTCTATATTTTATCTTTATTTTGAATGAAATTTAAGCTTCTGTATGACAGATTTCATTTTACATTTACTTGTCATAGATTATTACATTTTTGACAAGTATTATTTCACTATGCCAAATTCAACATGCTTTGTCTAAGTCAACTCATACACTAATCATTTTTTAGAAATTGATTACTAATTTATGCATGTGTTATGTAAACAGAATTAAATATGTGTACACAAAAGTAATTTAAAAAGAGCTTCATATATACATACACATGATTGCATATTTCAAGAATAATCTATAGATTGCATAAAATAGAGATTCTAGAATCATATTTGACTAAAGGTATAATTATTTTCATTTTATTTCTTGACAGTTATCCTGGAAACTGAGCAATAAATTCATGAAATTGACTGTCTAAATTTAGTCTTCCATGAATAATGTAAGTCTAGAATATACTTCATCTTTATTTTCTGTGCAGTTCTTTATATGTTCATATGCACTTGGTTAACTTTAAATGACATTGCTCAGGCAATTAAGGCAATTGCATTGCCCTAGTGTTATTAAATGAATTTCCTCATGCCAGATAAAGGAGTTACCCGACTCCTTGTTAACTCTCATTTCAAGTTTGCATAATTTCTGCTGGGTTCACAAAGGTCCTGACAGGATGGCTAATTGGATCCTAGCAAACAGTTAAACACAGTGACAATTTCTTAAATTACAGAATTTAGAACTGGAAAGGTTTAGAAAGGTCATCTGGTTTAACCTTCAACACAATAATAAATCCTTACTTCAGCATCCAAACATTTAAACATGGATTATTTTTAGCTTGAGCTTATTTTTCTTTAATTCATAAAGTATGTTTAATTCTTCAGTCTTTTCATTGTAGATATAAAGCTGAAAAAAATTAACTGGAGTAATATAAAAAACAGATCCTTTCACTCCCTGGTAATGCAATTAGGATGACTTCTTCAAAGATGCATTTATCTATTGAAGATAAAATATTAAGAAGGGCTGCTATCTTTAGTATTTTCTTAATTTAGGCAAAAATAATTTATTCAAAAAAAATAAAAAAGACTGTGGTTGATTTCCTTTATTTCTGTCTTAGTCTGCTTGGGCTGTCATAAAAATATGCCATAGCCTGGGTGGTTTAAACAAGGAAAATTTACTTTCTCACAGTCTTGGATACTGGATGTGTGAGATCAGTGTGCCAACATGGTCAGTTTCTGGTGAGGCATCTCTTCTTTCCTGACCTGCAGACGGCCTCATTCCAGATGTGCCCTTACATGGCAGAGACAGAGAAATAACTATATAATTTACTGTCCAAGCCCTAGACTCGTTTATGAATGAAAGAAAGCACTATCAATAATTATGCCAAGACAACTGGCGTAAACCCGACCTGTCCTGGGCAAACCAAAATGTCTAGAGAGAGAGAGAGAGAGAAAGCTCTGGTGTCTCTTCTCATCCAGATACTAGTCCCATCATGAGGGCCGCACTCTCACAACCTCATTTAAACCTAATTACCTTTCTAAGGCTCCATCTGCTGATACCATTAAGTGGGGGTTAGGGCTTCCACATATGAATTGTGGGGCAAGGCAGTTGAATCCGTGGCAATTTCCCTAAGTGGCATCTGTTTTTGTTTTTGTTTTATGTCAATCCAAAGACATAGAGAAAACATTTCCTCAATTATTCACTGCGTGGCAAATTATTCAACCCGATGGCAAAGTGCCTATGAAGAGTATGTTATGTTAAAATACTGAAATGGTGATGGCAGCCCCTCAACACCAACTATTAAGCCAATTCATCTTAGACATCAACATCTATTAAACTATTTGTTGCCCTTATAATCAGAGGCTTCCTCCAATAACTTATAAGAAAATTGTTTATAAAGTCAGTCTAATCTAAGAACAAGGGTTTTCCTTTTTTAAAGAAAATGTTTTTCGTGTGCTTTTGCTTTTAAAATCCATTATTTATCTAATCCTATTTACAAATTTAAATTTTCTGACAAATATTAAGTAAAAGACACTGCCAGTTAAATGAGCTCAAGTTATTCAATCATTCGTCAGACACAGAATGCATCCTTGTAGGTACAGCTTCTCTAGTTGTGTCCTCTGGAAAAAATCAAGACTTTTATTTTCTCTTCCTTGAAAATGTAGACAAATCCACATTAGTGTCTTAATCAGTTTGGGCTGCTATAACAAAGTACCATACACTGAGCGACTTACAAACAACATACATTTATTTCTCACAGTTCTGGAAGCTGGAAGCCTGTGATCAAGGTGCCAGTGTAGTAAGATTCGGACGAGGGCTTTCTTCCAGGTTGTATGTAGATGGCCATCTTGCCAATGTATCGTCACATGGCAGAAAGAGTAAGCTACTGTTCTGGTCTCTTTTCATGAGGACATTAATTCCATTTATAAAGTTGCCACCCTCATAATCCAATTACCTCCCAAAGGTACAATTTCCAAATATCATCTCATTGGGGATTATATTTCTTCTATTTTATTTATTTATTTATTTATTTATTTATTGAGACGGAGTCTCATCTATTGCCCAGGCTAGAGTGTGTGGATGTGATTGTGACTCACTGCAAGCTCCACCCCCCGGGCTCAAGTGATCCTCCCACCTCAGCCTCCTGAGTAGCTGGGACTACAGGAACACACCATCATGCCCTGATAATTTTTGTATTTTTTTTGTAAAGACAGGATATTAATCAATATTAATAAACCATAGTTCCAAGATATAAATTATTGCAACACCTACCTCTGTTCTTAATACCATATGTCCCACACTCTCTTTGTCATCAAGTCGTCCTGCTTATAAATGTTTGACTCTTTTGGCCACATTCTGGTGGTCAAATAGTCAAGCATCAGAAGCATTTAGAATCCTACCTTGCAGTTATTTCCCCAAAATGTCATTATTACTTTGGATGGCTTGAAAATATACTTCAGGGTGCCATTGTAAAGGGTTTTTATTTTCTTTTCTTTGCACTTGTAACAGTAACATTTAGCGCTAGTAAATGTACTATGATGTAATCCTGAGATCTCATTATTTGTGAGCCTAGATCTTCATATACGCTCGGTAGTTAATCTTGATCAAATACTAGAGTTGTATATAGAATAACTATATAATTTACTGTCCAAGCCCTAGACTCGTTTATGAATGAAAGAAAGCACTATCAATAATTATGCCAAGACAACTGGCGTAAACCCGACCTGTCCTGGGCAAACCAAAATGTCTAGGCACCCAGTCATATATCACATCTGGAACAGGTTCTTTTTCTTAGAAGAGCTAAACTGAGTTAAATTATGGAGACTTCTATTAGAACTTGTCTTCCTAGAATAATGGTGAGAACAGATGAAAATTTCAACATGGAAATTTGCTTGCTTTTATCTCATGTGATATTACTTAAATGCAAATATTTTACTGACCGGCATGATAGATGCATATGCGCTTGCAGTACTTTACTAAGAAAATATTTACTGAGGAGTTCTAAGGGCACAATTTGCAATTAAAATCATAGAGCAAATACATTATTACTCACTAGAAAGGCTTGCAAATGAGTGGAAATTTACTGTATGCCATTAATGTTTTAGTGTGTAAGAGCAAATCCTGCAAGCTAAGCAATAGAGAGGCTATTCAAATGGCCTGTGAGGGCATTTTGGTAACACACAGTTTTGAGGACAAAGTTGTTTTTTTTAATAATTTTTTGTAAAGAAGGTCTATTTTTCTAACAATTATACCATAGCAGAGCCATTTGCTAGGCAATTACTCCAGAAAAAGGAATTTTTAAAAATACGTATTTGTACTTAGTCATCGCATAAGTATATTGGGGGGTTTATGCAACGACATAAACAAGCAGAGAGTGAAAAAGAATTCCCAAGCACTACAATGTCCATATCATACTCCACAGCTGTAGAATTGAAAATCTGGAGCAGGACAGAAGTTGTTGTTAAAGAGGCATGTTTCTTCACCACTCCTGGCATTTCCTCCCATCCATGCGCAGAGAAAGCTACGAGTGTAGTTCCTGACCCCTCTTTGCCTTGATGCTCTGACTTCCAGGGGTGGTTCTCAGCCCCGCTTTGCCAGGCTGTTGGCTGTAGCAGACGAAGGCACTACCAGACTAATAATGCCTGGGACTACTGGTGTAATTGTGTAACAGGGACTCAGCGTTTGGAAATCTCTTTGGTTCTATACCAAGTTAAAACCTCCAAATAGCCTCAACCAGTAATTGTGGTAATATCTTCATGCCCCTCCTTACACACATCTTTAATTTTTCATGTGGTTCAGACAAATGTGATAAAGAAGTTTATTAATTATTGTACCTTTCAGATACTATCATTCTTTTTTTATAATTTCAACTTTTATTTTACATTCACGGGGTACCTGTGCAGGTTTGTTACATGGGTATACTGCATGAGGCTGTGGTTTAGGGTACGACTGATCCCATCACCCAGGTACTGACCATAGTACCCAACAATTAGTTTTCCAACCCATGTCCCTCTTCTTCCTTCCTTCCATTCGCAGCGTCTGGTGCCTATTGTTGCCATCTTTATGTCCATAAGTACCCAGTGTTTAGCTCCCACTTATATGTGAGAACAGGTGATATTTGGGTTTCTGTTCCCGCATTAATTCACTTAGTATAGTGCCCCCCACAACTGCATTCATGTTGCTGCAAATGACATGATTTTGTTCTTTTTTGTGGCTGCATAGTATTCTGTGGTGTGTATGTACCACGTTTTCTTCATCCAGTCCACTGCTGATGGGCACCTAGGCTGATCCCATGTCTGCTGTTGGGAAACTGCTGTGCTGAATATGCAAGTGCATGTCATTTTTTTTTTTTTTTTTGGTGTATTGATTTGTTTTCCTCTGGATATATACCCAGAGGAACGTATTTCTGTTATCATAAGACTTTGAAATTTTATACATGACATAGCACCGATGTAGGTGCTTAATTCTTATTCTTTCTCCCCTTATTCTCCCTTCAATTACTCTCTTCCCCTGCCTCTAAACCCCAACGCCTAAGATGTCGACAGATGTGGGAAGATGTTTGATGAGAGGGAAACACATGTACAGTATGGGAAAGAGGAAAACTTTGCTGAAGGTCGAATGCTGGGTCGACTGAGCATTGGGTCGAATGTTACCTCTGTTTTAAATTCTTTGAGAAACCTCCATAAGTGGCTGAACTAATGTACATTCCCACCAACAATGTTTCAACATTTCCTTTTCTCCACAGCCTTGACAGCAACTGTTGTTTTTTTGACTTTCTAATAACAGCCATTCTGACCGGTTGAGATGGTATCTCATTGTGATTTTGATTTGCATTTCTCTGATTAAAAGACAATTGTTTAATGAGGAGCACTTGTTATCACACAGCTGAGACTTGTTGATATGGTTTGGCTCTGAGTCCTCACCTGTATCGCATGTCAAATTGTAATTCCCAGCGTCGGGTGAGGGACCTAGTGGGAGGTGATTGGATCATGGGGGAAGATTTCTCCCTTGCTGCTCTCGTGATAGTGAGTGAGTTCTCAGGAGATCTGTTTGTTTAAAAGTGTGTAGCACCTCCCCCTTCACTCTCTCTCTCCTGCTTTGTCTTGGTAAGACGTGCCTGCTTTCCCTTAGCCTTCTGCCATCATTGTAAGTTTCCTGAGGCCTCCCAGCCATGCTTCCTGTAAAGCCTGCAGAACGGTGAGTCAATTAAACCTCTTTTCTTCATGAATTACCCAGTCTCAGGCATTCCTTTACAGCAGTGTGAGAACGAACTAGTAACACTTGTGATGATTAGCAAACGATAAGAGGGGCATGCTTTGGAAGGAACCAGTGTATTTTAAGTTGTCCTCTTTCCCCAAGTGTATAAGAGTAATTGAAGGGAGGAAAAGGGGAGAAAGAATAAGAATTAAGCACCTACATTGGTGCTATGTTATGTATAAAATTTCAAAGTCTTATAATAACACTAACAACTAATTATAATTATCTCAAGTTCATAGATGAAGAACGCTTTCTTCATTGCTGTATAATAAACCAACACAAAACTTTGAAACTTTAAACAGTAATAATTTATTGGTTCTCATAATACTGTGAATTGGCTGGCCTCAGCCCAGTGGTTCTTCTGCTCCACTGGGTGAAGACTGAGTTCACTTATATGGCTGCATCCCAGATGGCTTCATTCATTTGTCTGGTGTCTCAAATGGGATGACTACAACTAATGGAGGACGGAGTGGCCTCTAACTCCATCAGGATAATTGCACTTCTTACATAGTGACCCATAGCTCCACAAGCATGAAAACAGACACCACTTAAACTCTTATAACCTAGTTCCAGAATTGGCACTACATCTATTCTGCCATATTCCATTAATCATAGCAAGTCACAAAGCTGGCTCAGATTTAAATTGGGGAGAAACAGACTCTACCTCTGGATAAGATGAGCACCACGTGTATAGAGAGATAGTAGATATTGTTGGCAGCCCTTTTTGGAGACAATTTTGTACAAAGACATTAAAGGTCAGAGGAGATAAATAATTTGTTTAAGATCACACTGCTAGAAAGTGGGAAATCTGGTATTAAACTACCCTATCTACCTGATTCTAAAGCAGGGTCTTTCAACTACACCAGTGATTTTTAGACCATGCTCAGTTTATAAGC
This sequence comes from Homo sapiens, assembly GCF_000001405.40. Lineage (NCBI taxonomy): Eukaryota > Metazoa > Chordata > Mammalia > Primates > Hominidae > Homo > Homo sapiens. The sequence goes on from NC_000008.11 coordinate 15,342,682, forward strand.
CCACAGTGCCAACTGGGGCAGTTCCATCCTTAGCTGGGTGATAATGTGTTGTTTATGTATGGTTTTCTTTGAAGGGAAGACTCAGAGGCTAAACAGATTTGAAAAATAACACCCTACACTGCATTTGCTTGCTTTGAGAGATGAAGGCAGTAACTATGTCCTCAAGTACTTTACAGTCACTCAAAAATAAAACAGCAGAATTTTGGTCACAGAGAAAAGAGCTAGAAGTTTTCTCAATCCTAAGAACTTTTGTCATGATCCGTACAAATATAAATACAAAAGTTTCTTTAACATTTTGCTATAAAAGATCTTAGAATTTTGGAAAACTTTTTAAGTAAATGTTGCCCCTAAAAAAAAAAAAAAATGTTGCTGCCTTTTTAAGTAAATGTTGCCACCACAGTATAAAATAATTTCTGATGGAATTAGGAAAAAAATCAAAACCTGCTTCCCTTGGCTTTTTATATGTTACCAGATGATTTTTATCTTCTCAGTTGGTGAGTGTTTACAAAATTAGTCTGTGAAAATGCATAGTCCATAAACAAATGAAAGTGATTTGGCTGAAAAAAATTATCATTTGTACACTTTTAAATAGACTGCTTGAGTAGGTTCCTGCTTTATATTATACTTGCTACTATTCTAGTCTCCATAAGGTGATCTCGAAAGATCATTGTGCCGGGCGCGATGGCTCACGCCTGTAATCCCAACACTTTAGGAGGCTGAGGCAGACTGATCACCTGAGGTCGGCAGTTCAAGACCAGCCTGACCACATGGAGAAACCCCATCTCTACTAAAAATACAAAATTACCCGGGGTGGTGGCGCATGCCTGTAATCCCAGCTACTCCAGATGCTGAGGCAGGAGAATCGCTTGAACCTGGGAGGCGGAGTTTGCAGCGAGCCAAGATTGCGCCATTGCACTCCAGCCTGGGCGACAAGAGCAAAACTCCATCTCAAAAAAATAAATGAATAAAAAGAAAGAAGATCATTGTAATTACTCAAATCTTATTTTTATGGAAATGAATGAGAATATGTAGAAACATTATGTAAAGCTTTAATGTTTTTATTGATAATTGAAGTTAAGTGAATATGGACAAAAAGTTTTAGAGACAAATTCTCTATTTGTTTTCTTACCCATGAGAATAAAAGTTGTCCAAATAATATCAACAAATGAGATATTTTCTCTTTATAAAATTTGGAGAATATGAATTGTACAGTTTACAGAAAAAAATATTTTTGACATTTAGAGTGTAGATAGCACATATTTGGGGAAGGGATTTTAGTGTGAGTAACAGATTTGGATATTAGAATAGTAAAACTGGAAAGGATATTAAAATCATCTAGTTTATCTCCCATTTTAATCTGGGTAGCTAATACCCAAAGACTTGTCCTTAGCTTCAAGTAGTGCATCTCAGTTGGCAGTAATCCTGGAGATAATCTCAGGTCGTCTCTCCATCACACCAGGCTATATACTACATGTGTTCCTTTTTCTCTCCTTGCATTTCTCTTGCCACTTAATAAACTTCAACTTGCATATTGTGGTGGAAAGAAAGCTGAAGCACAATATAAGATAATTGGGGCGTGTGAGGAGACATACTTATCCCAAATCAAACTTGAATGACTGACTTAACATATCCAAGCCTAAGCTTAAGTGGGGTACTGTGTCATTTATATGCTGTCATGTTTTAGAATATTCTTCTGTTCTTTAAGAAATGATAGAACACCATAATTTTACCCCTAAGCCTGTCAATGCGTCCAAATTCTGATTTGAAGAATTTAAAATAACAAATGAGTTGTGAGTAGGTTTGAAATAATTTTCTTTTATTTGATTGCAGTAGAGTGTGCCTAGCAACCTATATATAGGATATGAGTAAAGTGAATTCTGTTCAGACTAATGTTTTAGATTTGTTCTTTTCATGCATGTACTTTCACATATATTATTCTCTTCAGTTTAAAAGGTGTTAAATGTTCCTACTTATTACTGAGGTACAAGCACTATGATATTGTTCAACAAAATTTGTATTTACATAAAGTTATATCTCAACTTACCCAAAACTTTAAGAAAACGCTTCTCTAACAGTATGGCTTCTGCAATTAGGATGTGGAAATAAGTAAATGCTTAACATACTTTTTAAATGAATGTAATTATTTTTCATTGAGTCAAAGATGAGAAAACAATCTTTCCTGTAATATCACTCATATCCAATCAAGTGCCCAACAAATAACAATTTTCTAACTATCAGATTATCTAATCTTTTCCTGATCTTTTATTTCTTAACAAAAAGAAAAATGTTTGCTCTTCATGGTGGCATTTCAACGACGATCAATTAACCTCCAACCCCTTATACTGTAGGACTCCTTGAAACACTATTTTAAAGCTGCTCTCGGCGTGTATTACTCTCTCGGTTTTTATTTCACTTATGCATTCACTCATCAAGTAATTATTGGATGGCTAATATGTAAAATGAAACATTAAGATATCATCCTTGCTCTTGATGAATTTACCACTAATCTAGCAGGAGGAAAAATAAATTGTTACTCTATTAGCAACAAAAACAACACACTGCAGTTTTTGCTGCTTCGTGAGTGGGTGATACAATTCATATCAATGGAAAAAATAAAGCTCTGCCCTTCTGTCTTCCACTTAGATAGACAGGGATGGAATAAGGAAAAACCTGCACTGTCAGAGCTTTAGTGCCGCTAAAGAGAAAAGTCTGAAATGATTAGCCTTTTTTTCTTTAGTAGAACATATTAATTTCTGACAATGCAAAGTGAATCCCTTAGCTACATAGGATATGGAAACAAAGATTGTTTTGTGTGAAAATGATGATGAGCAATTTTTTCATACATCTGTTGGCTGCCTAAATGTATTCTTTTGAGAAGTGTCTGTTCATATCCTTTGCCCACTTTTTGATGGGGTTGTTTTTTTCTTGTAAATATGTTTAAGTCCTTTGTAGATTCTGGATATTAGCCCTTTGTCAGATGGATCGATTGCAAAAATTTTCTCCCATTCTGTAGGCTGCCCGTTGACTCTGATGATAGTTACTTTTGCTGTGCAGAAGCTCTTTAGTTTAATTAGATCCCATTTGTCTGTTTTGGCTTCCGTTGCCATTGCTTTTGGTGTTTTAGTCATGAAGTCTTTGCCCGTGCCTATGTCCTGAATGGTATTGCCTAGGTTTTCTTCTAGAGTTTTTATGGTGTTAGGTCTTACATTTAAGTCTTTAATCTGCCTCATGCATAGTTTTAATAGATGATTGGACATAATTGAAGAGAGATTTGGTAGGCTGAAAGATCGATAAGATTAAAATAACCAGAAAGAAACACAGAGAACATGAATGATAAAAAATACAAAAAATATTCCAGACATATGCAGATGTAAGAAAAATGTCAAATTTATTTGTAACTGGAGTCCCAGGTTGAGAACAAAGATAATGGGTCAGAAATATTATTTGAAGAAAATGGCTAAAAATGTCCCAAATCTTACAAGTCATTAAACCACACTTTGAGGAAGTACCACATACTCCATCTGGGATAAGACATACACATAAGAAAACACACTTAACCATTGTATTATTTCCCCAGGGCGGTCATTTAAAAATCACAACAAACTTAGCAGCTGAAAACAGCAGAGATATATTCTCTTACAGTTCTGGAGGCCAGAAGTTCTGAAATCAGAATATTAGCAGGGTTGTGTTCCCTCTGAAGCTTCTAGGGAGGAATCCTTCCTTGCCATTTCTTGGGTTCTAGTATCTCCTGGAATTACATTATGCTCCTTGGTTTGTGGCTGCATCACGACAGCCTCTGCTCTGTCTTCATATGGCCTTCTTCTGTCTCTCATTTTTTTTTTATTGTTTTATTTATTTATTTGTTTTGGGACTTGGAGACTGAGTCTCACTCGGTCGCCAGGCTGGAGGTGCGATCTTGGCTAACTGCAACCTCCGCCTCCTGGGTTCAAGCCATTCTCATGCCTCAGCCTCCCAAGTAGCTGGGATTACAGGCACGCACCACCATACCCAGCTAATTTTTGTATTTTTGGTAGAGACGGGGTTTCACCATGTTGGCCAGGATGGTCTTGATCTCCTGACCTCGTGATCCGCCCTCCTCGGCCTCCCAAAGTGTTGGGATTACAGGTGTAAGCCATCGCATCCAGCCCTTCTTCTGTCTCTTATAAGTACAAACACCTAAGATTTAGGACCTAACCAGATCCAGTATGATCTCATCTTGATCCTTACCTAATTACATTTGCAAACATCCCATTTCCAAATAAGGCCACACGCTGAAGTTCTTGGTAGACATAAATATTGGGAGAGATGATATTTGGTCTGCTACAAACATATAATAATAAAACTGTTGAAAATAAATGACAAAGAGGAATATTGAAAAGTTTGCATAAGAAAGGACAGATTATCATCAAAAACAGCAAAACAAGACTAATAGCTGACCTCTCAAGACAATTAGAAGACAGAAGACATAAAACTATATTTTAATAGTGCTGAAAGAAAACAGTTGTCAGTCTAAAATTCTACACCCAGCAAAATATCATTTAAAAATGAGGTTAAAATAAAGACTTTCAAACAAACCAAATCAATAGAAATTTTATAGAATACTCTTGCATTAAATGAGTCTGTGATAAGTATTATCACATAGAAAGAAATTTATCCCAGCAGGAAGCTCAAAAATTCAGGAACAGATAAACAGCAAAAAAGAGTAACTATGTGGATAAATGTAAACAAATTCTAACTGCATAAAGCAATTACAATAATTTATCATGTTGTTTAAACATACACACACATGCACACGCACATATATTCACATTTAAAAAGGATGAAAACAGTATCCAAAAGTAGTAAATCTATCCAAATATGAAAGTAGACATTGAGGCAAAAATTACTAAATATAGAAAGAGATACTCTACAATAATAAAAGAATTAATTCACCTGGAAAATAATTAAAAGTTTCTATATATAAAAATTATTTGATTTCAAACATTTAAGGCAAAAATGAACACAACTAAAGGTGAAATAGTCAACTATTGGGCCAAGCGTGGTGGCTCATGCCTGTAAACCCAGTACTTTGGGAGGCCGAGGCGGGCGGATCACGAGGTCAGGAGTTTGAGACCAGCCTGGCCAACACTGGTGAAACCCCGTTTCTACTAAAAATACAAAAAAAATTAGCCGGGTGTGGTGGTGGGTGCCTGTAATCCCAGCTACTTAGGAGGCTGAGGCAGGAGAATTACTTGAACCTGGGAGTTGGAAGTTGCAGTGAGCGGAGATCACACCATTGCACTCCAGCCTGGGCGATAGGGCAAGACTCTGCATCAAAAAAAAAAAAAAAGAAAAAAAGTCAGCTGTCACAGGGAATATCTCTAATATGTCCATGTCAGAATATAACAAGCAGGGAAAAAATAGGAAATTTGGGCTACACAATTAAGAAACCTGGCCTTGTAAAGATATAGAGAACTACTCCAACAATTGCAGAATATATATTTTTCAAGGATACATGGAATATGTATAAAAATTAATTATCTGGTCCATAAAGTCTCAAAAATTTCAAATAAAATTTGAAAATGGAAATACATGGACTATACTCTTTTCATACAGTGGAGTTAAAGTAGAAGTCAACACAGAAAGGTAGCAGTAGATCTCCAATCATTTAGAAATTAAATAGTTTATACCTAATGCTAAATGACGAGTTAATGGGTGCAGCACATCAACACGGCACATGTATACATATGTAACAAACCTGCACATTGTGCACATGTACCCTAAAACTTAAAGTATAATAATAATCAAATTTTAAAAAAAGAAATTAAATAGTTTGCTTATAAGTAGCACATGTCAAAGGAAAAATTATAATGCAAGTTTAAAAATATTTGAACCAAAAGAAAATGAAAACAAGTCATAGCAAAGTTTGTTGGTTGCCACGAAAATCATACTTAGATGAAAATTTATAGCTTTAAATGTAATTTTTAAAAGGCTAAAATTATCTAGCTATCCATTTAAGATTTTTTTAAAGACAGCAAATAAAAACAGAGAAAAGTAAAAGAGAGGGAAGAATAAGGTAAACCACATAAGATGAAGTAGAAAATAGACAAAAATAGAGAGGATTAATAGATCCAAAAGTTACCTTTTAGAAAGGCTACTAAGTTGGAAAATCCTTACTGAGACTGAACAAGAAAAAAGTGTACTAGGTACAAATAGTATCATGGTAAAGATGGTATTACTACAAAAACTACAGATATGACACAGGTCATAAGAGGATACTATAAGCAGATTACTGCAATAATTTTGAAAAATTTAGATGAAATGGCAAATTCCTTTAAAACTCAACTTAGCAAACTAACACAAGAATAAATTAAAAGCTACATAACCTTATAGCTATTAAGGAAGTTGTATCTATAATTTTTAAATGTCCTACAGGGAAAACGATGAGGCCCCAGATGGCTTAACCAGTGAATTCCTTCAAATGTTTATGAAAGAAATAACATAAATGTACAGAAATTTTTCTACAAAAAAAGAAAAGGAGAGAACACTTTCTAACTTACTTCATGAGACTAGTGTGACATTGACACCAACTGAAAAGAACATTGCAAAGAAAGAAAATTACAGATTAATTTTCTTAAAGAACATTGGTTTTACAACTCCTCAATAAACTATTAGTAAAAGAAGAGCAATAATACATAAAATAAAGAATAATATATTGTGTTCAAGTTGGGTTTACCTTTATAATGCAAGGTTGATTCTACATTTAAAAAGCAACATTTTTATTTACCAAAATGACATAATAAAAGAGTTAAAAATCAAATTATTATCTCAATAAACATAGAAGTCTATGACAACTTCATTGTCCACTTATGATAAACATTCATCGCAAACTAGAAATAAAAGGGAAGTTCCTTCTGATAAAGAGTATATAAAAATCAATAGCAAACACAGTACATGAAGATGAAATGTTGAAAGCTTCACCTCTGAGATTAAGAAGAAGGCCCTGCTGTCCACTTTCAGCATTTTTATTTGACATTATGCTGGAAATCCTAATGATTGAATAATGCAAAAGAAAAAGAATTAAAAATAATAATGATTAGAAAAAAATAAAGCTGCCTATATTCTCAGACATTATTTGTCCATAGAAAATCTAAAAGTATCTACTAACAAACTTAATGAAGTTACTAGAGATTAAATCAATGTGCAAAATTGATACTATTTTTATACCAGCACCAAATATTTAAAAATACACTAAAAATGTCAAATAGCCAGGAATAAATCTAATGAAAGATGTGCACATTTCCTAGAATAAAAACTACAGAACATCATAGAGAAAAATTAAAGATGTAAATAAATAGAGGAACATAAGTATACATGGGTTGGAAGACTCAAGATTGCAAATACACCATTTTCCCCAAAATAATCTGTAGATTCAAAGCCATCACAAACAAAATCTGAATAGAATTGTTTGGAAAAGTTTATATGTGTATTCTAAAATTCATTTAGAAATGTAAAGGGCTAAAAATAGCGTCATCTTGAGAAAGAACAGTGGTGGAGGTTTTACCTTACCTCTCAGTTATATGGCCTGCTTTAAAGCTATTATAATTAAGACAGTGGAGAAATTGCTTTAAGAATAGATTCACTGATCAGAAACAATCCATACAAATATAGTCACCTGACCAAGGGGACTCTGCAGGGCATTTGTAAAAAAGGTGGTCTTTTAATAAATAGTCATTGGGCAATTGGATGGCGCCACTTCCCACTATATGCTAAAAAATCCTTTCCAGATGAATTACAGATCTAAACATAAAATGTAACACAGTAAATGTTTTAGAAGAAAACATCTTTATGGCCTGAAAGTGAGCAAAAACTTGTTCTACAACACAAAAATGCTAATAAATGTAAATGGGAAAAAATGATAAATTGAGCTACTTTAATGAAAAACTGTTCAACTAAAGTCACAAATAAGAAAATGAACAAAGTAGGAGAAAAAGATAACATACATCTAATTTTAAAATAAAATTTAGGCTGGGCACAGTGGCTCACGCATATAATCCTAGCACTTTAGAAGAACGAGGCTGGTTGATCACCTGAGGTCAGGACTTCGAGACAAGACTGGCCAACATGGTAAAACCCTATCCCTACCAAAAATACAAAAATTAGCCAGGAATGTTGGTGGGTGCCTGTAATCCCAGCTTCTCAGGAGGCTGAGGCAGGATAATCACTTGAACCTGACAGGCAAAGTTTGCAGTGAGCCGAGATCGCACCATTGCACTCCAGGCTGTGTGACACAGTGAGACTCCATCTCAAAAATAAAATAAAATTCATACCTCAAGTAGATTAAGAACTTTAAGAAATAAATAAGAAAAAGCAGATGGGAAAAGTGGACAAAACACTTGAACACATACTTCACAAAAGAAGATAAAAAATTAGGAATAACATATGAAACTTTGCTATACTTCATTAGTCGTAAGAGACATACAAAGTAAAACCGCAAAGAAATACTACTACCTACTCAAAAGAATGACTAAAAGTAAAAATTCTGACAATAACAAATGTTGATGAAGGGTATGGAGCCTCAAGAACTCTCCAACACTGTTAGTGGGAGAGTCAATTAGTACAGGCTTTCTTCATCTAATGATCCCATTACAAACGCTGGAAATGATGCATACCAATATCCACCAAATGCATGTAGTAGAATAGTCCTAGCCACACTACAACAGCAAAAAAAAAAAACATGAATTACCTAAATGACTACCCATCGTTTTAAGGATAAATGAATTCTAGTATAGCCACACAATAAAATATTACCTTTGGAAAAGAATTAAAAGTTTATGGGTATATTCAGTAACATAGATGCATCTGGCCAATTCACATCCCAAGTAGTACATATTGGATAATTCCATTTACGTAGAGGAGAAAAATACTGATTATGAATTATGAACATAAGAAAAATATTAGACGTCAAAAGAGCAGAGAGGTATGATGAAGGATTCTGGGGTTGTGGTTATATTCTGTTCTTTAACCTATGTGTTGTAATATGGTTGTATTTGATAGTAAAATTTCAGTACACATACACATATGTGTACACCAAGATATGGAAATGAATGCTCATGTGCCTTATTCATGAGCCTTAAAGTAGAAATTGCCCAAATATCTATAAACTGCATAATGGCTAAAAAATTTATATTCAGCAATGAAAAGCAGGGAATAATCTCATGCAACAATGTTGATCAAAGCAATACTTACAGAATAGAACACATATGATGACTTCATTACACAAAGTTCAAAAATCATATAAACAGACAAGTCTTCTACCATATTAAAGGTTCGAGTGATGGTTACCTTGGAGGAGGAAGGAGGCTAAGAAATTTAGGCAAGGGCATAATGGGGTCTTCCAGGAACTAGTAATAGTCAATTTTTCAGCTTAACTGGTGGCCACATAGACGTGTTCATTTGATTGTTCATTGAGCTATATGTGAAAGATCTGTGCACTTTGCGAGGCATGGTGGCTCATGCCTGTAATCCCAGCACTTTGGGAGGCCAAGGCAGGTGGATCACCTGAGGTCAAGAGTTCGAGACCAGCCTGACCAATGTGGAGAAACCCCGTCTCTACTAAAAATAAAAAATTATCCGGGCATGGTGGCACATGCCTATAATCCCAGCTGCTCGGGAGGCTGAGGCAGGAGAATCACTTGAACCCAGGAGACAGAGGTTGCAGTAAGCCAAGATTGCACCATTACACAACAGGATGGGCGATAAGAGTGAAACTCTGCCTCAAAAACAAAACAAACAAAAAAACTTCGTGCACTTTTTCTTTGTATGTATAGTGTACTTCAGTACTTTTTAATTATTTTTAATTGACACAATAGTTATACATATTTATGGGGTACAGTGTGATATTTATACATATCTATACAATGGGTAACAATCAAATCAGGATAATTGGCATATTCATGATGACTAAGATTTGGCATTGCAAAAAACTTTAAAAGGAGAGAGAGTACTTGTAGGATTCTGCCTGAAGTTGTGGGGACCTGGCAAATAAAGCCTTCCAATAACATTCTTAGTGTTTGGTTTGAAAATGAGGACTGGAGTCAGATGGGCCAGATAGGAAGCTATGGCATTACTCTAGATAAAAAAAATTTAAAATCCAACTAGGAGATAGGAATGAGAAGGAGAAGAGAGATAAAGAAAACTACTGAGATTGAAAACAGATAGAACATAATTGTTTGGACATGGGGAAAAGCAGGAGGAGGAAACCAACGTGACTCCCATTTTCCAAGTTGATTGAGCTGGTTAGCCTCTTTGAGCCTCAGTTTTCTGGTCTGTAAAATCAATTATCTATAAATATATATAAATATACATTTATTTATATAAATATATGTATTTATATATTATATGACTATATATACATATAAAATATAATTATATTTACATAATACATATAAATGTATAATTATATTTACATAATACATATAAATGTATAGTTATATTTACATAATACATATAAATGTATAGTTATATTTACATAATACATATAAATGTATAGTTATATTTACATAATACATATAAATGTATAGTTATATTTACATAATACATATAAATGTATAGTTATATTTACATAATACATATAAATGTATAGTTATATTTACATAATACATATAAATGTATAGTTATATTTACATAATACATATAAATGTATAGTTATATTTACATAATACATATAAATGTATAGTTATATTTACATAATACATATAAATGTATAGTTATATTTACATAATACATATAAATGTATAGTTATATTTACATAATACATATAAATGTATAGTTATATTTACATAATACATATAAATGTATAGTTATATTTACATAATACATATAAATGTATAGTTATATTTACATAATACATATAAATGTATAGTTATATTTACATAATACATATAAATGTATAGTTATATTTATATAATACATATAAATGTATAGTTATATTTATAATTATATAAATGTATAATTATATTTATAATTATATAAATATGTAAATATATATTATATATAAATATAAATATATATAAATATATAATTATATATAAAATTATATATAAAATTATATATAAAAAATATATTAAAAATATATAATTATATAAATATATAATTTATATAAATATATAATTTATATAAATATATAATTATATATAAATATATAAATTATATATATATATATATATATATATATATATATTTTAGACAGACTCTTGCTCTATTGCCCAGGCTGGAGTGCAGTGGCATCATCTTAGCTAACTGTAAGCCGCGCCTCCCAGGTTCAAGCAATTCTCCTGCCTCAGCCTCCTGAGTAGCTGGGATTACAGGCGCCTGCCACCACGCCCAGCTAATTTTTTGTATTTTTAGTAGAGATGAGATTTCACCATGTTGGCCAGGCTGGTCTGGAACTCCTAACCTCAAGTGATCCACCCACCTTGGCCACCCAGAGTGTTGGGATTACAGGCGTAAGCCACCGAGCCTGGCCAAAATAAGACTGCACATGCACATCCCATGGGAAAATCCTGGGCTATAGTAGGCACAGATAGAATACTGTTCCTTTTTTTCCTCTTTCTGCAAAAATAAAGGACCGTTCAGGAAGTCACTCTGCAACTGATATGGTTTGGCTGTGTCCCCACCCAAATCTCATCTTCAATTGTAGCTCCCATAATTCCCACATGTTGTGGGAGGGACCCAGTGGGAGATAATTGAATCATGGGGTGGTTTTTCCCATGCTGTTCTCATGTGTGAATAAGTCTCACAAGATCTGATGGTTTTACAAGGAAACCCCTTTGGCTTGGTTCCCATTTTACAAGGGGAAACCTCTCTGGCTTGGTTTCCATTCTCTGTTGCCATGTAACAGATGCCTTTCACCTTCTGCCATGATTGTAAGGCCTCCCCACCCATGTGGAACTGTGAGTCCATTAAACCTCTTTTTCTTTATAAATTACCCAGTCTCGGGTATGTCTTTATCAGTGTGTGAGAATGGACTAATATAGCAACTTTATAGAATTTTCCTTTTGGTCTCCGTTTTACTGAGTAAGGAAACTGAGATAGAGTCACTGTTGGTTACATACATCCACTAAGTTTATCGAATTAACTGAAAATATCTCATTAACAAGTTGATACATATAATCATTGTTATTTAAATTGTTTTGTGTAAAAAAGTATTTAACTTATTGGGCATTCTTACTGCTAAAATGTGTAGTTTTATGCTTGTGATGAAAAAAGGAATTGAGCCAAATTACTTTACTTTCCAATGAGCCTACACAAGAATTCTGAAATGTATGTACACTGCCATTTTGTTATATCAGCACTTTGTTATCGTCATGGTAAATATGTTAGGATTTAATTGCCAATCCGTTGATAGAATTTTATACAGCTTTGTTCTGAGGCTCTTATGATCTTATAGAAAATAATTTTTAAACATGCAACTTAGATCCCAAATACATCTTAAAGAAATAAAACAGTAAGATTACTGAGAGCTTTGCAAGAAACTGAATCTTCTAAAAAGAGAACATTATTTTAGCAATAACACGGCAATAACATTTCTAATTGTCACTGCTAAAGAAATAGGAACATCCATAAGTTGCCATTTCTATTCAGATTATACATTAATTGTATCTTGGATGCTTGTAATCTGAAATCATATTACATTTTAAGGATACGGTCATAGTCTCCCGTGATAAAAACCTCTTGTAGTTTATACATAAATGTTTTTGCGTATGTCTACAGTGAATTTATTATTGTGTAATAAACATATGGGGCTGTCGAATAAATCAGTGACTAAATTGTATGCTTTGGAAATGGGTATTATTCTAAAACTTCCAGTTATTTACTCCATGTAAAATGGTCTGAAAATTTTATCTTCATTAGCTCAAGTTTCTATACACATAAGCTTACTCTCTGATTTTGTTTCTTTTGCATTGAAAAGGAGTTTCCAAACTTGAAAAACTTACATATTTTAGAGTCTTTTTAATATTTGTGTTTTTGACCTACCAGCATAAATTGAATATGTTATAAATCTTACAGATATAGAGCCTATATCACCTAAATGTAGTAAATAATCAATAACTACTGAATTTAATCTGCATGGGCATGTCTCACTGAAAACCATTCAGAAGTTTATTTTTTAAAGAAGGGGGAAATGCAATAACAAACATATAAAGTATTTCCATAAATATTTTTATACTTAGTTTATTCTTTCTTAAAGTACAAGAAACAGTTAAAACATGTAAAGTAATTCTTTAGATGATGAGCTAGGCACATGCCTCTAAATTCCTTCCATTCTCATCCCAAATGCCACCAGATGATAAAAAGATGATGCATTGGAATTGAAACTTAAGGAAGGGTGGCCCTCATGTGCCTTGCATTTAGAAGAATGTCTGCTAGAAATGTGGCACAGATAAAAATTAAAAATTAGGAGGTAGAAATGTGTCAAAGTTAGCTACACAACTCTGTTTTATGAAAAAGTAAGGTACATTTCTGAGAAGTGATAATATGAGATTCCTGTCTGATTTAGTTCTAAGGACAAAGGTTGGAAGTAAAAAGAGATCATGACACAGACCTCATTCCAGAATGCCTTTAGCTACAAGTTATCGACAAAATTAAAAAGCAACACTTCCTGAGGATTAAAATTTTACATAGTTATACGTAGAAAATCAGGAGGGTAAGCAGGGCTTCTCCAAGAACAGCCAAGATGAGACCTGACAAAAGAGGTATCAGTGATAGGAGAGTGCACAGAAAGCCACGTCATTTAAGTAGCATATGAATCCGGCTCCTGTGATGGGAGGACAATTCTCCACAGATTTCTCATGTTCTACTAAGAAGGACATGTTTAAATGGGAAACAGCCTTAGAAGCTAGAGAGTAGTGCTTCCCACTGGAGAGACTTAAAGATGGACTTACTGAGTCATCCTAGGATAGTAAAACAGAATCCTCTCCTTTCTCAAAGACATTTGCTTATATTCCAGAGTGACAAATCTAGAAATGCCCTTCCCCTCTCCCTTAAAGGAGATTTGTTTACATTCCAGGATGCTGAGTATAATCCCTCTGGAGAGAAAAACATGCAGATGCTCCGGCAGCCCCATAAAAACTCAGCTTCCCAGTCATACATTTCCTCACCTGTGTTATGTCCAGTCCTCATCACATCACCCTACAGAGCTTAGAGCGTGGGGATTTGGTACAAGATGCTGTTCTGGCTGCCATATATTCATATACATTTATATGTGTGTGCATAGATATATGAATGTGCATGTCTGTGTCTATGTTTATGTGTGTCTATATGTGCATGTGCATGTGTGTGCATATGTGTGTGTATATACATATATATGCACACACATGTATGTACATGTATATACATACACATACATGCATATATATACAATACATACACACATATTTTGTATACACATAAAAACACATATGCATATATAAACATGTAAACATATAGGTAATATATTTATATGTAGACACAACCAGACTCATATTGCTTCAATTACGTTCTTTTTAGCTTTTAAAAATGTTTGTTTGTTGAACTCCATGCTGGTTCTGGCCAATGCTATTTCGTGTTGGCATATATACCCAACTTCAAATTTCTTCAAGAAATTTTTCAGAGTAAGCATGAACCAATTGCTCAGTTTTACAGTGACACTGCAAAACCCAAATTTCCACAGGACAAAAAGGCACAACTATTCAAAACATAAATTTACATGTTTATATATGTGTGTGTGTATATATATATATGCAGAAACATGTAATATATACACACACATAAACATGTATACACATGTAAATATATATGTATATGTGTGTGTGTGTGTGTGTATATATATATATATATATATATATACTGGCAAGCTAACTTGTTAGCTTGAAAAGAGAACAAAATACTAGTTCATTCAAACAGTTTCCAACTTAATAGCTCCAAAAGTTTCCAACTTAATAGCTTGAAAAGAAGACTGCCTCTTGGCACAACAAATTCGTCAAACACAGAAGAAAATTTAGACAAAATTGAAATTACTACTGAGATTACTTACAATTCTGGGTTAACCTTTTTTCTGTCAGATCTCTGAATCACTAAGTTACTAATACAAACAATAAAGAGGACAATTCTAAGGCCATTCAGGTATACATTTTGAAAACCCACGGTAAACGCATGCACAGTGCATTGCAGAAAATACCACCTTGGGGAAACTCACAGCAAATAGACATGTAGCCTGTGAAAAGTTTCTGAAAAATAAAAGGTGACTTAAACATTTATAAGAAAGAGAAAGAACATACTTGCATAAGAAAAGTAACAGGGAATATATTTTGTGCTTTCATGCAAAGTTTATTAAAAATAAAATTTGTAACCAAGATGTGATAAATAGGAGATATGACAAAATATTGAAATGAAAGAATGACCAAAAGTTAAGCAGAAATTACAAGGAAAATTATGAGATAAAGAGTGAATGAAAGAAATATAACGAGAGGATTTACCCTAGAGAAAGTTTGAAGGAAAAGTGGGTTATTACACATGAAAAAAAAAGAAGAAAAGTAGGTCATTATATATTTCCCAGAATGCAAAGGGAAATACTTTAAAAATGAAAAAAATGAGAAAAAGAATGAGAGATATGGAAGCAGACAATAGTTATTTGACAACGCGGGTCATAGTTACTCCTGAAGAAGGGCTAGTAACAATTGGAACAGAAGAAAAACTATGTAATAGTCAAAAATATTGCTAAGCTGAAGGAAATCCTGTTTTTACAGATCAAGAGAAATCACTATGATACAGTGTATGTTTGAGTTTGCCTGGAAGGTGCTGATTTTTGGCTGTCATTTTTATACCAAGGGCTGGAAAGGAGGGAGGTATCCACCCCAGGTGGCCAGCCATTTTTAAATAAAACATTTTATTAACATTTCTGTGGTTGACCTTTCTTTCTGTTCTTTCTTTCTTTCTTTTTTATTTCTCTATTTCTTTCTTTCCTTTATCCTTCTTTCTCTCTCCTTTCTCCTTCCTCCCTTCCTTCCCTCCTTCCTTCCTTGCTTCCCTCCCTCCCTCCCTCCCTCCCTCTTTCCTTCCTTCCTTCCCTCCCTCCCTCCTTCCTTCCTTCCTTCCCTCTGTCTTGTCTTTCTCTCTTTCTCTCTGTATTTCTCTCTTTCTTTCTTTTTTGTTTGAGACAAGGTCTGGCTCTATCGCCCAGCTTGGAGTGCAGTGGTGCAATCACAGCTCACTGCAGCCTTGACTTTCCAGCCTCAAACAATCTTCCCGCTTCAGCCTCCTGAGTAGCTGAGAATACAGGCAGGTGTCACTATAACCAGCTAATTTTTTATTTGTAGAGACTTGTTAATTTTGTATCTCTAAAGAACAAATCCGAAAAATAAAATGTGGCATTAGCTGTGTAATTTATTCAATGCCTGAGTTATATCTTTTGTTGACATTTTGGTTTTAATAAAATGTATATTATATAAGACTGGTAGCAAATGATCGAAATTCAAAATATTGGAAATAAAAACTATTGAATAAATAGTTGTGCTTCGTTTTCCTATGGAAATTTGGATTTTGCATTATCACTGTAAAAGTGAGCCATTGGTTCATACTTACTCTGAAAAATTTCTTGAAGAAATTTGAAGTTGGGTACATATGCCAACATGAAATGGCATTGGCCAGAACCAGCAGGGAGCTCAACCAACAAACATTTTTAAAGGCCAAAAAGGATGTAATTGAAGCAATGTGAGTCTTGTTGGATCTACCTGGAAAACATGTAAGTTCGTCAACATTACATATATTTAATAAACATTGTGAAGAAATGCAAGCCAGCACATCCAGAGAACAAATACTAGAAATGAAACAAGATTTTGATGATATAGGGCTGAAAGATAACAAGGAGCCACCTCCTTTTCGTAAGCACTGACCATGAAAAAGAGAAAAGATATCTAAACGTGATCAAATGACAACAGGATTAAAAATAGTAATAATAATAATAATGAGAGAAGAGAAGAAAGAGACGGTAGGTAAGACTTTTAACCATTTTACTGTTGCATTGTATAAAATCAAATTTCAAAATTAAAATGAATAAGCATACTTCAAACAACTAAGCTAAGATAGGCTGACAAATACACATGTACTATCTATTGAACATAAATATGCAAAGAAGACATATCTTAACCAAACTATTGACTTATTTGCAGAAGTCTCAAAAACAGAAATCTCATTGTTACTATTTGTTACTGTAACAGCCAATACCTATACATTGTTCTCTTTTTACAAAAAAATGCATTAATATAATTTTAAAACATTATTCCTTTATTCCTTTTTGTACTGTAATATTCATTTTATTTTTCATATTTTTAAACTGACACAATTATAAATAGAAACTCAAAATAAGAATATTTTCGTTGTCTACATTTCTTTTCTGGCCATTACTATTTCTTGTTTCATTTTGTCATTATTACCAAATAAAATGATATCTGAGGGACATCTTTGTATGTGTATAAATACACATACACACACACATTACAATTACCCCAAAACTTAGCAGCTTAAATACAAGTATTTATTATCTCACAAAGTTTCTGAAGGTCATGACCAGGTCCACCTTCTCTGAGTAGTTCTGCTTCATTGATTACAGTGAAGCTGTTGGACACAGCTGCAAGCTCTAATAACTTGACTGGGTCTGAGAATCTGAGTTTTGAGCTTGCTCACATGGCTATTGATGGGAGACTCCGCTTTCTTGCCTTGTGGGCCTCTCCACAGGGTGCTTCCCATGTGGCTCACCCCAGAGCAAGTGATCTGTGACAGCAGAGTAACCAAAATAGAAGCCATGGTTTGCTTTTATTTTGTAGGTTGGTGCAAAAGTAATTACGGTTCTTGCCATTAAAAGTAATGACCAAAACCACAATTACTTTTGCACCAACGCAATAAAATAATAACCCAATCTTGGATGTAGGTGGAATCACTTCTGCCAATTCAGTACAGAAGGATAGAAGGAGACCACACGAGAAAATCAAGACCAAGAGGCAGGGATCATCAGGGCCATCTTAGTGACTGCCTACCACATGGCTGATGCTGACAGATTATCTGAGTTTGAAATATCCTAGGTATGTCACTGGTTCTTATTATCTGGAAGAATTACTAATATTAATTAGTTTTATTCCTCACTTTCCATTCCACCTTCCACTCATCTTCAGTCAGTATCTCAGCCAGTCAGTGTACCCCTAAATTTTTTTTAATTTATCTTTTATTTTAAGTTCAGGGATACATGTGCAGATTTGTTATACAGGTAAACTTGTGTCATGAGGGTTTGTCGCACAGATTATTTCATCACCCAGGTATTAAGCCTAGTACCCAGTGGTTATTTTTCTATTTGTTATTTTTAGTTCTACGAAATGAGAGATTTTGGTCGACAGGCTTGCTTGTGATTGCTGGAGATTTTCATTTCCTGGGCATGGCAAAATGAGAAAGTGCTTCAGAGTCTGATCCACCGTCACTAGACAGACTTCTTTCTTCTGGCGCTGTGTATAAACAAACCTATGTCTTCCTGCTGCTGAGGTTTATACTGTGACCCTCTTTGTTATTCATTCGGCTTGTACATGAGAAGAAAGAAATGGCCTGGGAGTGGGTAGATAACATCCAATTCCCTGAACCATTGTTGTGTAGCCTGGTGAAAGTATTCTTTTGCTGGGAATAAGGACACATAAACCAGAGTAGTGCAGGGTTGCAGGGAGAGGAAACAGAAAGTTTCCAATTCGATTATTCTTACGAAGTAAGAAATGTCATTTGCATTTTTATCCCTTATAAGTTCGTTTGTTAACATTGCTGCCCTTCCACCCACTATGCTTTTAAAAGCCGGTTGAAGAGAAAACTTTAGCGTGAGCCACTGACTGGTAAAGAGAGCTACTCTTGACATCAACCAGAAAACAAAAACAGAAAAATGAGTCTTCTGAAGTCTTCAAAGTATAGCTACAGACACACTCTATGGCTCAAAAGGGAAACCATATACTGCATAGGCTTTGAGTAATTTTCCAATTTAGATACACAGTGAAAAAAAAAAGAGTATGTGCTCTTGTATCCTGTACTAAAAGAATAATTTTCTCTTGGGTCAAAAATAAGTCATGACTACTAGCCCCTTTTTCCATTATTACTTTTCTTGGGTTATTGAGGAAAAGTAAGTACAATGTTCTTTATCCCTTTCCTTCTTTTTTTTTTTTTTTTTTTTTGAGACGGAGTCTCACTGAGTCGCCCAGGCTGGAGTGCAGTGGCGCCATCTCGGCTCACTGCAAGCTCCTCCTCCCGGGTTCACGCCATTCTCCTGTCTCAGCCTCCCGAGTAGCTGGGACTACAGGCGCCCGCCACCATGCCCAGCTAATTTTTTTGTATTTTTGGTAGAGATGGCGTTTCACTGTGTTAGCCAGGATGGTCTCGATCTCCTGACCTTGTGATCTGCCCGTCTCGGCCTCCCAAAGTGCTGGGATTTCAGGCGCGAGCCACCGCACCCTGCCCTATCCCTTTCTTAATTGTCCTCTTTGGTTTCCCAAATATAGGATAGGCTAGAGGCGGAATTTTCTTCCCCATCATACCTCTTTTCCTTCAATATGAGAAAATAATTTTAGACAAATGATGAGAGCATAACTGTCTCATGATCCATATCCATGGTCTTGGTTTTGTCTTTTCCTTACCACTTCAGTAAGCACATGTTTAAAAGGATTTTATGTCTTTTCTTGTATTCAATCAACTTTCTCTTCTTGTAAGATTGCTTCCCTAATAAACATAGAGTACACACACTGAGTTAATAACAGTAGCTACAGGTTGACCTGGGCAAAGTTTGTGTTAACTATGTTGATAAAATCAAATTTTGATTGGATTTTCTGCTCCCTTATAATGACTATCTTAACTTTAAAGTTTAAAAAACTGATTAAACGTTACAAATGATGAAATCACTGGTTGATTGTTCTAAGGGGAATTTTGGCAGACAGCAGAAGAAGGCACTTAGCTTCAACGGCAGACACAAATATCCAGAAAACACAGACTAGCAGGCTGGGCATGATGGCTCATGACTAATCCCAACACTTTGGGAGGCTGAGGCAGGACAATTGCTTGAACTCGAGAGGCAGAGGCTATAGTGAGGCAAGATCGTGCCACTGCCCTACAGCCTGGGCGACAGAGCAAGACTCCATCCCCCCGTCACCCCCCACCCCACCAAAAAAAGAGAGACCAACAGAATGCCTGTGAGTGGTAATTGCTCAAAAGTACTGGTGGATTAATGAATTATTTATTTAATTAGTTAAGTCACCTAGTTCCTGATAAAGGAACACAGGTTACGCTTGTCTGGAAACAAACATTTAGCAAATATCTTGAGGTACTATACTTATTCTATTCAACATCTGCTCCCAGAATTCCTCACTTCCTCCAGAATGCCAGAGCCAAGAGGTAACACTAAAAGTCAAAAACAATTCCTCACTGTCTCTCAAAATCTGGGATCAGGATAGTCCAAGCAGAAAAACAATCTTAAAAAAAAAAACAAAAACAAAAAAACACCTACGATACCTAGGAAAATACTTATAAAGGGAAGAAAAGAAAGAACCTTACTAATATATATTATCAGGATCCTTTGGACTACAATGGGTGTAGAATACAGGTGAATTAAGGGGGAGTTTGTTGAAATGACTCAGTCCAACATTAATGGCAAGAAGACTTGTAACATAGGCTAATACACTGTTGGTATGGCTTTCTTGGAAACTTAGACACAACAAAGGATTATAGTAAATGAAAGTGGACATTAGCAAACTGCTTCGGCAGAGCGCTAAGAAAGATTGAAAGTCTCAGAAAGGTGGCATTGTTAGAATGGATATATATGTGAGTCTGAAGGATTCACCTCTTCAATATATTCTATGCAATGGCCTCATGGGCACTTAGGCAATAAAAGTTGTACTAGCGAAAGGGACACTGGCATCTTGAGTTTGGTAATGGCGGCTTTCTATAGTTACCAACAGGACATACTCTCATGACCCTGGGCTCTCTGGTATCATTGGGAAGATGGAATTCCAGAATGCCAGAGCCAAGAGGTAGCACTAAAAGTCAAAAACTTTTTTTAAATTTTTTATTTTTAAATAAGCTTACAGAAAAAGATACAAAAGTAGTACAGAGATATTTTAACAAATTGTGTTGGTATGACTGATATCCACAAGCAAAGGAGTAAAATTGGACCCCTACCTAAAACCATATACAAAATTAATTCAAAATGAATTATTGACTATAAATCTCTTAGAAGACAACATACAGGTAAATATACATGACCTTGAATTAAGCAATGACTTCTTAAATATGACAACAAAAGCTCAAGTGATGAAAGAAAAACTAAGTAAATTTTACTTGATCAAAATTACACTATTTTGTGCTTTACAGGATACCACCAAGAAAACGAAAAAATTCAGTGAATGAGCAAAAATATTTGCAAATAATATATCAGATAAGGGACTTGTATGCTAATGTAAAAAGAATTTTTACAATTCAACAATGAAATATAAATAATCTCATTTTAAAACGGGCATAAGAATTTGAATAGACATGACTCAAAAAAGATATACAAATGGTCAACAGGCTAATGGAAAGGCACTCAACTGCATTATTCATCGGAGAAATGAAGTCAAACCCACAGTGAGAAATCACTTTACACCCACTAGGATGGCTACAATTAAAAAGGAAGACAATAAAAAGTGTTCAAGTGGATTTGTAGAAATCAGAACCCTCATATTGCTGATGAGAATGTAAAATGGTACAGTCATTTTGGGAAAGATGACAATTCCTCAGTGTTAAACATAGAATTACCATGTGAGCTCATAAGTTCACTTTCAGGTATATATACAAAAGAATGGAAAACATATATCCATACATAAAACATTCACAATTATGTTCATAATAACATTATTCATAATAGCTAATATCTGCTAACAACCCAATGCCTATCAACTTATGAAAGGATAAACAAAGGTGGTATATCAACCCAATGTAATGTTATTTAGCCATAAATAAGAACTAAATATTTAGTCCTCATAATGTTGATGAATCTTAAAAACATTACACTAAGTGAATGAAACTGGTCACAAAAAGCCATATATTATATGATTTCATGTCTATGAAATGTACAGAACAGGCAAATCCATAGAGACAGAAAGTAAGTTACTGGCTGCCAGGGGCTGGGAGTAGGGGAGAGGGAGGAGGAAAATGAGGGATGATTCCTATGGATACGGGCTGTCTTTTGGATGGTGATGAAAATGTTCTGAAATTAGATACTGATCATGGCTGGACAATTCTAAATTGCATATTTTAAGAGTGAAATTTATAGTATGTGATTATATCTCAATAAATCTGGTATTAAGAAAGCAAAATTCCCGGAATTTTGGGAGGCCAAGGCAGGTGGATCATGAGGTCAAGAGATCTAGACCATCCTGGCCAACAAGGTGAAACCCCATCTCTACTAAAAATACAGCTACTCAGGAGGCTGAGGCAGGAGAATCACTTGAACTCGGGAGGCGGAGGTTGCAGTGAGCTGAGATCACACCACTGCACTCCACTCTAGCCTGGCAACAGAGTGAGACTCCATCTCAAAAAAAAAAAAAAGAAAGAAAAGAAAGAAAGTAAAATGACATAAAATGTAATAGAAAGTCTGAAGGGGTGCGGAGGAGAAGAGAGGGCTGGGGAGGGGAGGGGTGGGGAGGGGAGGGGAGGAAAGAAAAACTCTCCAGTTAGAGGAGCCAAGGTTGCCTACAGTGAAAGTGCAGTGGAGGTCACAGATATTATGAGTTTGAATCTTGGTTCACAAACATGACCATACAAGATACAGGGCGTTTCTTCATTTTCTTTAAATCAGCCTAACCATGTTTCCGAGTCCTCACCTCACCAGTCTGGCAAAAAGCTCAATATCAATCATTATTCTCACCCAGCTTCCCACCCCATGTCCAGAGGGATCCCTCTGGTCTTTATCTGACCATATGCATTAAGTCCCAGCTCCATTCCCTGTGATCTTCCACCTTATCCCACACACTCTGATGCATCTGTATCTCATCCTTGAAGTTCTAGAATTCTAGATGAGGCTGCAGGCCCCTGTGTCTAGGGTACAGCCGCCCTTGTTCTATCAGTGCCAGAGTCTGAAATCTTATTACGTTTTTTGGATGCTTTCAGCAAATAAGGCACAAGATCCCACTTCCTGCAGCATCTACATAGGAAAATCACCTTTATTTTCAAGACTATCCCTAAGTTATTTCTACCCGATTCTCTTCAGTGAATTTAGATTTTGCAAAAGATAAGCTCTTTTAGCTCTGTAAAAATGCCCAAGGCAAAGAATATGCAAAGAAACTAGCTTCTTACTGGAGAAGGGAAATGAAGCAGATGAAACACGAATCGTACTAATAAATATGCAATTTATCTTAGACTACAAACAAATAGAAAATCAAACAAGAGGTAAATGCTGGCTGGGGAATTATAAAATGTTATAGAAGGGGTGTCTTGACTGGACGTGGTGGATCATGACTGTAATCCCAGCACTCTGGGAGGCTGAGGTGGGTGGATCACCTGAGGCCAGGAGTTCGAGACCAGCCTGGCCAACATGGTGAAACCCCATCTCTACAAAAAAATACCAGAAAAATTAGCTGGGCATGGTGGTGAACATCTGTAATCCCAGCTACTCAGGAGGCTGAGGCAAGAGAATTGCTTGAACCCAGGAGGCAGAAGTTGCAGGGAGCCGAGATCGTGCCACTGCACTCCAGCCTGGGCAACAGAGTGAGACTCCATCTCAAAAAAAATAATAATAAAAGGGGTGTCTTTACTACAGACTTGGGGAGACCAGAGGAATCTCATGGAGGGACTAATGTCTAAATTGAAATCTAGGAGGTGAACGAGAGTTAGCCAGGGAAAAGGGAGTGAGAGTAGAATGTCTGGGTGAAGTTTCTCAGGAGCGATAAAAAGCATGAATGGATTCAATGAGTCTACAGATCATAAAGTGAGATACTGAAGGTGTTGAGTGATGACTTATACAGACTAGACTGAGCCAGAAGTTTATAAGCCATAGTAAAGAGTCTGGTTTTTCTGTGAGCAACAGAACCTCATTAAAATGGATTATGCTTGGGAAAGACAAACTTAGAATTTCACTTGAAAAAAGACCATTTTGGTATCAGTGTAGACAAGGGTGGGGGGTGGAGAATAACACTGGGGGCCCGTGAGCAATACTAGAATCTGAAGGACCCATCATGGAGGCTGGTACAATAATCTTTGGGAGCAGTGATGGTAGTGTGACCTGGAGAGGTGGCACAGAAAACAGGGAAAAGGGCGCATGTCTGAAAGATACGAGGTAGTTCAGACTACTAGTCTGTGAAACTCAATACTGAATTTCATAGAATCTAAAACTCCACTAATGTTAAACCATCATTTGTGACAACATGGATGAACATAAAGGACATTATGTTAAATGGAATTAACCAGCCACAAAGAGAGAAATATCGTATGATCTCACTTACGTGTGAGGTCTAAAAAAGTCAAACTATAGAAGTAGAGAGTAGAATGGTGGTCACGGGGTGGTGGGGCAGTGTACAAGAAAAGGAGAGACATTGGTCAAAGGGTACAAAGCTTCTGTTAGATGGGAGGAATAAGTTCCAGCATTCTGTTGCACAGCATAGTGACAATGATTAATAAGAATGTATATTTCAAAATAGCTAAAAGAGGGCTTTAAATGTTCTTACCAAAAAGAATGATAAATATTTGAGGTGATGGATATGTTAATTAACCTAATCTCATCATACCACAGTGTATAACATGTGTCAACATATCACAGTGGACTCCATAAATAATGCAATTATTATTTGTCAGTCAAATTTAAGATTTTATGGAATACTAGAAAAGAAAATCTTGAAGTTAATAAACTATGGCATACCATTGTTAGAAGCATCAATTTCAGAAATGCAAAATGTGGGGAGGGATGTGCGTTGTGGACTTGCGAGGGAACAAGAGGCATGAGAAATAATGGTCTCCATGTTGAATATGTTGCATTTGAAGTGTTCATGCGATATCCAAGGGCAAAGGTCTAGTCATCAGTTTGTTATGTGGGTCTGGAATTCAGAGACCTCAGCTACAGATAAAAATATGGGAGATATCAGAAAATGTATGAAAACTGAAACTGATATAAGGGATGAGAAAGTGGTCACCAACGTCAAATAAGAGCTAAACAGTTAAATCAAATAAAAACTTACTCATTTCAATAGCATTTTTTTTTTTTTGAGATAGAGTTTCACTCTTGTTGCCCAGGCTGGAGTGCAATGGTGCGATCTCTGCTCACTGCAGCCTCCACCTCCCGGGTTGAAACAATTCTCCTGCCTCAGCCCTCTGAGTAGCTGGAATTACAGGTGCACACCACCACGCCTAGCTAATTTCCAATAGCATTTTTTTTAAACAATGGGCACCGATTTTAGTGTCTGAAAAACATTTAAATCCTCTCTAGGGAAAGCACGAAAGTGACCACCTGAGAGATGAAGAAATCAGCAGAAGAACAAGTTTACTGGGGAAATTAATGTTAAAAGGAGTTAAAAAGATAAATGAAGAGAGGAAGAACATTAGAAACAAACTTTACCTAATTTAGAAATTAGCCAAGATGGAGCCTCATGAATGTGGCAACTGACATGATTTAGAACCTTGATTTATGTTTTGATTAAAAATTCTGTTGCACTTAATAATTCAATATTATAATTTGCTTAAGTACTTTATGTAGTCATAAGGGAATAGAAATCCTTATCAATGATCCTATTTACATATATGTTACTGACTGAGTTGTATCTCCCCCGCTCCCCAGAATTTATATACTGAAGCCGTAAGCCCTGTGATCTCAGAATGTGACTATATTTGGAGATGCAGACGTTAAAGAGGTCAATTAAGGTTAAATGAGGTCTTCGGGATGGGATCCTAATATAATATGACTGGTGTCCTTCTAAGAAGTGGAAGAGACACCACAAATGCACATGCACTGGAAAAAAAAAGAAAAAAAGAAAAAAAGTCACTTGGGGACACAGTGAGCAAGCAGCCATCTGCAATCCAAGGGGCGAAACCTCAGGAGAAAGCAAATCTATCAACACCCAGATCTTGGACTTCCAGCCTCTAGAACTGTGAGAAGAGACATTTCTGCTGTTTAAGCCTTTCTGTCTGTGGTATTTTGTTAAGGCAGCACTAGCAAAAGAATACAACAGAAAGGGAGCAATTTTATGGAGCACGGATGAAGGACGGACTGACGGAAGGAAGTAGGAAGAGAGGATGGAAGGGAGAGCGGGTGAGAGAGAGGGAAAGAAAGAGGAAAATCCGGCCGGGCGCGGTGGCTCACGCCTGTAATCCCAGCACTTTGGGAGGCCAAGGCGGGCGGATCATGAGGTCAGGAGATTGAGACCATCCTGGCTAACATGGTGAAACCCCGTCTTTACTGAAAATACAAAAAATTAGCCGGGCGTGGTGACGGGCACCTGTAGTCCCAGCTACTCGGGAGCCTGAGGCAGGAGAATAGCTTGAACCCGGGAGGCGGAGCTTGCAGTGAGCCGAGATCACGCCACTGCACTCCAGCCTGGGCGACAGAGCGAGACTCCGTCTCAAAAAAAAAAAGAAAGGAAAATCCGTGCTGCCAAATTTCCTCTTCATGGATCGCATTAATGGTCAAGTTTCGCTAGCTCTTTTCCCTTAAGTTAGAATTTAATATTTAATTACAACTTGAGTTTCAAATGTTCTGTGTTTCTTTTAAATAGCTTTTATTAATATTTTAAAGTCTGATGTCTAAGCCAAGAAAATTCTAACTAGAATTATCCTAATTGGAACATCCAGAAACATTCTGCTTATTACCTGGAATACTTAGCTTAGATATTGCCAGGCATAACTTTTGGCATAAAACTGGGATTGATTTCCAAAGTATCAAAAGATAGCACTCGCTCTCTCTCGCTCTCTCTCTCTGTCTCTGTCTCTCTCTCTCTCTCTTTCTGTCTCTCTCTCTCTCTCTATATATATACACACATATATTTTTTTTCTTTTTTCTTTTTTCTTTTTTTTTAGATAGTTTCACTCTTGTTGCCCAGACTAGAGTGCAATGGTGCAATCTCAGCTCACTGCAACCTCCGCCTCCCAGGTTCAAGTGATTCTCCTGCCTCAGCTTCCCAAGTAGCTGGGATTACAGGCTCATGCCACCACGCACGGCTAATTTTTTTGTATTTTTAGTAGAGACAGGCTTTCACCATGTTGGCCAGGCTGGTCTCGAACTCCTGACCTCAGGCGGTCCACCCACCTTGGCCTCCCAAAGTGCTGGGATTACAGGCATGAGCCACCGTGCCCAGCCAGCAGTAGATTTTAATGATTTTATTGATAGGAACTTTTTTGGCCCCAACATTCCTAAAACTCTACTCCCAGGAACCTTACCAGCCACTAAGGAGTGATGAACTTCAGGGTTTGGTTTTCACTCACTCAGCCCTTCTAGTTGGTATACCGTCTGAGCTCAAAACCAATTCCTGTGTTCCTTTCCCAACCCTCAAGTCAATACATTTCTACGAGTGGAAAGACAAAGTTGAGAAAGTTGATTTGGGATCATTATGCACTTGGTACCACATTTAGAGACATGCGTTGTGTGACACACTTACTTATGGATAAGCATGTCTGTTTTAAATTCATACATTGCCGATAAGCTATTCAGTTAGACGGAACTCCCCATGAAAGAGTAGTCCCCTTACAGAATAAATACAAGGCATTTACACTGCGGTATCTCTCAAATCTGAAACTTATGCCACCTTCACTCCAAATTTCCATGTTATTTGGTTATATAATAGAATTCTACTTTGACTATTTGCTCTAAGTGTTGACACTAATCCTCATCTTGAGAACAGCAACCATTTTAGAAAGATATCTGTGAATATAAAGTAGACAGTATTTTTGTTGGGTACCCAGATACCTACGGAAAAAAAATTAAAGACCTTTCTTTCCTCCTAAACTACACTGTTAAAAAATTTAATGGAAATATTTATTTGACAGGTTTTACAGCTTACACTTTTGTTCCTGCCTTGGTGTGTGTATCAGAATGCACTGAAACCTTCAGGATGAACCCTATCACAGACAGCCTTCCAAGTGGCCTTGGACTGACCAAGTTATCTCCCGTCTCTGGCTTGTAGTTCTCAAGAATAACTGTAATAAATTTGTTAAAGGATACAAGATTACAGCTAGATAGGAAGAATAAGTTCTAGTGTTCTATACCATTATAGGATGACTATAGTTAGCAATAATATATTACAGTTTCACATAGCTAGTAGAAGGATATTAAATGTTCTCGATACAAATGAATCAATGTTTGAGATGATTGATATGCTAATTACCCTAATCTGATCACCGTACATTATATTTACCAAAACAGTACTATGTACCCCACGAATACGTACAATTATTGTTTGTCAATTTAAAAATAAAAAGGCCAGGCATGGTGGCTCACGCCTGTAATCCCAGCACTTAGGGAGGTCAAGGCAGGCGGATCACGAGGTCAAGAGATTGAGACCGTCCTGGCCAACATAGTGAAATGAAACCCTGTCTCTACTAAAAATACAAAAATTAGCTGGGTGTGGTGGCACAGGCCTGTAGTCCCAGCTACTTGGGAGGCTGAGCAGGAGAATCGCTTGAACCCGGGAGACGGAGGTTGCATTGACCCGAGATCGCTCCACTGCACTCCAGCCTGGCGACAGAGGGAGACTCTGTCTCTAAATAAATAAATAAAACAAAAAGAATAATTGTAGAATGTGCTGGAAATGGAACATCCTGAAATAAAGAGGGACTGGCTAGAACCACCCATGCTCTCTTCCTGTCCCTCCTAGAAACAGGATGCCCCTCAGTGCCTTAGCCTAGTATATCAAGTTGTCCCCAGGGTATAAAAGCCTGAGTGGGCTCCCATCCAGGGTCCCTCAGCTGCAGTGCAAGTGGGTAAGTCACAGATGAGACTCCATCGGTCCCCAGCAGCTTTCCTGAGCCTCAGGGGACTGGCTCACAGCGAATCCTCCGCTTCTGTTGTCCTTTGCTGCCTATCTGTAAGTAATAAACCCACTTCCTGTAATCTGCTGTGTGTGGGTGTCCTGTCTTGCTGGGCTCAGACAAGTTGGTACCCAGCGCACAGTGCCTGCTTCATACCTGTATCTCTTGTTTCTGGAGTTTGGAAACACTGCCAGGGGCATGTGGGTAACAGAAAACTTGAAATAACAAATTCATTGGATCAAATCTGATGATCTGATTTAGGGGATAATTTTTAAAAAGGTATCAAAAGCTTAGAAAGTCTATCTCCTCAGGAGAAAAGGTGGGGTGCTGTACTTACATCATGCCTGCCACAAATGATTCTAAGTCAGTGGAAAGGTCAGGCGAAAAAAGGCCTGTGATAGTAAATGGTTCTTGCTTCAATCTAACCCTCTTTGGATCGTTTTTACGTTGGTGTGGATTCTCTTTATCCTCCGAAAACTCAAGAAGCGTGCACATGGGGGTACACCTGAAACAAAGACCAAACATGTTTAGAAAACAATAGGGAAATGAGTTTGCTTCCTTTGAGATATTGGAGAATAAAAGCAGTGGCTTAGCCTGAGGAGAGCCCCAGACCAAGGCTTGTTTTAGGGACCTTGTTTGGAAAGTGAGTCCAGGGAACAGCGAGAAGATTCAAAGTATGTGAAACAGGGAAGAATGTGTCATCAAGCAGCGGACTGAAATTGAGCCCCAGGAAAACTTCTCAGGAGCCTTAGGAAGTGCATCTCAGGGAGAATGAAAGGGAAAAGCATTCATCGACTAGTTTCCCCTTCTTAATGGTCAAAGGTGACCCCAAGGACATTAATTCTCCTGCTCTTCTAGTTTAGGTGTGTGTGGGTGCTGTATAGTTGCTATGAGCATTCCAAGCTCTGGCATGAAAGAAGCCCCAGGGAGCTGTCTTATTGTGCCCGTGTGAACATAGGTAATGCTGATCACCATAACAGTGGTTGGAGTCAGAGTGAGGGCTGAGAAGGTTTAGATGTGCTGCACAAGACTTTACTCCTTTTACTTCTCAGATCTGCTTGTGCCTGCTGTTAAGTCCTGTGCTTCAGATGGTGGCCCGCCACAATACCTGAAAGAACTTGAGATTATCAATGATCGATCATCTTGTCTTGCTGGAGCCAAAGCCATATCTGATAATCATCATCTCCCTCCTCCATCATCCACTCTATTTCTCTCATCCTATGCTAATTCAGCTGGTCTAGCACTCTTGCTGGTTGCATTGATCCAGACCTTCAGCTCCTAGGCATCAGTATGTGGGATGATTATTATTTTTTTTTTCTTTGAGACGGAGTCTCACTCCGTCACCCAGGCTGGAGTGCGGTGGTGTGATCTCAGCTCACTGCAACCTCCCTCTCCCAGATTCAAGCAATTCTCCTTCCTCAGCCTCCCTAGTAACTGGGATTACAGGCACCCACCACCATGCCTGGATAATTTTTGTATTTTTAGTAGAAATTGGGTTTCACCATGTTGGTCAGGCTGATCTTGAACTCCTGACCTCATGATCCGCCTGTGTCAGCCTCCCAAAGTGCTGGGATTACAGGCGTGAGCCACTGCACCTGGCCGGGATGGTTAATTTTATGTTTCAACTTGACCGGACCACAGGATGCCTAGATACTTGATCAAACATTATCCTTGGTGTTTCTGTGAGGGTGTTTGTGTAAGAGATTAACATTTAAATTGATAGACTGAGTAAATCAGATGGTCTTTGCTACTGTGGGTGGACATTATCCAATCAGCTGAAGGACTGAATAGAATAAAAGGCTGCCTCTCTCCCGAATAAGAGGAAATTCTTCTTGACTACCTTTCCAGCTGGTACATTGATATATTTTTTTAACTGCCTTTGGACTTGAACTGAAACATCAGCTCTTTTGGTTCTCAGGGCTTCATTCTCAGATAGGAACTACACCATCAGCACTGATGGGTCCCTAGACTGTTAAAGAGATTGACAACCTTGGGATTGTCAGCCTCCATAATCATGGGAGCTAATTCCTTAACTGGCTCACATGAATAAACAATAAATCTCTTTCTCTGTCTCTCTCCATATATATATATATGGAGAGAGACAGAGAAATACACATATATATATATATATATATATATATATATATATATATATATATATATATTCTCCTGCCTCAGCCTCATGAGTAGCTGGGATTACAGGCACACACCACCATGCCCGGCTAATTTTTGTATTTTTTGTAGAGACAGGGTTTCACCCTGTTAGCCAGGCTGGTCTTGAACTTGTCACCTCCAGTGATCCGCCTGCCTTGGTCTCCCAAAATGTTGGGATTACAGGTGTGAGCCATGGTGCCCGGTCAATACAACGTATTTAATTGTTTGCTCTTACTGAGTCGCTGTTGTCAAAATGTCCATTCACAGTGACTTCTGGACCATGCCTTCTAGAATGCTTGCCTTCTAGTCCCCTACACTGTACTTCTCATGCCTCTTCTCTTCTTGTTTTGCGCAAAAGCCTAGCTATACACTGGGTGATTTCCTTCTTCTTCAGCATTTCCCAGAGGTTGTTTAGCCTCTTCCTAGAAAATTGCAGTGGCAAGGATCTAACCATCTTGTAAACTAGCCTAATTGTCTTCCAAAAGCTCTATTAGAAATTGCCTCCTTACAGCATTCCAAAATTTGTTTTTTTCTAAGTTAGCCCATTACTACTTTGATGTATCTGGGACAATATAAAATGTTTATGCCTTCTTCCTCATGACAACTCTTAAAAACTTGAGAATAGAAACCATAGCTTCCCCTCAATCTAAACACACCTACGTTTCCTTGTGTGCTATTTTGGTTCTCGGTTCTCCCACCTCTCCCTGTGCTTTCTTTTAACACAGGTCATTGTGGCTGTGGTCCTTTTAAAACAGCGTTGCCTTGAAGCAAGCACAGGACTCAGTTGTAGGACCCAGTGTAGAGTGAAGATGGACTATTTCTGTGTGTAAGAATTGTGTACCACATTAATCCACACATTGTGGGGCTTACTACTTGTATATTTACCCTCTGCCATATCCGTTTTCTGAATGTAAGCATCTTCAGCCTCA
Source organism: Homo sapiens (assembly GCF_000001405.40). Taxonomy (NCBI): domain Eukaryota; kingdom Metazoa; phylum Chordata; class Mammalia; order Primates; family Hominidae; genus Homo; species Homo sapiens. Next base: position 15,374,781 of record NC_000008.11, read on the forward strand.
CTGTATGTCCTTCACAGATACAAATATATCTAGGAATGTTTCAGTCCACATAGTCACATCGAATATGGTAAACTCTGGCCACCTGGCTGAGACATCACCTCCCAACCTTCTAGCAGTAGTTTGAGAAGCTAGAATATCAATTAGTATAAATTTTAAAACTTGTGGCATATTTCAACACATCAGGATGCAAAACACCATCTGCAAGTAAGAAAAACTGGCATTGGCCCCCCTGGCTGGATACTTTTACAGAGGCTTTGAGCCTGTAAGAATGTTTACTTCTACCCAATACAACCAACCCACTGAAGAGACACTGAAATAACTCTATTTCTCCCAACTGCAGTATCACAGACAAGCCCACTCAGCCAGTCAGTCTTTCTCTCAGAATAAATATAATTTACTCTAATAGGTTCCATGTTATCAAGCCTTTTAGCCACGATTTAATTGAACTGAACCGTTTCATTTTACCTACAAGGAACAGCAAGTGTTCTGCCAATTGCATGATAATAGAGTTTCAATTGGAGTTTACCACAGCCAATCAAAAGTCTAATACTTCAGCTGAGATGCAAACACTTCCTTCTTTGAAAAATATGGCCAGTTATGAGTAGCATGCATTTCATACTACTCCCAAAAGCGAAAAATACTAATTTGTTTAAATATTTGAAAAAAAAAAAAGAATTGTTTCATTTTAATAAACTTTTTATTTGAAAACTGTTTTAGATCTACATAAAAATTGAGGAGATAACACAGAGGGTTCCCATAAACCCAATACGCAGACTCTCTCGTTATTAACACTACATTAGTGTGGTACATTTGTCAAAAGCAATAAATCAATATTGATACATTATCATTAACTAAGGTCCAGTCTTTATTCAGATTTCATTAGTCTTTTTTCCTAATGTCCTTTATCTGTTCCAGGAACTCTTTTGGAGTAATGCAATCCATTCAGTCACAATCTGTTCTCAGGCTCCTCTTAGCTGTGATAGTTTCTCAGGCTTTTCATATTTTTTATAATCTTGACAGTTTTGGTTAGTACTGGTCAGGTATTTTGTAGATTATCTATTAATTAAGATTTATCTGATCTTTTTCTCATAAATAGGGCTCATGAGTTTGGAGGAGGAAGATTACAGAGAGAAAGTATATTCTCATCACAACATATCAAAGGTATACTAACCAAAAACATGACTTAACACTGTTGATATGACTTGGTCACCTGGCTGAGGGAGTGTTAATATGCAGCGCTTAATGAGTGGGCAGTCATGTTCCACCTTCTTGAGAGTGGAGTATCTACATAAATTATTTGTAATTCTTCTGCATGGGATATTTGTCTCTTCTCCCCCATTTATTTGATTATTTGTATCCATTTAGATCCTGGACATTTATTTTAATTCTATGTTAAAATCCAATACAACTTTGTTTTTGTTGTTTTTGTTCAAATTATTTTAGCTTTGGCGTTTGGAAGCTGTTTCAGTTGACTCCTATGCCTCTTAGACTTACTTCCGTCATTTTGTGTATATATGTGTGTGTGTGTGTGTGTGTGTGTGTGTGTGTGTGTGTATGTGTGCTTTTGAGTACTGCCTTAATTTCTGGCACTACAAAATACTCCAGGCTCATCTTGTATATTTCCTGCTTCCATCCTGGAATCAGCCATTGCTCCAAGGCACCCTTGTTCCTTTTATTGAATAAATCTGGTAGAGACCAAGATCATTGTGTTAGATGCGCTGATTGCTACTGTGGGGTCATTGCTTCAAGCCCCTTGAGCCATGTCTATTCATCTATACAAGCATCTATATAGATAGATACTATGTTAAGTAATACAACTTTAATTAATGAAATGTAACTTATTAGGTCAACCCATATGAAATTGCTATTTTGTCACAAGCAAAAATTGCTATGGTGTCAAAAGCACTAAAATATCAATAATTATTCATGGCTCAACCTAATACTTACAAAAAAGTACATAAACAGATATCCATGCCACATCCAGTAAACAAGAGAAAAGAACCAGTACCAGCACACACGCATCTACCATACACTCCTTCCTCCTAGAGATACTCTCCAATTCTGTAATGATTGCTTTTTTACTCACCTTATATATAGTATAAACTTTAACACTGAAGTGTGCATTACAAAAATATTTAGCTTTTCCTGTTTTTCTTTTAAGTAAATAGAATCATAATGCATGTAGCATTTTGTGTCTTATATTTGTCTTGTGTTACGTATAGCTTTCATTCATTTTCATTTTCACTGTGTATAATAATTTAAAATATCAATGTGCAACAATTTATCCATTTCACTGTTGATTGATACTTGGTGATATTATTTTGAATAGAGAAAGAAGGAGCAGCATAATTACATTTTGACTGATCTTTGGGTTTCTTGGTATCATGAAATTTCACATTCATTGCTATTTTAAAAGAACCCAGATTAGGACTACGTCTGATTTAAACAGTATCCTAAAACACATAATCACCAAGAAACCTTGCAATTATAATTTGTCCTCTGAAGTAATTCTGCCCAGAGGGAGAAAATTATATGATCCAGCACAAAGATTCCGGTTCTCACAACATGGACTGCTCATTGTGAATAAAACAAATTGACATTATGTTTTCATATATCTGTCTCAGGTGTTTGGTTAATAAGTAGTCCATCTCAAAGAGGTAGATCTCTTTTTGGTGTGTTGATAAAATTAGGTAATGAATTCCAGCTCATGAGGCCTCTTGAGAGGCAAGCAGACAGCCAGCCTTCTACAGGCAGGCATATACTGCTTGATTTCAACAGCGAACACCATCAAACAAGAGTCTAATTCTCCTATTTGAAATTGTACGATATATAACTCCTATGCCCCCAAATGTGGGCAAATTAAATAAGACTCTTCAACAAAAAAATCTCCCAGAAGTTTACTACTATTTCTTATTTATAAGAATTTTTGTAATATTCTTTTAAGTAATCTGCATTTTCTGTAATTCACTCATTCTCTTTTACCTGTCCTCATTATATACTATTTTCTGTGACAACATTCTTTTATGAGTACAAACTCCAAAATACAGCATTTTAAGCAAACTACATTAAAGATTTTAAAGAAAAAAATAGCTATATTTCTAAAAGTGCTATGTGTGTTTAAAATATCTTTAGGAGGTTTCATTTAATTCAGAGAAAAGTAGGTCAAACCTCCTAAGATAAATTTCTAATCAAATAGCTGCTCTGTACTCGTATAGTATTTATTTTATAGCTCTTTCATTAATGTCTTCCTATATTTCTCTCCCAAACAAAATTGCATGATTTTGTGCTCACCACCGCCACATTCTTCATTTCTTTTATAGGTTTGTTCTGTTATAACAAAAGCAAAAACTATACACCTTTAACCGAAATTGTAGAGGGAGGCTTTAATTTTAATCCTTACTAAAGGCACTTTGATTATTTTTATAACAAACTGAAAAATTAAAGAATAAAAATGTATTTCTTTAATTCTCTCTTGTCATACTCAACTCTTCACATACATGAGTCTACAGATGAAAACAAACCCTTATGAACCCTATCAGATAACTTCAATGCCCTCGAGTGTCTAGTCAGTTTCTGGGAGTAATATTTATAGCCTTGTTACAAAGCACACAAATTGGAATGAAGACTGAGAAATGGGACAACTTGGCTTGAGTGCAGCTGTCAATCGCTGTATATTGCCATCTGCTGGGAACTTTGGCCACTGCACTTATGTACAGGACCACAAGCGAACAGCTTAGCTTAAGTGGAAAGAAAAAAAGCAAGAATTAATTTCAAAATACTAAATGTGTTAAATAAATTTCATAACTTTAATATTTTATGTTAAATTACTAAATGTTATTTTTCAAAAATTCTATTACAATGGTCATTTTAGCAGGAAAAAAATATGGTACTTTTCACAAAAGCGGGCCTACACCATTCCCTATTTTGCTTGTTTTTCAGTTACCAGAAGGGGGCGCCCAGCATAGTTTCTGAAACAGTAAATACAACAGTCAAAAAGTATTTGTTGAATGATTGAATGAATGAATGGGAGCCACCACACCCAAGAAGATATTAATTGAAATATTTTTTATGTCACAAGATTATTTATTTAGGGCACAATTTGAATACAAAACATTGACTAATTGGTTAATTTCTACTATTACAGTGGTCCATAGACTCATTTGAAGCAAATTCATGAAAGGAATATTGCCGTAAATTCGATGGGATTTCATCAATATCTTAAAACTGTACAATACTTTGGAATGATTACAAGATTTTTATGCAATAAAAATGGTGGAAATTTGTGAAATTATATGATTACGGTGTCAATTTAAATATGTACGTGCCCAAACACCTTTAGACAGAATACTGTTGACTCCATTATAAACTTATGAATTTAAGATTACTATAAACTATGGCAGAAATCGAAAACTATCTGGCATAAGTGAATCTAGACCTTTAAAAAAAAATAAATGGTAAGGCTGGTTCTTCGAATAAGAACAAGATCAATAATTCTTCTTGAAGCACCACAAATTTGTAACCCTGGCTCCTAACATAGGGCCTAGCGTAGCGCAGACGCTCAAGTAGATATTGAGCTATTTGAATTTACTTTAGATATTATAAGTGAATGTTTAATATAAGTAATATGTGGAAAAATATTTGTATGCCCTTTCCCCCAATAGAATATGAAAGCTTACTGAAAGCAAATATATATATATATATTAGTTTGTTTTATATACATAGCCATCTGTTTAGTGCTAGTAAACAATAGGCATTTAATAATGATTATAATTTACAGTTGATGAATGGAGATGACAAAATATTTTAAGAAGTAAATATAAAGACTGCCATTAATATGGGTCTAGAGGAAATAATAAACTTGCTTTTGGATATAGAATACTGTCATTTTTCTAGAAATTTATCACTTCTCGTAAAGGTGTGATAAATGAAGACTGAGACTTTGTTTGATCAAGGTCATGTGACCAGGGAGACTCCAGACTCAGGCCCACATCTGCCTGTAATCCTCCCTCCTCTTCATCTCTGGTCTGTATCCCACACAACACAGTCCCCAGTGACACCTCTATACAGCAGTTGTAGCCTGCACTAAATTCCACAAGTTCACCTTCTTATACGAATATCTGTTTTCATCTTCCTAGCTTCTCTTAGAAAGCAAATATGTGCTGGAAAGAACTGGTAAACTTTAGGATAGGTATTGTATGGGCAAGCCTTGCAGCAATAAGTCACAGTAAACTTTCTTATTTTATAAATAAAGAATTTCGGCCGGACACGGTGGCTCATGCCTGTCATCCCAGCACTTAGGGAGGCCGAGGTGGGTGGATCACGAGGTCAAGAGATCAAGACCATCCTGGCCAAGATGGTGAAACCCCATCTCCAATAGCAATACAAGAATTAGCTGGGTGTGGTGGCACGTGCCTGTAATCCCAGCTACTCCGGAGGCTGAGGCAGGAGAATAGCTTGAACTCTGGAGGCGGAAGTTTTGGTGAGCCAAGATCATGCCACTGCCCTCCAGTCTGGTTACAGAGCAATACTCCATCTCAAAAATAAATAAATAAATGAATAAATAATTTCATCTCCTTTTCTACAAACTACAATGTAAAGTCGCAATGTATTGTTTTAAAAGTGCCTAGAAAAGACAATAGATGTACTAGTCAATTCAAACAACTAGAGTTCTGGACCAAACTGTGTCTCCCCCAAAATTAATTTGTTCAAGTCCTAACCCCTAACACCTCAGCATGGAGATAGGGCCTTTAAATGCGGTCTAAAGGGTGAGACCCTAATCCAATATGACTGGTGTCCCTATAGGAAGGCAAAAGACACATGATATACTTTTGCACAGAGGAAAGGCCATGAAGGACACAGCCAGAAGGTGTCCATCTGCAAGCTAAGGATAGAGGTCTTAAGAGAAACCAAACCTGCTTAAACCTTAACCTTGGACTTCCAGCCTCCAGAATTGTGAGAAAATAGATGTACTTAAGCCTCCCCTCCCAGCCTGTAGTATTTATTATGGCAGCTTTAGCAAACTTATCCCACAAGGGAAATTATGATTTCAGCAGAATCTGTGGCTTTTGGTTATACAAGTGAAGCAAAGTGTGTGTGTGTGTGTGTGTGTGTGTGTGTGTGTGTGTGTGTGTGTGTGTACGCATCTGGTGGCATGTGGTGTTGATTGGGTGGTTGGTTGGTTGTTTTATTTCTATTGAGTCTTTAGAAAAATACTGATATGGTTAGTATTGATTTCCATGATTTGCTTGTCCTTTACTTATTAAAAAATCTGAGAATAACTCACATTAATTTTATTACAGCTTGCTATAAATGAAACCCTTAAAGATTCAGGAATGTTTTTACAAAACTGTCATCAACTGTGAGGTATATGACGGTTTCATAAAATGTATCTGCTAGTGATTTGTTGGTCTGTTTCTTGGCAACTGAATGGCTTCTGGGATATCAAATTATTAGGTAGAAGAAAAATAAGGTTTTATTAAACTGCAATGCGAGCTGAATCTGTATTATGGGAAAATATGCATTTATAATTTCTTATTTAGAAGCTCCAGACAAAATTCTGCCAACCTAGGTCATGCTACAAAACTTAACCTCTCCCTTTTGAGCACCAGCACATCATTTGAAATGCTTTGGTTGAAATTTTATATTTTAAGAACTTTTCATACAGATTCTTGTATGTCAGTATGCTTGAGGTGAGCTGCAGGTCTCTAGGCCAAGATAAGACTGTCTTCCCCTAAACTCAATCACCTTCTCGCTCCCAGTGTATATTATAATTCTGTGCACACTGCAGATTCTTAGTAAATACTGGAGGCATTTGCGTGATGAAAGTGTTTTGAAATTAAACTTCAGTTATGTAGACAAGTCCTATGGATTTAGATAAAATGGGCTGAGAAAATTAAGCAATTTTCAAATAAAATGATAAAGGAAGTGTGACAGGGGACATCAGGTGGGGAGAAATCAAGTTTTCTTGGAAAAGTAGAGTCTTGGAGCTTTCATGACCTACACTGAGGTAGGGGAAAGTCCCCTTAATTCCAGCATGTATACAAAGCTTAAAAACTGTAAAAACGTACACTAGATTGATGGTTTTCTTTTTGCATCCTGATGCAAATGTGCTCATTCCCGTATTACAATTGGTGTGAAGGGCATACACTGTAACTACTGTCATTGGATGAAAGTGGAAAATAATTAATATGATTCACAAACGGTATCCTGGCATTCACCAAGAGTGGGTAGGAAATTGTTTTTAGCTTAAGCCCCAAGTAAAAATTGGTCTTCCTGTTCAAATGGAGCCAAAGAAAACCTCCTTTTTTGGAAAAAAAGAAAAAAGAACAAAAGAACTAGAATAAGCAGCAAACTATCAAAATGTAGCAGATAAAATATAGAGAGAAATTAAGTACTCAGATTAGAAAGTGCTGCAGAGTCAAACAAAAATAAAAGGGCAATAGGTAGAGCAAGCAGCAAGCATCTTTGCTGAGCATTGCTGGAAGAGAACTGGTTGATTTAAACTCAGAACCAGTTTTCATTGCATCCACCAGTGGTTGTTATATTCCCAGAATAAACTACAAAAGACTAGCTAGAATGCTTTATTAATAATATGACAAGCCCCAATGTCGTTTAAATAGTATTGCTCTGGCGAAAATATTATGCAAACTTTAACCTGAGGTGCATCTCCTCTTGTGACGTATTTTTATGTAAGTGTCTTTGTAAATTGGGGGTTTTCTCAGATGAAGGATTACCTGCAGTAGCTCCTCTGGCTTGTCTTAGAACACTGTTTCCCTCACCTACCCCTTAACAGCTGCCTTTTAATAGTATCCCATTGAGAGTTCTATGCTGCTGTTGCTTTTATACTAACTACGCTACCAAGAAATAGTTACAAGTTCAGCAATGCCCTTGGTCAAGTTCTACCTCGCCATTTCAACACAGCCAGGCTTTCAAAAAAAGAATTTTTTTTTCTGGGACAGACTGGAGTTGTCACGCTTCAGAGGCAAAACCTCAATGTGTTGCATTCTTTTGAAGTAGTTCTCTCCCTGAGATCTCTCTGATACACGTGTCTAAAGTCAGAGTCCACTTCTCTTTTGATCCGCTAACACTAGTGCGAGCTGTAGAAGTCTTTCTCCAAGCTGCCCTTTATCATATCAAAGGTTCATGGTGAGTTTATTCTGCCTGGCTGGGGTCAAATCAGTCATTCATTCAACCAGCATCTGAGAGCTCACTATCTGCAGAACACCCCAGTGAGAAACATACGAAGATGATATCTTATACATTTGGAATTTGGGATTTAAAATTTAGAATTTAGAGACACCCCAGTAAGTGGTTAATTCTGCCTGCAGAATCCAAGTCATGCTTTGTGGAGTGCTTGATTCTTACTCTGGGTCTTAACAGATGAAAGAGATGTTTAAAGCTAATTCTGGCTTTTAAACTAATGAGGAGGATGAAGTGGGGTGAAGGAGCAACTGGTGTCATGGAAGCAATGGCTTGTTGTATATTCATTGGAATTAGGCTCAGCTGTGAATAATAGACTCCAAGAAACAGGACTAAAATGGATGTGCAGTCCTGGGCTGGTGAAGCAATTTGGTCCTTCACAGTCCTCAGGGACTTGGGCTTGGTCTGTCAGTTGCTTTGCTTTAAACAGATGCCATTACCAAGGTCACCTCAAGGTCCAACCAAGATGGATCTTTCAAACCCAGAAATATGTTCACATTCCAGCTAGAAGAAGGGGCATTTTCAATATATGCCCTTCACTTTCTTGAACTGCCCCGTTCCAGTAACCACATCCTTCCTTCTTCCCCAAACACTCATTCACACACTGATGCTCATACTCAGGACCTTGTCATTACAGATACGTGCGACCACTCCATAATCTCAGTGGCATCCCACCCGCTGGCCTCCACTGCCTCCCTCCTCCCCCTCATGCATCACCAGTACTTCCAGCCCTCTAATCTCACCAGTTACCTCAATTCTCCCAAGTCCCCATTAAGCTCCTGACTCAGCTCAAAATTCACTCTCAGACATTATAATCACCCCTTGCATATATAGTGTGAGTATCCCGTATCCAAAATGCTTGGGACTAGGTGTGTTTCAGATTTTGTATTTTGTATTTTTTATTTTGGAGTATTTGCATACTCATAATGAGGTATCCTGGAGATGGGACCCAAGTCTAAACACAAAATTCATTTATGTTTCATGTACACCCTATACACATAGCCTGAAGGAAATTTCATAAACTGCTTTAAATAATTTTGTGCATTAAAGTTCTGACTGTGTTTTGATGGCAACCTATCACATGAGGTCAGGTTTGGGATTTTCCATTAGTGACAGCATGTTGGCACTCAAAAAGTTTTTCATTTTGGAGCATTTCAGATTTCAGCTTCTGGGATTAGGGATGCTTGACTTACACTCCCAGCTGGCTTACCTCTTTCTCAATTTATCATACTTCCTTAGCATAACCACAACCTTGGTTAAATTCAACTTTCTGCCTTCTCTGTGCCTGTGCCTATAGAATTGAATATAATTGAAGAAAACAACTATATCAGCTCTCCTTATTTGCAATAAATAACACATTGGAAGCAGGCCTCGCAGAGCCCAACAGTTACACTGGAGGTCCCTATCTCATTTCTTCCCCCCATATCCTAGATGTATTTTACACCTTGTTTTATGTCTTTGAGCCTCCAACACTTCCTGATCCATCCTCTCTCTCCACTGGTGGCCGATTGCTGCTCATCTGTTTCTGCACCTGTGCACTGTGTTGGCATTCCTGACTGTTCCATCTCCTAGGACTGGTCCTTATCAACTAGGCCCCATTGCTCCCTTTCCTCTATCTCCTATGTCATCAGTTTTTCCTTTTACCCTGGTTCATCCCCAAAAGTACTTTCCTGATCCCAGTTTTCCCATGAGCTACTGATTTTATCTCTCTGCTACTCCATAAAAATCCCTGCCTCCCTCATGCTCCTTGCATATAGTAGGCATGATTCTACATTGATATTGGCTTGTTACTCTGTCTGAAATTCTCCACCTGCAGGTATCTTCCTACTAACTCCTTCATCTCCTTTAAGGGTTTGTTTAATCACCCTGTAAGAGAAGCCCTTTCTAACTGCCCTGTTTCAAGAAGGGAAGCCCTTTCTAACTGCCCTGTTTCAACTTGTTTTCAGAACTCGTTCCCACTCTGCCTCCATGGTTTCTTGTCTCCTTATTCTGCTCAAAAATTTTCCTTAGCATTTATCACCTTGTAAGATACATTAGAATTTACTTATTATGATTTTGTCTTATTGGCTCTCTGTCCCAGCTAAAATGTAGGTTTCAAAAGGACAGAGATTTATTTTTTCTCATCCCATCTACCTAGGGATACTGCCTGGAACGTATTTGAAGCTCACTAATATTTGTTAAACACAGTGTATTTACTTTCAATTTCCCAAAGCCTTGTGTTCAGATAGAATAATGTGTTTATGCCAAGCAGGACTCTTGATTTTAAATGACAGAAGCCCACTTCCAACCAACATGAGTAAGAATGTTCTGTTTATTTATTCTGTTGTGGTTTCCTTCTAGTTTGGTCTAGATTTATGTTAGAAGATAACCCAGGATTTGCACTTTTCTTCAACCACAGTTGAATGCAGGTACCCCCAGATGGCCAACAAAACTTGATCTCTAGCTCTTGACTCTGTTCTCCTCCCTTCTGGCTTGGTTCTCCAGGAGGATCTCTCCACCTGGAAGAGGCATGAACACAAGCAACTTTAGGTTAATATGATCTTTAAGTTCCAGAGATCACAGAGGCACCTCAAAAGCTCCAGACGGGACTCTGTGTGACTCTATTAATGAAGCAGGGAGGTGGGAAGGTATGTCACTCTGTTTAAGCCAGGTTTAGATCACAGTTGCCTCCCTCAGAGCCAGGGTGGGAGTGAGGCACAACTGAACGCTGAAGTCCTGTGGACTGCACAGGCTAGCTCTAGAAAGGGCAAGAGGTGGTTTCCCTAAAATGGAATCCTGGACAGACAAATTTATATCTACTCTATAACTAAAGAAGACCTTAGTAACTTACATTTTTTATTTTTTTACTTTTTAGTGTTTTGTTTGTTTTGGCAGGCGGAAGGGGGAGCTGACATGACATTCAATCCCTGGAAAATCTAACATTTTTTTTTTTTTTTTTGTGACGGAGTCTCGCTCTATCGCGCAGGCTGGAGTGCAGTGGCACGATCTCGGCTCACTGCAAGCTCCGCCTCCCGGGTTCACGCCATTCTCCTGCCTCAGCCTCCTGAGTAGCTGGGACTACAGGCGCCCGCCACCATGCCTGGCTAATTTTTTTGCATTTTTAGTAGAGACGGGGTTTCACCGTGTTAGCCAGGATGGTCTCGATCTCCTGACGTGATCCGCCAGCCTTGGCTTCCCAAAGTGCTAGGATTACAGGCGTGAGCCACCGCGTCTGGCGGAAAATCTAACATTTTTAAAAACTATTCTTATGTGAGTAATACCATTTTCAAATTGGCAACATGCCCATCAGAAACATTTCCAAAATTTCTTAAACCAAAAAATAATATTTTAAAATACATTTTCTTTCAGTTTTAGGGGGTAAAAAAAGCTAAGCATAGACACATATTAAGCAAAAGATGTAGTTTTTTTCGTGGAAAGCAAATTTAACAAAATCACATCTAAATTTTTAGTAACATTCCATTATTATAAAATGTAATTAGCTTTGCGTATGACTTAGTATGATATCAAGTCCTAGATATGCTAGCGGTATTTTTCACTTCCATATGTTTTCTTGTCTGCATGTAATGTAGTTTGGATATTTGTTCCCTCCAAATCTCATGTTGAAATTTGATTCCCAACATTGGAGGTGGGGTCTGGTGGGAGGTGTTTCGTCAAGGGAGGTGAATCCCTCCTGATGGGGGCTTGGTGCTGTCCTTGCAGTGATAAGTGAGGTCTTGCCCTGTTGGTTTTAGCCAAAGCCAATTGTTGAAAACAACCTGGCACTTCCCTTCCCTCTCCTTTCCTTCCTTTCCATGTGATGTCGTCTCCTCTTCACCTTCTGCCATGAGTAGAAACTTCCTGAGGCCCTTACCAGGAGCAGATGCCAGCGCACTGCTTCTTATACGGTCTGCAGAACCATGAGCCAAATAAACCTCTTTTCTTTATAAATTATCCAGCCTCAGGTATTCTTTTATAAGAACATAAATAGGGTAGGACAGCATGTAAGTAGCTAAAATTTAAGGAAGCACATTACTAAATAAGATAATGTTTTGGAGAGCTCAAAAATAATGATTCGGTTTAAAATTACTTAAAATGTGTCTGAATTTCAACAAGTTTTAAAATCAGTTACTCTTTGTATATAATCATTATATGATATAGACAGTACCATCATAATTTTTTAAAATAGTACATAATCCAAAGAATCACAGTTTATCTTCTTATTAGGAATCATAAATGTGTATAATTATTTACATAGCATCACATTATTAAACACATTCAAAAGCACTAATTACTTGTATGTACGTGAATTTTATCACTAATTAATCAAAATATTTATTTTAAACACTTTCAAATTCATTATTTCCGAACATATATAACCACTATAACATAGTAAAAACCATAATTTACTTTGTGTAGGGTTAGCCTACTGATTAATATTTTACGGCAAAAATATAATTATAACTTCAGAATAACTAAATAAGTTTATGTGCCGTAAAGGCTAAATACAAATTATAATTGAATGTAAGTAAAATGATTATGGGAAGAAATCTAATATTATGTAGATATACCTCACTCTGTGCAACAAGTACTTTCCTGGAAAGTTGTATGTTAGTTTAACTATATTTGAACTATATTTTAAAAGATATTTAAGGAATACTGCCAATTGCTATCTTTATAAAATGATTTCTTTAAGTTTGCAGTGTCTTAGAAGAATGAAGAAGTCTTAATTTCTTCTTTTAAATGTCTGAATTTTCTTTTTAAAAGACGCATATGAAGTAGTCTCCTCTCTAAATCACTGAGCTCACAGACTGAAGTTGTATACACCAAGCTCAAAGAGAACAGATGGATTAATCCTGCCTAGGAGATGTGGTTGGCATTTGTAAGTAAGTAGCATGATATTGTCAGATTCTAAAAGAATTACCGATCCACCACACTCCTGATATTTTCAGGTCACTTGTCTAGCTGTCCCTAATATGTGATAACTTGGAAGACCATCCTTAGCATACAGATTTCTGTAAAAATTGACTATAAAGATATGGCATAAGATTCCACATATTTTTTACTATATTTATCTCTTCAACAAAATATGTACTTATCCTCTTCTAACATAGAAATGACATTATTGTAATGGAACAACATGAAGATTATTATGTTGAAATTTCTAAAATTTCTAATTCAAATTAATGAGTTTCATACAGTTAATTCTTAAAGTATACATGTAAGCTTATTAACACTAATTTGTACTCCATGTAATCTTTCTTAATATTTCACCCATTTAAACTGAAACTGCTCTTTAGAAATTCTTGATTTGGATTAAATATATATTTGGATATCTGTAATGTAAATTGTAATGTTACTAATTTTTAAAAGTCAATTTAAATAATTAATTATAAAAATATAAGATTTGGCTGTGTGTGCTGGCTCACATCTGTAATTCTAGCACTTTTGGGAGGCCAAGACAGGCATATCACTTGAGGTCAGGAGTTTGAGACCAGCCTGGCCAACATGGTGAAACCCCATCTCTACTAAAAATACAAAAATTAGCTGGGTATGGTGGCACGGGCCTGTAATTCCAGCTACTCAAGAGGCTGAGGCAGGAGAATAGCTTGAACCCAGGAGGTGGAGGTTGCAGTGAGCCGAGATTTGGCCACTGCACTCCAGCCTGGGTGACAGTGAGAAAAAAAAAAATACAAGATTTACCATTAACACCCTTTTACTTCAAAGAGTTGCCTATTAGCTATGTGATAATTTTTTTTGTCTTTTTTTTGAGATGGAGTCTCGCTCTGTCGCCCAGGCTGGAGTGCAGTGGCGCAATCTCGGCTCACTGCAAGCTCTGCCTCCCGGGTTCCCGCCATTCTCCTGCCTCAGCCTCCCCAGTAGCTGGGACTACAGGCGCCCACCACCTGAAAATAAGAGTCTTGTGATCATTTATGGTTTTGGGATAAAACTGTTCCACCTCAGATCATCAGGCATTAGTTAGATTCTCATAAGGAACGCGCAGCCTAGATTATTTGCATGCATAGTTTACAGTGGGGTTCATGCTCCTATGGGAATCTAATGCCGCTGTGGATCTGACTGGAGGTGGAGCTCAGGCGGTCATGCTGGCTGCCTGTAGCTCACCTCCTACTGTGCGGCCCTTTTCTAACAGGCCAAGGACCCCTGTCAGTCTGCAGCCTGAGGGCTGGGGGAGTCTTGTGCTATGCAGAAGCTCCAAAAGAGTGATAAAGAAAAGTTCCCAACATTGATTGCTAAGAATTTCTTCTTTCTTATTTTTTGTTTTTGTTTTTGTTTTTACGTGTTTGAAAAATACTTGTGGACCTATGTTTCTCCAAATGATCTTTAGGGAAGGGATCATGGCCTGTAATAGCAACATTTTGGCTCAGTAAAATTTCACTGTCTAACACACCAGAAAGGGTACAGCAAGATTCCAGAGAACCCCACTGCCTCCAGCAGCAACCTGCAGACTGTTTTCAGATAGTGCTTGATTTTGATGCAGGAACTACTTAACTATTCTTAAAATTTGGATCCCTTGATTCTGCCCTTCTTTTGGAATTTTTCTCCTCATTTTTGTACGATTGGATGTAATAGTGCCTGGTATATGGTATAGGGTAAAGAGATACTTGCTTAATGAATAACCTTAGTTTGAGTCTCAATCAGGTACTTACCATGTATGTGGTCTTGGACACTTTGTCTAATCCCTTTAAATCTCAGATTATTCATATGTATAATGAAAAGACTAATAGTACTTCGAGGTCTGCTAGCAGCTGCCCCAACAAAATAAGTCTGCAATAATTGCCATAATGAAATACCACAGACTGGGTGGCTTCAAAAACAGAAATTTATTTTTTCACAGATTTGGGATCTCAACATCCAAGATCAAAGTGTCGGCAGGTAAAGAGTTTTTGCACAGCAAAAGGAGATTTCAACAGGGTAAACAGACAACATGCAGGATGACAGAAAATATTTACAAACTATGCATCCAACAAAGGCCTAACATCCTGAGTCTATAAGGAACTTATCAAGTCAACAAGCAAAAAAATAGTAATGGCCGGGCATGGTGGCTCACGCCTGTAATCCCAGCACTTCAGGAGGCTGAGGCGGGCGGATCATGAGGTCAGAAGATTGAAACCATCCTGGCTAACACGGTGAAACCCCGTCTCCACTAAAAATACAAAAAAATTAGCCAAGCCTGGTGGCAGACGCCTGTAGTCCCCGCTACTGGGGAGGCTGAGGCAGGAGAATGGCCTGAACCCGGGAGGTGGAGCTTGCAGTGAGCCGGAGAGCACGCCACTGCACTCCAGCCTGGGTGACAGAGCGAGACTCTGTCTCAAAAAAAAAAGCGAAAAGAAAAAAAAAGAAAAAAATAGTAATAATGATAACCCCATTAAAAAATCAACAAAGGACATGAACAGACACTTCTCAAAAGAAGACATGCAAGAGTCCAACGAATATATGAAAAATTGCACAAAATCACTAATCATCAGAGAAATGCAAATCAAAACCACAATGAGATACCATCTCACACCAGTCAGGATAGTTAACATTAAAAAGTCAAAAAATGACAGGTTGGCAAAACTGAGGAGGAAAGGGAATGCTTATGTACGGTTGGTGGGAATATAAATTAGTTCAGCCATTGTGGAAAGCAGTTGGGAGATTTCTCAAAGAACTAAAATAGAACTACCGTTCAACCTAGCAATCTCATTACTGCATATATACCCAGAGGAAATAAACTGTTCCACCAAAAAGTCAGCTGCACTTGTATGTTTACCACAACACTATTCGCAATAGAAAAGACGTGGAATCAGTGTTGGTGCCCATTAACAGTGGACTGGATTAAAAAAAAAAGTTGTATATATACACCATGGAATACTATACAGCCATAAAAAATGAATCATGTCCTTTGCAGCAACATGGATGCAGCTGGAGGCTATTATCCTAAGAGAATTAACACAGAAACAGAGAACCAAATACCATATGTTCTCGCTTGTAATTTGGAGCTAAACTTTGGGTAAATATGGACATAAAAATGGGAGTAATATATACTAGGGACTCCAAAAAGAGGGAGGGAAGGGGGCAAGGGTTGAAAAACTTCTTATTAGTTACTATGTTCACTATCTGGGTTGACAGGACAATAGAAGGCCAAACCTCAGTGTCATACAATGTCATATAGTACACCCTTGTAACCTGTACATGTACCCCCGAATCTAAAATTAAAATTTTTTTGAAGTGTCAGCAGGTTGGTTTCATTATGAGGCCTCTCTGCTTGGCTTGTGATAGCTATATTTTCCCTTTCTCTTCAAATGGTCATCTTTCTGTCTGTGTGTGTGTCTGTGTTTTAATTTCTTCTTCTTATAAGGACACCCATCATATTGGATTAGGATTCACCCATGAGACCTCATTTTTCCTTAATTCTCTGTTTAAAAGCTCTATCTCTAAATAGAGTCACATTCTGAGGTACTGGGTGTCAGGACTCCAAAATATGCTTTGGTAGGACACACGATTCAACCTGTGAAAGTGGCAGACACCAGAATGAAGTCACTCTTGTCAGACGCAGATAAAATTGGTTAAGAAAAGCATAAGGGAGGAGGTTCATACTTGTATCTCTGAGATAAGAACTGTTTCCAAGAACTTTCTAAAACCCCACAAGAAATCCCTTCATATCATTCATGCATCTCCTGCTTTGCAAGACTTTCACGTTTCATACCCATATATGCATTTCTATGAGAAGGTTTTTTGATTTTTTTTTCCTGAGACAGAGTCTCACTGTGTTGCCCAGGCTGGAGTGCGGTGGCACGATCTCAGCTCACTGCAACCTCTACCTCTCAGGTTCAAGCGATTCTCCTGCCTCAGCTTCCCAAGTAGCTGACATTACAGGCATGCACCACCACTCCCAGCTAATTTTTTGTATTTTTAGTAGAGACGGGGTTTCACCATGTTGGCCAAGCTGGTCTCCAACTTCTGACCTCAAATGATCCACCCACCTCAGCCTCCCAAAGTGCTGGGATTACAGCCATTAGCCACCACTCCTGGCTAAGAAGGTTTATCACTAGACACTCTTTAGCACCACAGTAATTCAGAATAAGATGCTTTGGAAACAACACTTGCCCAGTAATAGTACCTTCACCAATGAACTGTTGTCAGCTCTAGCTCTGAGCCACCAGAACCAATGAACTCTGTTTCCAAGCAGCTTACATTGACTTCTCCTTTTTTGCCAATAAAGCTTCTACTTACTCTTCCCTTACCAGATACATGTGTGGCTTGCCATAATTCATTCTGGATTATAACCCTCTTTTCCTGTTCCCCAATAAATTCAAAATATTTGGAGATAATTTTCTCCACTATCTTTGTTTTTTGGTTGATAAATCCATAGCAAGTTTCTACCTCATTGGCTTGCCACGTAGATTAAATAACACTTGCACAAATTTTAGCACAAGGTCCAGAATGTAGCAAGGACATATTAAAGGTTAATGAGTTTTATTTCTACTGACCTGGAATGTCTCTATCTGAAAATGTAATGTTCTAAGATTTTCAAGTCAAATTCAAGTATCTGGGAAAATAAACTGTAGAAAAACATAAGAAATAATACAATTTTGACCCTGAAGAGATAGATATTGAGAAAAAAAAAATCACAAGCTTACCAAATTGGCAATCTTGAGGTTATACAGAAAAATCACATTCACTTTTATATTTTAGCTACAGCATATTCTTATAAGCAATTTGTAAAAGGTGCAGTGTCTAAACACAGTAGATAGTATAATCTGTATACAAAAGTCATTTTGGGTGGATAATCACTGGAATTATATGCTCATTTTGGCCCACATTCTTCCAGCTTTCAGTCTCCTATTATAATCAATGGAAGCATCCAACAAAACAAGAGATTCAACTAACAAAATCAGGATCTTTGAAAAGCAGGTAGTGAATTTACTCTCTGAATGTTAATATCACTTTAAGTGGAAAAGTGTAAATACCAACGAATAAAGAGAAATTTTTTAAGATACAGAAAGAAAGTTGAAGCAGATCCAGTAGCAAGAGGTGAAAGGTGAATGAGCATAAACTGAAGATGTCAAACTTTTAACCTAAAAACATAGAATTTGTCATTCTACTTAGAAATGGGCTAATCACAGTTTAAGTTTTACCAGTTTCAAACACTTTTATGTTTCTATGGCTTCCAATTTCATAACAGGTGGTGACTAAGTTGTATATTTAGCCACAGAGAAATAAATATTTGTTAACAAGACAAAACAACAAGTCCACCAAGAGCCAAGAGACAGGGCTGCCCTCGAAAACAGGTTTTATTCATACCAGCAATAGCTGCCAACCAGACAAATTAATTTCTAAAACAGATGTAAAGAACAACTATACCCATACTCAGATGAATAACAACAGAATCTATATTTTTAATTTGAATACAAACAATTACATATTGTGATTAATTAAACTGGTAAGGCAGAATCAATGTCCATTTCCCAGTTCACAATGGGCTGGTCATTACTACTCACAGGCTCTAACGCAAGTCTATATTCTCCAGTCATTTAAGCCCAAAATCCATTCTCCCACCACCTAGCTGCCTGATGTTTGCTAACCACAGTGCTTGGTCCTCTTGCGTATCCTGTGGTTCTAAGGTACATCCAACAGGCCCTCTTAGTCTTTTCTATTTGTTTTGCTCTGCACAGCTGTATAATTCCCACAATTCAGGATGTGAGATCAAATAGGATCAGAGATGGGCTACTGAAAGTTTAACAACCGACTGTTGGAGAAGATACTGATTTGTAGATTTGCAAATCTCTGTGGTATATTCTGGCCGATTTCTAGCTATTACCATGGTGTCAATTGGCCCTCTAAACTGCTGGAGATTTAATAATTCACTCTCACCAGTTTGTGTGAGCTGGCTCTGCTATCTTACCAATAAAGGGCAAAATTAGACTTTCCCCCATTTCTCTAGCTGAAATTATTGAGGTACTAAAGAATATTCTAGAAGCTTAGAACTAAAAGGGTCTTTGAAGGTCACTGCCCTACATCTCTTATTTTACAGGTGAAGAAACTGCTGTCCACAGGGGTTAATTGTTACCTTTCCTTAACCTGTATTTTTATGACTGCTGCCTTTGTGGCAATGTGACATAACAGACTGGAGTGGGTCAAATGTTCATTCTTCACAAGACTGGATTAAAGATCAGCCTTTGATTTGCAGCTACTGACACTGTTTGCTGAGTTTTTGCTGTTTATCACTTAAAATAATAAAATTATAAAGTCTTACGCCCTCTTAGGTATGTAATCACTTCATTACTAAGTGACCCTAACTCTAAAAAAGTTATTTTGAAATAGAAGACAGGTAGTGATAACCCAATTTTATAAAAGAGATAGCAGAGGAGAATTCAATAAGCCTAAGTCCAAAAAAAAAAAAAAAAGCCAGTAATATAACTAGAATTAGAACCCTGAATATAAATCTAAGCCTGTAATCTTTTTCCTCCACCATGTAATACCTCATTCTTTCTGCATATGATTTGGCAAAGGTAAGGCAGGAATTGTGCTGTGTAGATTGATTCTACAAAATTGATAACGTTTTTAAAGTACAAGGCAGTTTTCTAGCCACTTTTTTGTTTGTTTGTTTGTTTGGTTAACTGCAATATGCCAACAGAAACCTATCTAGGTGCCATGCAACACCTAGGTAAAAGGGCTCTTCAAGAATTTACAATCTGTTTGGAGAAATGACAAATATATATGAAAAGATAATGATGGCAAAAGACTATAAATAATAAATGTCTATGAATAATACAGATGCAAATGTTAGTGGAGGTCCAAGGAAAAAAAATGATCTTGAGCTTGATGGATGACAAAAGAGCCCAGAAGGTTTGGAATTAGACCCTTGGCAATCTGATCTCCACCTGATTTTCCAGAAAATGATGGGTTTTTTTTTTACCTTCCTCCACAAATAGCTTGAACCAAAGTTATTATCACATTGAAATACCTGGCATTCTCCTTCCTCTGGGTGCATGCTTACTCCATTTCTAACTCTAGAAATGCATTTCCTACTATTCTGCACTGTGGCTATCCTAGCAATTTTCAAAGCTCAGTTTTATCCCTATCTCCTTATAGTTACCCTCCTTATTTAACCATACCAGGGGAAGTCACCTCCAAACCTCTGAAATGCTATGGCTTCATAAGCTTTTCAGGATAATTTTCTTTTCAACGAAACATCAACATTTGCATATGCAAATGTGTACTTTTCTTCAAAGTAAAACCTAGGGAGTATCTACATGTTTATTGCAATGAGGTTACCATTGCTTAAAACTTTATTTTTAATTTTACTTTGAAATTGCCCTCAAAGCAAGTTTTAAAATCTAAAACAAAAGATTACACCTTATTATTTTACCATGAATTGTCATTTGGTTTTTGGTTGTTTCTTAATCCATCATTATTTATGCTTCTATCATTACTTTAGGACTACAGTAGACTACAGTCTTACTGGATTTAACTTTATAATTTCAACTATTGTGGGTAACATAATTTGTGAGTTATATGATATGCAATTTTTCTAAGGCAAAAATTTGAGTAGTAGATGATGTGAGATTATGGCGTGGAAGCAAATTACCCACCTAACTGCCCCACATCCATAGGTCAATGCAGATTTTTGTTATTCCTTGCTCATCACCCTATATATATAAACTCCTGTGAAGTGACTTTTTTTAAATGATTATGAAAATAAACCCAATTATTTATGCTAGCGTAACCAGAATATAGACCTTTGGATTTTTTAATGGAATGCTGAAATTGATGTGAGTCAAATCAGTGACATGAATGAGTATACCATCTATTTTGTATGGAACCAGAAAAGACTTGTGAATCTGTTACAGTCAATGCTCCAACTAGAACAGAATCTATGCAACAAATGACAAATAAAACTTGAAAGAAAGTTGAAATGGTGAGCTATTTCACTTGGACATAGTATTATTCAATAGAAAATTCTAATATTAGTTATTTAGATTTATTTAGATTCATAGTTACATATTCACTGAGGGAAGGAAAAGTCATTTTCTATATTTTATCAAAGAAATTATATATCCATTTCAGTAGTTCTCAACTCCTTTGAGGTAAAGAAAACTTTGGAGAATTGATGAAAGAGGGTTCATACAAGAAAAATATGTCTATATACAGAAAAATCTTAGCATACAATTTTAGGGATTTTATAGATTCGTAAGGATCACTCCAGGACCCCGGATAAATGCACCAGTTATCTCTAAGTTTGGACTTTATATAGAACACAGAGGAAATGCATCAGAAATATCAGCGGGTACTTTATCGTTCCCATCATGGTTAGCACATTGTTTTGTATACCATTATCTGTGTTCAGGAAAACTAACAATTTTCAACCACAATATCTTCTGTATCTAATCAACAAAGATCTACAGGTAATTTTCAGTAAATATTATTCTTTATATTTAGCTAACATACAAAGTGTGATTCTATTAAATTTGATCATTATCCACATAATTACAAGTGGGTAATCCATTATTTCCTTCTCTTTCAAATGCTGATAACCTCTAACCTGAATTCATGACTGTAAGATTAAGTCAGACAGACCCCATAAGAGGTGATTAGCAGCATGCTGTTGTATATTAAATGGTCTTCATCGTTGTTTTATCTACTTGACATGCAGCAACAACACATCAAAGTTATTAAGATTAATGGCCTAATGATGAAAGCTAGAATACACAATTCAGCCTGTGAAGAACACTGCAGTGAAGCATGTGGAAAATATCTGAAACATAAATTCACTAGTGTAGCACTGACCCTCCTGAAAAGATATCTAGTACAAAGTTAATATACATGTGAGATCATGTATATGAAAGTAATGTACACTGTAACTTGCAATGTTAAATTAGGGATTTTTGTCATTGCTTTCTTGCCAATTTAGGAGTTTGTGCTAAATCGTGTGAGTGACAAAATGGAATTCAAACAAGGTGAAATAAATTCTTTAAGTATGAAATGGAACAGGTTCATTTAGGAGCTAACTTCAACAATATTACTCTGCTATACAAACGAAAATATGATCTGGTTAGAAGCCCACGATGATAGTAAATTACAGGTCCTGGTCTGTAGATAGCTTTCCCATTATAGTTGTCAGGTAAAGATAGAATCAGAGAACAAACATGTAACACTTGCTCAGCTGGTAAGTGTTATTAGAAAGTTCTTTCATGTCTCATCTATAAAAATTCTTCAGAGAGAAAATGACTAAGTTTTAAATTCTACAGGAATTTATTTTAATCCACAAAGTATTAGTAATCATGCCCGTTGGTCTTCTGAAACAGTTGAAGTTATAGCATCACGTCACACCCAGGTCAAAAAGCTCGGATATAGATTAAGATAAATTGGTAAGAAACCACTTTAAAACATGGAGGCCATGAAACAGATTTACATTTCTCTCCAAATAGTCTGGAAAGAATAATTGGAATTCACTAAGGGAGACTGTATCACTAGCAAACCCAAAGTCCAAATGTATCTTTGCATTGTAAATATTTCACTGGCTTAAGGATGAAGTAAGCTTCCTTCTGAAAAAAACACAAGGTAACAATGAAATAACCTTTCCTATAACTGCTGTCTTAAGTCTCATAATCAGTAATGAGATCCTGGCAGTATGCTTTTATCATTCTCAATCTGTATAGGATAGACATTTTAACTTGGCATTAGAGTGAATATGATTTTTTAAAAAAGAAATTAGAAGTGGTAAAAACTGTATTTATATTCTTATGTAAGTACACTCTAAAAGACCTATGCCTAGATAAGCCTCTCAACCCTTTCTTTTATTTGAAACAGGAAATCATTTGAGGTTTATCCCTGTAGGCTTGAGGATAACTTTTACCTTGAAGAACTCATCTAAACTCACAGATCTTTTTGAAGACAGTTATTCAGTTACTGCTGCTGATGGAATACAAAAGAAAAGTAAGAGCTCTGAGTAACAGGCTTTCTATATAAAAATAAATAACTCACCTCCAAAAATATTACAGACATATTCTTGATTAATATTCTACACTATTCATATTTCTGCAATTGGAAGGAGATTAAGAGAAAGCAAATTTTCCATTGTTGTAAATACCAGTGCCCTCTGAGAAACCTACTAAATATCCACTGTACAGTAACTGATGGTAATTTGAGTTTCTCATCCTGAAGCTGTTTTGGGATGAAGGGACTGAGGCCAGCTCACAGTGGGCATAAACCCTTCATCTGAGTTCCAGTTCAGTAGCTTCAAGTGCCCACTGAGTCTTCATTTCCTGGCATGAACTATCAACCCCATATCAACACTATCAACCCCATATCATTATTTCTAAAAAAAAACGCAGTCATCTTTCAAGAAGCAACAGTGGGCTGGGCATGGTAACTCACACCTGTAATCCCAGCACTTTGGAAGGCCGAGGCAGGCAGATCACTTGAGGTCAGGAGTTCAAGACCAACCTGGCCACAGCAAAACCCCATCTCTATTAAGAATACAAGAATTAGCTGGGTGTGGTGGCACATGCCTGTAATCCTAGCTGCTGAAGAGGCTGAGGCAGGAGAACTGCTCGAACTGAGGAGGTGGAGGAGGTTGCAGTGAGCTGAGACTGTGCCAATGGACTCCAGCCTTAGCAGCAGAGTGAGACTCTGTCTCAAAAAAAAAAAAAAAAAAAAAAAAAAAAAAAGCACCAGCAGAAGCGACATCTTACCCAGGGAGCTTTTACTGCCCCTACTATCCAGTTTGATTTAATAACTCACTTGTTACGTATCCTATAGTCATTATAAAACCATTTTGCCATTATTTGCTAAAATTTTTGTTTCTTTTATATAACCATGAACTTCTTGAGAATGGCTAATATATCTTACTCAAGGTACTCAAGTTCTTATTTTAGTACCTGTTAGAGCACTTCAAAAACATTGGTTAAAAGAATGAATTGAGTAAATAAGTTGTTGAATGAGGGAGGAGGTGAGGATGACAGTAAGCCAGTGAATGACTTGTCAGTATTTGAAATAATATCTTACCAAAATATCCACTGCAGATTTTATTTTATGGGATTTCAATTGAACAATGATATAGTTTGGCTTTTTCCCCACCCAAACCTCATCTTTAATTGTAACTCCTGAAGTTCCCATGTGTTGTGGGAGGAGTTCGGTGGGAGGCGATTGAATTATGGGGGTGGGTCTTTCCCATGCTGTTCTCCTGATACTGAATGAGTCTCACGAGATCTGATGGTTTTAAAAATTAATGTTTCCCTGCACAAGCTCTCTCTTTGCCTGCTGCCATCCCCGTAAGATGTGACTTGCTCCTCCTTGCCTTCCACCATGATTGTGAGGCCTCCCCAGCCATGCGGAACTACAAGTCAAATAAACCTCTTTTATAAATTGTCCATTGTCGGGTATATCTTTATCAACAATGAGAAAATGGACTAATACAAATTGTAAATATCCCCTTAATTCAGGACTATTAAGCTCACAATTCTGTCTTCATTCTCTCCCCAGTTTTTTTCTCCCATCTGCCAGTCTGGCATAATTACAGTTTCTACCTCAGGGTAGTGAAAATTAATTGGCTTGTAAATAATGATAAATTAGTCAATGTTCATAAATTGCTCTCAAGATGAAAAGCACTCCATCACCTCTAAGCATTTTTATTTATTAGAAAATAAATTGATGCATTATCGGTATCTGGACCATACTTGTGATTTATGCTATAAACATAATTAAGCTTTTTCTCTAGTTCTGAAATCTAGTTCTGCCTTTCATTCTGGGATGTAGACCCTTATATCACTGTCAATGTGCTAAGATGGATGATGAAATTCAATGCCACATACTAAGCCTGAATCAATGTTGTGGATTTTAGAATTTAGAGCAGTTGGCATAGCCAGGGTCTCATTCTGACAGTCTGGTCTAAGTTTTACCCTCTATCTTGGAAGGCCTAGTGCTGATTGAGCTAAGGCAGAGTTTTGTTGAAGGCTGGTTCTGGAAGTATGTTACTTTGAGCTCAGGATGCCTCTGGAGATATTCATATCCAAGGATCTTGCAAAACCAAAACATCATGCCCAGAAGCAAATGCAGGATTTGCAGAAGGTCCTTTATCTAAGGGGGATCAGACACCTGTTTCAAAGGAGACCACATCTAAAGGATATATAACAATATAAAGCTAGATGTGGAGACATATGCCAGAGAGTGAGAGATGTATAAAGTTCCCAATTTTTTCCTTGATAAATGCAGTTGTATATTCTATGTGTTTGATGATAAACTGTAATTTCTCTCATGGAATTGAGGCACTAGATAAACTTACTTGGCAAACCTTTGTTGCTTTCCCTCCTCCCATTATTTTGTGTTATTTTAGTGATTCACTAAATCTCGAAGTCTTGGGAAACAACACAATACTTCATCTGATATTCACAACTATGATTCTGTCCACTTTGCGGATGAAGAAACAATCTTTGAGAGACTTTTAAAGATCTATGTCAAAATGGAGGCATTTAGTCCATAGCAGAGCTGGGTCTGAAAACCATGAATGGCTTAAATCAATATTCCTGCTCATAACTACTATGTTACATAACTACTATGTATCTCTTTATGACAGTAATAAAAGGCCAGGCATAATAAGCATCAAAGGCCAAGATTGAGTGGAACAGGGATTCTCAATACAACTTATAAAAATCTTTAAACATGTTCCTACTCCAGTTTCCTTAAACTCATTTTGGAGTTATAAAGAGACTGCAATTAAAGAGATTAAAAATGTGGACTCTACATCAGTGGTCTAGCATTGGTAAAGCAGCTTTCGTAGCTTCTGGGGGGGTACTTTGTAGACAGACATCAGCTACCTAGCAGATCCCATGTGGTCAACACAAACAGAAGCAGTAATGGAGCCACCTTTAATGAGCACCAGCCGAAGCAATATTGTCTTTGCAGGGCATCTTTGAAGTGTGGCTTCAAAGCAACCTCTTTGGGCTCCAAGATGAGACTGGAGATAAGGGGGAAATGTCTAACACTATGGCAAAGCCAAGAGGACTTTTTCACAAAATATATATGAGGTAAACCCTAAAATTACTTGACAAGAATTTTTTTTGGATATCAGTGTTCTCATAAAATGAATTATTATGTCTGAGCTAGGAAATTATGACATTTGTGTCATGACTGTAGTTACTACAACTATTCTAGTTTTTATTATTTTTAAAGTTTCTTCCAGATCTTATACTCTGCAATTTTTGGATATAATATTTTATATTATTAGTTCCTTCTACTCAAAATAATCACATTGAGTTGGAATCTCCAAGTCAAGAAAAGCAGACATCATGACAATGTTAGTGTACAAGGAGTTCAAAAAATAAAGGAATAACCACGTTTGAATTTTTTTAAGTACTGATACTAAACAATAAACTGAAACGTGAGTTACCAACAGCTTCTTGTTGTTTTCCACTCTGAAAGACTAAGAAACTTTAGAATGCTTAATTGCTTCCTATGTATTAAAAGTTATGTAATTTCACATCTAGAATCATTCTATGTGAAGTCTAAGATGATCAAGAATAGGTATTAAAGCCATTTGATGACCCAACCAGCCCATGATTTTATCATTTTTTTCTCAAGAAGTGTGATGTATGCAGCTCTGTGTGGCTTCTAAGGGCAAGCTGATACCCAAAAGAAAATTACCTTTGCTGATCCTATGTCTTTCAACCACTTTTAAACCAATTTTATCATTGGCTTATAGCCAGTAAAATTAATCATCTTCATTATAACCCCGTATATAAAATGCAACTCTCTAAGCCTTTCCACTTGATGCACTTGATCCTACTCTTTCATTCCTGCTCAGTTCCTATATCAGCCTGCTTTTACAGATCAGTTCTTCCAGGCAAAAGAGTCTGAGGTGGCGAATTGCATGCAGGAGGTTTATAAGGTGGAGCTCTTCAGAGAAAGGTGAAAGAGAAGCAGAATGGAGTGGAGGGAGAGGTTGAACTATAGTACTGTTGCAATGGAGTTCTCAGCAGATCTTATTGGGATCTATGGAATTAGAAGGGCTCTTCAGAGTTGTCCTGAATCAAAGTAAGGGGTCTGTAATCTTGTACCCTGCATTGACTAGTCATTGGGTGCAAGGGTGCTACCATACTAAAGCAGCATCCTTCAGTGAGGACAATTTCAGGAGAGAAATTCAGCTCTGAGTAGTCAGTAGACAACACTCCTGGAAGCTGGGGAAATAAGAGGCCTGGTCCTGAAGGGGAACCCTGGACAGCACATCACAGCATCCCCTACAACCTGGCTTCTAAGCTTCCTGCCTTTGTGTCCAGTGGTCAAGCCTCTCCTTCTTCTTGGTTTCCTCATTGCGATCTGATGTACTGTCTTAGACACTGCTTTGGTCTCATCCTCTGGTTCTTCTTTTTCTTCTTTTTTTTTTTTTTTTTTTTTGTTGCTATTCTAGATTGCAGAATGTACCTGCTATATTCAAAGATAAGCTAGAACAATATGACTGGGGCTTAAAAAGTTAAGGCAGAGTTGCCAATCCTCCTGCAGAGTAATTCCTCTACATTCCACTTCAAGGATTATGCATAATTAAATTGAAGGCGTTTGACTTTTCTGCCTTTATGTAACTGCCTTTCTACCTCCCTTCACTACCTCTTTACTGCAACGAAAGAAGCATTTCTGCCTCCAGGTCTTGGCTCAAGTTTTTACTTTCACGGTGATGTCCTTGTCCTATATTTTTGTCTAAGTATATTGCCACAGTTGAGACATTCCTCTGCCTTTAACATTTCTCCAACTTTCTTGCCTCCTTCAGACTCTTTTAGCACACAACATCTCTGTCACTCATTACACATTTAATAATATACCTTTGACTTTACCTTTTTATGCTAACTGTTCTTCATGTTAATAGCCATGAATTTCTTACGCTTAAAAAAAAGTACTCAATGCCAAACACAGCATCTTTCCTATTGCAGGTTTTAGTGGGGGCTGTTCATCTCTCACTTTATTTAGTTTCCTTGACTCTTATTTATATTTTTGCTCAAATATTACCTTTCATAAAGAGACATTCTCTGACCACCTAATGAAAGTAATTCCAATCATACTCTGCTGTTCCACCATAACTCTCTACCTCCTTATGATGACACCTTTTTCTTCATAGCCTCTCGTCTCCTCACTATAGTCCTCCCAGTGCCAAGAAGTATACATAGTATGAGATAAATGCAATAAATATTTATTAATGAAATCACTTATTAACTGATATTTATTAACTACTCTGTGTGTGACACAGTGTTTACTAAGTGAAAAGTAAAGAGTACAATAGTTATGTTTCCTGCCCTCAGGTAGGATATAGTCCAGTTATTGAAACAAGCATTAATCAAAAAATAGTTTATATTTTCAAGTAACTAGAAGAGAGGATATCGAATGTTCCCAACACAAAGAAATGATAAATGTTTGAGGTGATGGATATGCTAATTACCCAGCTCTGATTACTGTACTGTTTATGTACAGAAACATTACTGTGCACCCCATAAGTATGTATAATCATTATGTATCAATTCAAAAATAAATTTTAAAGTCACACAAATAAATATATAAAGCCAATACTTTATTTTGGATGTTCCAACCGACATCTAGATGATACTTCTGTGCAACCCTTCAGATTCCTGGTGGAACACGATCCAACTCCAATGAGTCCAAAGACTTTAAAGCAAAGAATACTTCCAGAGGCATGGAAAGTGCTAAGGTAATATACAAAGAACTTGAGATGCTTGGAGACCACCAAGAGCAGAAAGCCATTGCTACCCTTAAGGGTAAAGGGTTAAGGGGAAGAAATAGCATTATTGGAACCCTCTGAGTACTCAAGCCATGGCAAAGGGCCACACAGCAGGTGCAGTAATCAAGAAGAGATGGTGGCCACTGCAACAAAACAGCTGAACAGGAAGTCAGGAAGATGTTTCTCAGCCTCCCTCTCTTACCCTCCTCCGTTCTACTGCTAGGGCATCCCACTGGTCAAATCCAACTGGAACCCAGGTGGCATGAGAGTATGGATAATTATCTTAGTCTGTTCAGCTACTATAACACAATTCCATAGACTGGGTAATTTATAAACAACAGAAATTTCTCACAGTTCTAGAGGCTGGGAAGTTCAAGATCAAGGCGCCAGCAGGTTCTGTGTCTGCGAAGAACCTGTTTCTCTTTACAGCACCTTCTTGCTATGTCTTCACATGGTGGAAGGGGAAGCAAGCCCCCTCCAACCCCTTTTAAAAGGGTGCTAATCCCATTCATAAGAACAGAGTTCTCATTACCTAATCACCTCCCAAAGGCCCACCTCTTAATACTATTGTATTGAGGATTAAGTTTCAACATATGAATTTGGGGGGGACACCATTATTCAGACCATAGCAGTGATGAAGTCCCTAGGTGTCCATGTCCTAGGATGCACAACAGGGTACAGGAAGGTGGAGATTGGATTTGAGTGTGTGTGTGGAATGGTGGGGGGGTGGGAGGAGGCCTGGAACAGAAAATATCCAGGAAGACTTGGAAGGGCTGAAAAATATAGTACTAGAAATTGATATGCCCCCCTCCCAATCCTATCACTCAGGAGTACAATGTTAGCACCTTGACAAATACCCTATAAAAGACAAACTCGAGTCACTTGTTTCACACAGTTTTAATGTTTAATTGCGTAAGTTTTATTCTCATAATTTGAGTACTTATTCATGATCCTGAAATGTTCTACTAATAAGCGTTTTCTGACCAGAAGGAAAAGGTTTTTGTTTGTTTGTTTGTTTGATTTTTTTTTTTTTTTTTTTTTTTTGAAATAGAGTCTTGCTCTGTCACCCAGGCTAGAGTGCAGTGGCACGATCAAGGCTCCCTGCGACCTCCGCCTCCCAGGTTGAAGCAATTCTCCTGTCTTGGGTTTCCAAGTAGCTGGGATAACAGGCACATGCCACCACGCCCAGTTAATTTTTTTTTTTTAATTTTTAGTAGAGATAGGGTTTCACCATATTGGCCAGGCTGATCTCAAACTCCTGACTTCAGATGATCCACTCACCTCGGCCTCCCAAAGTGCTGGGATTACAGGTGTGAGCCACCACATCTGGGTGTATTTTCTCTTAAATCTAGAAAATTCTTTTTCCCCCAGAGAATTTCATGGTGAAATAATTGACTGATTATGATTCTGTGGAAAGAATAAAAAACTAGTCCCAAAATAATCATTATGTAGAAACTTCTATGTTAAAAACAGCAAATATTAAAGGTGATATTGTACTGAATAATTTAAATAAGGGTTATTATGTTACATATATTTTTCCAAGTCTCTGTGTTATTTCTGACAGTTTATTGGAACAGGAGGTTTCATTCTTCCTCTAAGTCCCTGTGTCAGTTATTAAGCCATTGTCTCTGAGCTCTGTACCTACCCATTTGTATTCTGCTTTGCAATGCTCAGGCTGGAAATTCTTCAAGCTACACTTTTTCTTTAAAGTTGTTAAACTCTGCCATTAGGATGAAGATGAAAAGGCAGATAAAGGGAGAGAGACCCATTAGCGCTTCCTGTCTCTATCAGCATCATCCCAGCAGTCACAGATCATTCCAGTAGCAGTCGGTTCCAGTTTTCACCCTTTTGCTCACTCCAAGACCAGCATCCTTGTAACTCTTAAGAGATACCAGCACCAATCAAACAGCATAATCTCCCTGGAGAGGTGAGTCTCAGATTCAGAAAGCCCCTCCTCTAAGCTTCTAGATTCCAGTAACTCCAACTTCTTCCCTCTGTTTCCAACCCTGAGAATGGCAGTTGCCACCCGTATTTGCTATTGCTATGGTTTGAAATGTTTGTTTTTCTTTCTTTTTTTTTTTTTTTTGAGACAGAGTCTCACTCTGCCACCCAGGCTGGAGTGCAATGCAGTGGCACCATCTCGGCTCACTGCAAGCTCCGCCTCCTGGGTTCACGCCATTCTCCTGCCTCAGCCTCCCGGGTAGCTGGGACTACAGGCATCCGCCACCACGCCCGGCTAGTTTTTTGTATTTTTAGTAGAGACGGGGTTTCACCGTGTTAGCCAGGATGATCTGCATCTCCTGACCTCGTGATCCGCCCACCTCGGCCTCCCAAAGTGCTGGGATTACAGGCGTGAGCCACTGCGCCGGGCCTGAAATGTTTGTTTTTCAGTGCCGTAAAGAAATAGCACTTGAACATTAATTTATTTAGTAAGGCCATTTTTACTTCCTGCAGAAAGGGTACACTTGCCAGCAGTTTTGCCAGCAGACTACACGGAACAAAGGAGACAGGGTCATTTATAACCTGACGCGTCCACCCTGTGCTGTGTCCGGTTTCCATTGGCTGGAATGGGACCTCACATTCTGTATTTGTCCCTATTGGCTAGCAACTTAGAACTTTTTAAAAGAGGCAAAGGTAGAGGAGAACAAAGGAAGGAGGAAGTAACTTGTGGAATGCTGAGAGAGGTAAAAACACTTTTAAATAAGGAAGAGGAACAGGCTATGATCTAATGCTTCCTTGGATCAGTATAAGCAAATATTTAGGCTAAATTGTGGGAGCTAAGAACATAAAGTATATTGATTTCTTTATTACGGCTAGCACATATTTAAGAATGTTAGCACAGGTCTTTGAATAAATTTTGCTTCTAAGAGAAGTTACTATTTATTCCTAATTAGACAGGAAGGAAAGTCTTTGAAGAGGAACCTCTACTTTACTTTTTACACTATGCTACCTTATTGCTCCCTTTTCACTTCTTCAGTTCCTCATAGATGGTTAACCAATTCCCTGTATTAAATCCTTTCTTAAAATAACTTGTGTGATTTGTGTTTTCCTAACTGGACTTAACTAGACAGATGTGTGAAAGGAAAATATTTGGCGTTCCCCAAAATCACTAAGCTAAATGGAAAATTCAAGCTGGGAACTGCTCAGGGCAAATCTGTCTCCTATTGTATTCAAAGTCATCCCTCTGCTCAATGAGATGGATGCATATTCTGATTGCCTCCTTTGGAAAGGTGTATCAGAAGGTCAAGAGAATGCAACCATTTGTCTCTCACCCACCTGTGACCTGGAAGCCCCCTCCCTGCTTTGAGTTGTAATTCTTATAGCTATTGATTGAAGTCTCATGTCTCCCTAAAATATATAAAACCAAGCTGTGCCCCAACCACCTCGGGCACATGTCATCAGGACTTCCTCATGCTGTGTCACGGGCGTGTCCTTAACCTTGGCAAAATAAACTTTCTAAATTAACTGAGACCTGTCTCAAATTTTGGGGGTTCACAGATGCAATCGTCACTGTGCCATTACCCTCATCTCCCTTCCCTAACTCAACCCAACCCATATTTTTTAAGACGGGAGCAGTAATTGTTATAGCTATAAATGTACCATTTCATATAGCTTGAGAATCCCAAAGAAATCCAGAAACCAAGTTTATTTGTGCATTGTCTATGTGTCAGGTGTTGTCCTCAGTGTGATAGGAAGTATCTGTGTCATCACAAACCCACAATCTTGTAGGGAAGGCAAATTTTAAAAGTGTTGTGGGGGTGTGGAATAAGCTACCATGAAATGCAAAGTCACGTATATCCATGACATGTGATATTGAAGAAAGAAGTGCTTCATGCAGGAGGCAGGGCTTGACCTTTCTCAATGGATGCAAGAAGGTAATCAAAAGATTGAAAAACCAGAGGGTATTATGAGCAGAAGAACAATTTGAGACAAAAGGTGGAAGCAATACTTAAAATGGAAATAACATTTTTATTAATTCATTTGCTCCATTGATTCATCTACTCATTTATCTCACACATTTTTATGTACCTTTTCTATGCGAGGCCTCTGAGATTAATGCGAGGCCCTGAGATACACTGGTGAACCAAAACAGATATACCTCTGCCCCTGTGAGGTTCATATTCCAGTAGGAGAAACAAAGTTAATCAAATAATCATGTTCACAAACGTGTAATTGTCATTGTGCTGTGTCCCATAAAGAAAGGTTTATAGAGATATGGGAAGTTGGAATTGATGTAATGAAGCAAAAAGGAGAGGGAATAGTCTTCCAGGTCAAGCACTTGGCATGTGTGAAGAGGCATGGGGAGAAGGAGAAGCAGCTACAAGAGCCTGGAAGAGAAGCTGATGCCTGGATGGAGTGGGGAGCAGGGATCCTTAGGTGCTATGGAATGACTTCCATTGTTATCTTACTATGCTCATATTGCAGTTTTGCCATTTAAAGTAATTGCAAAAGCTGCAATTACTTTTGCGCCAACCTAATAATTGGAAGCACTGGAACTCAATGGATACAGGAAACCAATGAAAAACAGGAAGTAGCCCTTGGTCAGGGTTTCAGCCCCAGAAAATAATATTCCAGGCCACAAGCTGAGAAAGCAGAGAAGATGACTCCCAACCCCTGTGTGCTATGGGGGAATGTTGCTCACTAATGATTCCACAGGGGAGAAAGAAACAGAAGCAGAATTTGCTGTGGAAAGGAGGGACTACCTCTCTCCAGCAGGACTTTTTAATTTCACGCACAGAGTAAAGCCATGCTCGACTCCTTTGCTGACGTATCCTGTTGGATTCCAAAATACATGAATTTATGAAGTAAATTCATATAACAGATGAGTTAGTTATAGAAAATGGTTTGAGCATTTGGCATAATTAGTGTAAATATTGCATGCAATATAAAAATAATCTTATACCTTCTTTATTTAAAACAGGTTTAATTAATGTCAAGTGCTGTAACAAGTGGTAATCTCTGCTCCTTGCTTCTCTCCTCACACTGTGTGGAAATGCTCCCTGCTGTCTTGTTTACCTGCAGACTTTAGAGTCTAAATGCACAGGAGGGAGTTTATATTTTATTTCAAAACCTTTCTCTTTTCTTTCCTTCAGAGATGGCTTATTTCTTTCAGCAAGAGAAACTATTCCCAAAGCCCCTTGAAAATTCCTTTCTTGTAGACAAGTTCTGCGTCTTGCACTCCTTGCAATGACCTACACGGACCCACTCCAGGTTGACGGGCCTAACCATCAGGAGCAGGAATGTAGGTCATCTTTCTTGGCCACTACTTAACAACTGGACTCCTTTCTCCTCTCATTCTGCCTTTAGATTGACTCCACAGGGATCCTAAACAAGATAAGAAACTGGTCGGGGTGTCAAAAGCAAATGTCAAGAAAACAGAGAGAATTGTATTAGGCTTACAAAATAGCCAGGAGGGATTCTTCTGTGAGCTGCCTGCCTTCCTTCTGAATGAAAAGGCATACCTATTTGGCATCCTCAGCTTTACATGGGCAAAGGGGCTAAAATTATGGAGGAAAGTGTCTCTCTGTCTGTTAAACATTGATATCATATTTTATATTTTCTAAAACAGTACATTCATTTTCTTAGTGATCTGCAATACAGTATTTTAAGACAGATAATGGAGAAGTTTTCAGAGTCGCTCTTCAAATAAAATTCACTTTATCTCTTGGCTGGTGGTTGAATACCGTCACAGAAAGTAATGTGTTATATTCCAGTTTCTTGTAGTATTCAGGAAAATAGTTAACGTATTTACCAGGTAATAGGGCATTAACAGCATGAATGATTGACTGGGAAAGGCCAGTTACTTAACATTGCCGTACCAAAGATTTAGAGAAGTGTTATCTGCCTGGTTTTTCTATCTTGTTTAACAGTTTTGTTAAATGAAAAATTTAGGACAAATTAAATTTAACAGCATTTAATTGATCAAAGAACAATTCACAAATACACCAGCCCCTAGAACCAAAATAGGTTCAGGGCAACTCCAGGGCTGCCACATGGTCAGATAATAGTTACAGACAGAAAAAGGAAAGTCATATACAGAAAATAGAAGTAAGGTACAGAAACAGCTGGGTTGGTTACAGCACACCATTTGTCTTATTTTAACTCGGTTGGAACAGTTAGCTGCCTGTGATTGGACAAAACTCTGTGATTGGCACAAGAGTAGGTTACAGTCGGCTTCTACCTCCAGTTAACTCACAATTCACTATGTTTGCAGAAATCTTTAGGCCAAATCTAAAATATTTAACAAGGCATCTTTAGGCTAAAGTTAATTTAACAGTTTCAAACTACAGTCTTCACAAATCAGAAAGATCCAGACAAACACGAAAATCCGTTTAGATCAGAGAATTTCAATTCCAGGGTCCTTAATTTTATGAGATTATTTCTGAGCGTTATAAATCTGAAATGACTGGATGGTTTCTTTGGGAGTAATGTTAGTACTTCAAGGGTTACCTGCTGTTTCAAAAATCTATTTTCCTTTTTATTTAAACATGAAGAAAAATATTGGCATCAAAAAGTACTTTTCTTATAGTGAAGTTTCATGTTAGTACAAAATACTTTGATTTGCTTAAAAATCATTTAATAATTCCAAATTAAAATATATTCATAATTTATGGGGACTTTTTTTAACTTACACACTGCAGCTAATCCTGATTTGTCCTAAATATAATTTATGGACATTTAGACTTTAAAATGTGTATTTGGGGTTGTGAAATTTGCTTACTATTTTTATAGAGAACTCAAGTGTCTGATTTAAAACCAAAATACTGCAAAGGAGTGAATCAAAGCTGAAGATGCTTTTAATTGCTTCTATGAAAAGCTCCCTGGGCTCGGTTAAAAAAAAAAAAAAGATAATAAAAAATGCATTCATGGTTAATTCTCTGTAACGTTAAAGCTTTCACAAATGAAGCAGGAATCCAGATGTCTGTGCCCTGAAACTACAGGGAACCACAGCAGGGAAAAGGAATGGTCCTTACTGTGGACACCTCAATTCTCCCACCATGTGTCAGCCTTAGGAAACTGGAAAATTTTGGGCTGGCCACAGTGGCTCACGCCTGTAATCCCAGCACTTTGGGAGGCCAGGTGGGTGGACCACCGGAGGTCAGGAGTTGGAGACCAGCCTGACCAACATAGTGAAACCCCCTCTTTACTAAAAATACAAAATTAGACAGGCATGGTGGTGGGTTCCTGTAATCCCAGCTACTAGGGAGGCTAAGGCAATAGAATCCTTTGAACCCAGGGGGCAGAGATTTCAGTGAGCCAAGATCGCGCCATTGCACTCCACCCTAGGCGCAAGAGCAAAACTCCGTTAAAAAAAAAAAGGCAATATGTTCCCTATAGCTTCTCCTTTTACCTTTTGGCTTTTGCTATCTTCCTGCTGATTAACCGCCATCCACTCCTGAGGCCCCCACAATGCCTTCAGTCATTCAAAGACTACCTTCTGAAGCAAAGGGAGTTTTTTGTTTGTTTGTTTACTCGATAACTACTTCATGATTGGAACTTCACTTCCTCACCTTCTGTTCCGTCTGGGCTGTATACTACTGAAGCAATGAATGAATACTCACACAATAGCATTTCTCCTGTGGTAGTTTGCCAATCTTTTAGGTCACCCATTTACCAGTTAAAATTCGGTATCTCTCAAAACTCATTAAGTGACACTAATGCTAACCATTCCAGGCCCTTTGGTAGACTTCTGGGACAGATAGTCCTTGGACCACAGAGGCAGCTACCTTGCCAGCTCTGTGTAATGCATTTTCCCTCCCTTTTATATACCTTTCCCCACCGCAACACCACCACCTATGAACAAACCTACAGAGAATTTTCTCCACAGATTTATGACAAGCCCTTCTCTGATGAAAAGGTCAAGAATCAGTTAATCAGCAAGTTAACAGCACCAATATGTTCCCTAAAATGTACTAGGCACCTTGGGGATATTAAAAAAAAGTGAAACTATGGTTATAGGCAAGAATCCTAATCCCCTTTGGTAGCTAGAGAATAAGCTGACAGCAGGCTCTCGTGGGGGCACTTGTAATAAATGTTGAAGGAGTTAGAAGAGAGAAGAGGCTGCAGATGTATATGTATTCTATAGTGGCTTCAGTGCTTGCCCGAATGTCAGAGGAGATGCGACTTGCTCAAAGCCTCAAAAGGTGAAATTATTTGGATGGATAGTTAGTAAGTGGCCACACCAGAAGGTGCATAGACATGAAATGTGTGATTTTTTTTTAAGCCAGTGAAGTAGCCAAAAACAGTCACAGTAAAAATACTGTGAGCCAGTCATTCTGGAATCACTGATGTTGGCACTCCTTGGAAGCACAGGTGCACAGTGAATAAAAACTCCAATAGTCCTGGGAGAATGGTCTAAATAAGACGTGGGTTTTGAGAATTTTTTAAAAGCTGTGCCGTACTTAGAGAGGTGGTCACACAGAAAAAAAGATCAAATGGTGTCTCTAGTTCTGGCGGGCTTCAGACATTGCTACCATGCCCAGGACAGCTCTCCTGGGGCTAGTCCCACCCATTACTCAATTCTAAACCCACCTCCACAAACTGGATGGCTTAAAACAACAGAAATTTATTCTGTCACAATTCTGGAGGGTAGAAATCTGAAATTAAAGTGTCCACAGGGCCGGTTCCTTCTGAGGGATCTAAGGGATAATCTGTTATATGCCTCTTTCCTAGTAGGATTTTGGCAGCAATCTTTGGCGTTCCCTGGCTTGTAGATGAAACAGTCCAATCTCTGCCTCTGCCATCTCATGGTCATCTTCTCCCTGCATTTCTGTATGTCTTCACGTCGCATTCTCCTGTGTCTATCTCTTCTTATAAGGACATCATTTGCCTTAGTTCAGGCTGCTGTAACAAAAATACCAGTGACTGGGTGGCTTAAACAGCAAATATTTATTTCTCGTAGTTCTGAAAGTGGAAAGTGTGAGATCAGGGTGCCAATATGGTTGGGTTCTTGGTGAAGTCCCTCTTACTGGTTCTGGTTTACAGAGCTCTCTTTTTGTATCCCAACATAATGGAGCGAGCAAGCGAGCGAGCGAGAATATATTCTCCCATGTCTCCTCTTAATAAGGGCACTATCCCATTCATGAGGACTCTACCCTTATGATCAAATCACCTCCCAAAGGCCCCACCCCCTAATATCATTACATTGGAGGTTGGGATTTTAACATATGAGCGGAGGACCATTCAGTCTATAGCTCCAGTCATATTGAATTAAGTTTCCACCATACTACAGTATTACCTCTTCTTAACTAACAGCATCTGTAATGACCCTATTTTCAAATAAGGCCACATTCTGGGCTACTGAGGGCTGGCACTTCAATATATCTTTTGAGGTACGCAAGACCCATAACCGTCTGCCCTCTCTGTCCCTGCACCCCAAATTCCTGTCCTTCTTGGAAGCAAAATACATTCACTTCCATCCCAACATCTTCAAAAGCCTTAACCTATTCCAGCATCAATTCTAAGTCCAAAACCTCATCTAAATATAGCCAACTAAAAAAGTACTAGCTCTCATGATCTAAATCATCCAAACTCTACCCATATACAAGTCAGATTCTAGATAGGCTCCATCTTGTGGCAAAATTCCTCTCTCCATCTGTGGACCCGTGAAACCAAACAAGTTATGTGCTTCCAAAATGCAATGGTGGAACAGCCATAGAATAGATATTCCCATTCCAAAAGGGAGAAATTGGAAGGAATAAAGGAGTCACCAGTCTAAGGCAAGTTTGCAACCCCGCAGGACAAATTCCATTGGGTTCCGAGGCGTAAGACTAATTTACTGAGGCTTGATGTTCTGTCTTCTGGGACCACTAGGGCAGCACCATCCCCTCAGCTCTGGGTGGCAGCCGCATTTTCTGGAATTAAGGAGGCAGGAGCCCTGTCCCCTGGTACTCTTTCTGGCCTCTGCATTCATAGCTGTGCCCCCTGAGTCATTCTTCCTTCATTTTATTCCATCTCTGTCCCTTTCAGTCCAGGCTGGCTGTGTTTCTGCTAGTATAAAAATCTCAAAAATTTGGTCTTTGACCCTATTGGTTGTTCTCCTGTAGATGTTGGTGTCATAAGAGATCCACACCATTAGATACAAAGACTCTCCACAGATATTTCCTGGATAACAGCATCTCTGTTCCTAGCATCTGCTGAGATGGTTGATTGGATACAAGAGTCACACACCTAATCTCTGTAGCAAACTTTTGTCTAGGCACATCCTTGACCGTTAATAGAATACGCTACCTGGATACACTAAAGTTTTTTCCAAAATATCAAGTTCTGGCTCCTTTTTGCTTACCACTTAATTCTACAATGTATCCATTTCTTCTAGTAGTTTATAATAGGCACCAAAGACAAACCAGGCTTCACCTTCCATATTTTTCTTGGAAATCTCCCCAGCTAAATATCCAAGTTCATTACTTGCACATTCTACTTCTCACTGCTGAACAGCAGAACACAATTCAGCCAAGTTCTCGGCCACTTAATAACAAGAGCTGTGTTTCCTCCATTTTACAAAAACATGCTCCTCAGATCTGCTTGCAACCTCACCAGAGGCAGCTTTACCCTTCCTATTTTTAGTAACATTCTGTTTGTGTATTCTCTAAGATGATAGGAGCTTTCTCTGCAGCCCTCCTCACTTCTTTTTGAGCCCCAGAACTGCCTTTAATGTTCATATTTCTGCCAAGAGTCTCTTCAAGGCAATCTAGGCTTTTCTATCATGCACCTCAAAATTCAGCCTCTATCCATTGCCCAAGTTCAAAGCCACTTGCACAGTTTTAGGTATTTGTTACAGCAACACCCCTCTTCTTGGAACAAAAATCTGTATCAGTTTCCTAAGGCTGCTATAACAAAGTACCACAAACTGGTGCCTGAAGACAAGAGAAACTCATTGTCTCACAGTTCCAGAGTCTAGAAACCTGAAGTCAAGGTGTTGGCAGGGTTAGTTGTTTTTTTTTTTTTTTTTTTTTTTGAGGGTTCTAAGGGAGAATCTGTTCCATGCATCTCTTCCAGCTGCTGACATTTATCAGCAATCCTTAGCATTCCTTGGCTTGTAGACACATCACTCCAATCTCTGCCTCTGTCATTTGATGGTCTTCTTTCCCCGCATTTCTCTGCTCCTTCAGATTCTTCTCTCCACGTGTTTCTCTCCTCTTATAAGGATGCCAGTCACGTTGAGTTTCTTCCTACTCCCTTGTGACTTCATCATAACCAATTTCATTTGCAACTCATTTTCAAATAAGATCACATGCTGAAGTACTGAGGGTTAGTACTTCCACAGATCTTTTGGAGGGACACAATTCAACTCACAATAGTGTGTAACTTGAAAAATGCAATAACTCAGAACTCCTGGGTATGATGTCCCCTCAATTAAGCATGATAATGGTAAATTACCTTTCCAAAAAGAACCAGATAAAGGCGGCAGCTGGCACAGAGAAATGTCTGTATACCTATAGTTCACACATGAGGTTCAGGGACAGATCCATGATATGGCAAGGGGTGGGAGATTCTTCATACCCCTGTAACCCTCATCTTTACCCAGAAAGACTTAATTGTTAATAGGGATGCTCATGTGTTATTAGTGGGCCTCTGGTCATCTCCATTAGATCATCATCTGCTTAATCAGAATTAGTCCAACCTCCGTTACCTTCTGTATTTAAAGTGGTAGTAACTGAAAAAAATCTTTAACATAAAGGTGCTAGTCACTTTGACTTGGAACCTAACTCTCAGTGATTAGCGACTCTAGTGTGGCATATTGATTCTATTAGTGGACCAAATTTCTCATGTCTTTCTGTATCTATGCCCTTTGGTATACACTCTGATTCTGAGCTTGGCCAAGCCATTCGCTTTGGCCAATGGAATAGTAGTAACTTTGATTCAAGCAAAGGCTGCTTGAAAAATCCCTTGCATATTTCTGCTCTTCCTCTCTCCATTTTTCTCCTCTGCCTTTGACTTGAGAACATGCCAGTATGGCCAGGCTAGATGACTGGAAGATGAGACACAATATGCACAGTCTAGGCAGGTATCCCAGGTGAAACCCTAGACACCTGAGCATGCCCTGCCAGTGTCAGCAAAGCCACCTAGTCAATCCACAGCTAACCACAGCCACAAGAGTAAGCCCCACCATGCCCAGCTCAGCAGAACCAACTTGCCTATTAGTTTGAGAGAAATAGTCAGTAGGTTTTTTTAATCTACTAAGATTTTAGGGTATTTTCTATGTACTAGTATTATGGTAACAGATTACTGAATCATACAACAACCAATGCCATTCTATCACCCATATTTCTACTGCAGCAACAGAATATGGCCAACATGTGTGCTTCAAATAAAACTCAGGACAGTTTGACGCAAGTGTTCATAACAGAAAGAGTACATTTTGTGAGGGGATAGATTGTATTTCTGCATTTCTTATGGAGAGCAGTCTTCTTCCTGTAACTCAAGCCCATTGCCAAGTCCCTAAAACAAATCAGATTCTTAATAAATATTTTTAAATTAATGAATGAATGATTTTTTCATGAAGCATCTCATAAGTAAATGGAAACTGCAAAAAAAAATGATGTGTTACACTTCTTATATTTCCCAATTTTGTAATTACAGTGCTGACCGTGTAGTAAGAACTCAATAAACAGTACTTGCTAATTTGTTAATTGATTGATGAGACTCAGCCACTATCAATTACCACTGAGGAATGAACCAAGAAGCAGAATTAAACTTCATTAAGAAAGATTTCATTAGGCTCATAAG
Source organism: Homo sapiens (assembly GCF_000001405.40). NCBI lineage: Eukaryota > Metazoa > Chordata > Mammalia > Primates > Hominidae > Homo > Homo sapiens. The sequence continues at coordinate 15,416,407 of NC_000008.11, forward strand.
ACTTTTGTGACTTTCAATGTTCCTAACTACCAGAAAAGGATATTTTATTGCCTGTCTGGGGAACTAAAGCCTCTTATATGTTTTGCAAAGTAAACTTTCATATGGGATGTGTAATGTCTTCCACAGTCATGTCATGGATTAATTATTGTTCATTTTTTTTATTCTATGTTCATTCTATGCTCACATGTCAACTACAAGTTCTTATATAAGACAAAAAGGGTGCCTTAAATTATGTGCTATTTTGGTCCATAAAATATTTAAAGAAAAAATTTATTTCAGATATGAGAGTAGTATTTTATGAAATAATATCAAAATGAAAACACTGGCAAGAGCTACACATTCATTAAGTATTGATGGAACATCCACAATGTACAAGGCAAAATGTTTGGGGCTGGACAAGGTACAAACTCTAATTTCCACCCCTGAGGAAGAAGAAACGGGCAAATAACTGACTATGACAATTATGATGTTATCGGGGCATATATATGGTAAGAGGAAATAATTAACTGCGTGGAAAAAAGGGAAAGATTTCATGAGGGCTTCAAGATGTGAGCTGAAAATAAGCGAAAATTAGCCAAGTAGAAAAGGAGAGGAAGACTGATATGGTTTGAATGTGTGTTCCCTCCGATATCTCATGTAGAATTGTAATTTCCAGTTTGGAGAAAAGGCCTGGTGGGAGGTGAATTGGTCACGGGGGCAGATTTCCCCTTGCTGTTCTCAGGATAGTGAGTGCGTTCTCGCGAGATCTGTTTGTTTAAAAGTGTGTAGCACCTCCCTCTTCACTATCTTCCTCCTGCTCTGGCTGTGTGAAGATCTGCCTCCTTCCTCTTCGGCTTCATGCATGATCGTAAGTTTCCTGAGGCCTCCTCAGCCATGCTTCCTGCATAGCCTGCAGAAATGTGAGTCAATTAAACCTCTTTTCTTTATAAATTACACAGTCTCAGGTATTTCTTTATAAAAGCACAAGAACAGACTGATACAGAGAATATCTAGGCAAAGATAAACTCTGCAAAGTCACAGTGAGTAGCTCAGTCTGATGATTCATGGACTAAATGAGATCAGGTGTCAAGAGAGGAGGCTGGAGCATAGACTTGGATCCTGACCTGTAAAACCACAGATGTCCAGCTAAGAGGTCATATGACGGCAAGTCACTGAAGGCTTTCAATTTCATTTGCAATTTAAACGCTTACTCTAGGGAACGTTGTAAAGAAGGAGTTAGGGTAAATATATACTAGAGAGAAAATATTGCTGCATATTCACATGTGAAGATGCTGAGCACTCATCACTGGCAGGCTGTGCTTCAGGACTTCAAAGAGATAGTATGCACAGCTGGTAGGATATTCTGTGGCTAGCCAGCTGTAATCATTTACAGTTAATGTTCCTGATTGGCGTTGGCTTATGGTTAAGCTGTTGTGCTGTTGAATAAGACTGCGGCCTTTCTCTTTCACTCTCAGTATGGAGCTGTCTTAATTAAGTCAAGGAAAGGAAGGAAGGTACAGGAGCCTGCCGATATTAATGAGATGTGGGAAAGTTCTTTGCAACATTACAGAAACAATTATTAAAACTCTACATGCCTGGGAAACTCTGACACTTTATAACACTTGAAAACAAAAGCTTCCCAGGTTCCGTTAGATAGACAGTTACGAGAATTTCATACTCAATAAAAAAGGAGAAAACTACTATTTTATGTCAAGGAAACCAAGAATTAGTAACAAGCACAATAAATCAGCTCATCAACAACAGTCATTGAGCACCTACTATGTAATTCATCATTAAATGTGTTTGGGGCTTTTGTGGGTTGGTCAGCTCCTATAGTAGCCTATTAGTAAAATGCACAGTTTATCTGCCCTGTTATAACAATAGGTGGTATTCGTAACTGCACACAATGAGTAACGTAAACAAAAGGTCCTTTTTAAAATATATGTTTTCCCAACATAGATGACGCATTTTTTTTCAAACAAAATCATTTTTTATCTGCCAGAAACTCTGAAAGTTTTAGGTCTTTACAAGTATTTACTTCAAACAGTATTTCTCAAACTACTGCTACTTGTGAAACGTTTATTTTACAAAACTGTCATTAATCCCACAGGGCTGTCAAGAAAAACTATTAATAGCTAGAGAGCGAAAAAATTAGAAGTTGAAAGATTTTATATCAGAAAACAAAAGTTATAAAATCGGCAGCAAAAGACAAGGAGGAAGAATGTGAAATAGGAGGAGAGTAATCGGTCAGATGAAATTGAAGTCAACAAGGTTAAGACGAAGAGCTCAATGCTGTTTTTGTCAATACCTAAGAGTTAAAATTAAGAATTAAAGATTAGGCCAGGCACAGTGGCTCATGCCTGTAACCTCAGCATTTTGGGAGGCCAAGGCAGGAGGATTGCTTGAAGTCAGCAGTTCAAGACCAGCCTGGGCAACATAGCCACACCTTATCTTTACAAAAAATTTAAAACTTAGCTGGGCATGGTGGCACATGCCTGTAGTCCTAGCTACTTCAGAAGCTGAGATAGGAGGATCACATGAGCCCTGGAGGTTGAGGCTGCAGTGAGCCATGATCAAACACTGCACTCCAGCCTGAGCAACAGTGCAAGACCCTCTCTCTTAAGGAAAAAAGAAAAAAAGAATTAAAGGTTAAAAGTATCTTGCAGCCAAATTTCATGTGGGCACCATATTACAATGATACATTTCCCTCTCTCCAAGTAACCCCTTTGACCTTGCTGTGTAAAGAAGTCCATTTTGTCTCATCTCTGCGAATAAAGAACCTGAATGTAACTGTGAGAAGGGAGAAAAAAGTCTTCTGTTCCACGATAAAAGATTTGGCAAGAATAGAGATTAAAAATACTTTCACCAATTGTCAAGTGTCACAGTGTTTTAATTAGAGAGAAAAACAGGTGACAGGAAAGAATGAGCTATTGCAGTACTTCAGCTGTTGCATAACTTTCCGTGCAATCAATGTCTAGAAAGACATTTGAGTTCAGTATATCTTATTGCTGAAGTCAGTTATCTTCTGATTTTTAGTCTTTGCTTCTTTGAGGCGCCAGCAATCATAATATTTTAGAATGTTTATTCATAAATTTAGCAAACATTTGTGGAACACATGTGCCAAATTTGATGTGGCAAGTTTAAGAAAAACAGCAATAAAATTCCTCCTTTTAAAAAGTTTTCAGTCTACGGTTATACGTGTGTGAAAAAAACACTAAGCAAGCAGTGAATTCAATTAAATAATGCAAACACAAATGTCAAAGGTGTTCATCCCTTACATTTAAAATTTAACTGAGAGTTTTAGAAAGAAGACAAGAGTATCTCTATGACTTTATACAGCTTGTCTTTGGCATAAACTAAGTCTCAGTTTCCTAATTTGTAAAATAAGGGTAGGTGTTTAATATTAGCTATTTCTCAGCCCATTGTATGGTAAGAACAGTGGGGGTAAAGATTACTTCATACAATGCATTATAAACATATTGAGAACATCTGTATTTTTCTGAGTATTTGAATTGTCTTTTATAAATCTTTATTCTTAGATTCCCCAAAGCATTCCACATATTTAATTGAAATCAGTGAGTAAAGGACAATATATTTCAATGAATTCATTCATTGAATGAATTTTTGATCCCATTATATGTATCTGTGGATAGCAGGAAATAAATATATTATTTTTGATGTAATGATGCCAAAAACACTATAACAAAGCTTATGCATACACACTTTATGGAGTATTGTGGTGGCCTTTGAGAATTCACCTTTAGAGAGTTATATTTTGGTGACATATCATTGGCTTTTATAAAGGTCACATTAAATAAGAGTTCTATGTGGCCAGGTACGATGGTTCATGCCTGTAATCCCAGCACTTTGGGAGGCCAAGGCAGGCAGATCACTTGAGGTCAGAAGCTGGAGACCAGCCTGGCCAACATGGGGAAACCTCGTCTCTACTAAAAATAAAAAAAAATTAGCCGGGCATGGTGGCAGGCACCTGTAGTCTCAGCTACTTGGAGGCTGAGGCAGGAAAATCACTTGAACCTGGGAAGTGGAGGTTACAGTGAGCCGAGATCATGCCACTGCACTCCAGCCTGGGTGACAGAGTGAGACTCTGTCTCATAAAGAAAAAAAAAAAGTTGTGTGGAATCTGCTTCTGTATGAAACAAAACTTGTGAAGTCATTTCCCCTAACAGTACCATTTTTGTCTGCCTCCAGTTTCTGCAAAAATTCCTCTGAAGATTATTATTTTCCTCTTTACCTGAATTCCTCCCTTCTCTCTCAAACCATCTTTAATCATGATTCTCTTTCCCACTCCTACAAAGTACCTCTCTGGAGGTTACCAGCAGCTTCTTGTAACGGCACAGTTTCACAGTGGTGTTCCCTGTCTCTTCAGTGATGCACTTTCTTCACTTGGCCTCACCCCACGCTCCTTTGTCTTAGCTCATAGGTCACTTGTTCTCAGTCTTTTATGTTGATTCGCTTCTCCCTAGACTCCTAACTTTAAAGTGACCTGTCTCAGTCTTTAATCTTCTACTCTTTAACAACACACAATTCCTTGGTGATTTAATCTAGTGTCTTTGATTTAACACCCTTTATATGCAAGTGACACTAATTTTTTATCTCTTCCCAAGACTTCTGTCTTGAACTCTGCACTTATATATCCAACTGCCTACTCACTACCTCTGCTAGAATGTAACATAGTCATGTCCAAATTAATACATCCAAAACTGAGCTACTGATTCTGCAGTTCTTCCCCAGAGTATTCCATTCATATTCTTCCTTATAGTTAACTTCCTTATAGTTAACTTCCTTAAAGTTAGATCTTGTAACCCCTCTGCCCCTGCAACATCCCCCTCATCTCATTCAAAGTAAAAGCCAAACTCCTCACCATGGCCTACCAGGCCCTATCACATCCGACTCTATTACCTTTCTAATTGAATTTCTACTACTCTGAATTTATTCTGCCAAGAACACAGGAGACACTACCTTTGAGCCCTTACGGTAGTAACTCTCTCTTGCTGCAACACTCCTTCAGACACCTTCATTTGCCAACCTCTTCACTCATCAAGTCTTTGTTCAAAAAGGCAACACCATCTTATTAAAGACACTAAACTGCATTCCTAGTCTAGTCCCCTTTGCCCCATTCTACCTTTTTATCACTTATTGCCATCTGAAACACTGTAAAATTTATTTGTTTTAGTTATTTGTTATTGTCTCTATTTCCCAGCTAGAATGAAAGCCCCAAACAGAAGGGAATTTTTGCGTTTTGTCCACTAATGGGACAGTGGGAAAAAATATATAACAGATACTGAATGTTAAAGGTGCCTATTCATGCATGAATGAAATAGAGCTGAAAGAGAAAGAAAATGAGGTCTCCACGTCATCTGAGACCCTGGATCATAGACCTAATGTGGCATATATGGTATAGGATGACACGTGCCTAGTCATGTTGTAAAAAAATTCAATTTAAACTAGTCTGATTTTATGTTTTCTTAAAATGGAATGTAATAATTATTTGTTGAATGCATCTTGAATTCAATTGTTTTCTTTTAAAAAATCACTGCCACTGTCTTCTCTAGGAGCCAGTGTCTTCTCTGGGAGCATCATAATGTACTAATTATACTTATTGTTCCTTTCCTTTCTTGAGTTCCAAACTACATTGCACTTTAACTGTCTCTAGATTCTTTTCTTTACCCATCTTTCTGATACTCTTATACCCCCACTCTGCCCAAAATAGCTCTTTTCTAAATTTTGCAAATAAATTCAAATTATAATCAATGAAAAGTTTACAGATACTATGGTTTTTTATGTACTGACTAAATTAATCTCATGTTACTATTCTTGTGTGAGTTTATGATATGAAGTAGTAAGTAAACAAATTTCTCAGCACTTCTGTTGGTTTATTCTGTTTTATCCTATTCTATTACATTATGTTCCATTCTGTTGTTTAACCTAATACCACATGGTATCCATTTCTATCACTTTATAACACGTCTTCTTACCTACTAGAGAGATTACTCCTTGTTCTTCAAGAATGGGGACCGGCAGAGTAGGTGGCAGGGTAATGGAAGAGATGGTCAAAGGATGCAAAATATTAGTTAGAAGATATAAGTTCAAGAGCTCTAGTGTACAATAAGGTGACTATAGTTGATAACAATGTGTTATATTCATAACATTTGCTAAGACGGTAGATTTTAACTGCCTTCACCACAAAAACAACAATAAAAAAGTATAGTAATGCATCTAGTTTTTGGTTGATTGGTTGATTGGTTGGTTGGTTGGTTGATTTTGTGACAGGGTCTCACTCTGTCACCCAGGCTGGGGTACAGTGATATGATCAAAGGTCACTGTAGCTTCAATTCCCCCAGGCGCCCCACCTCAGCCTCCCAGGTAATTAAGACTACAGGCACCCACCACCAAACCCAGCTAATTTTTGTATTTTTTGTAGAGATGGGGTTTTGCCATGTTGTACAGGCTGGTCACAAACTCCTGGGCTCTAGTGATCCACCCAACTCGGCCTCCCAAAGTGCTGGGATTACAGGTATGAGCCACTGCGTCCACCCAGTATTAATTCACTTAATTTACCTATGCCACAGTGTATTTATATTTCAAAACTGCATGTTGTAAATGATAAATATATACAATTTTTATTTCTTGACTTAGTAAATATATAGAAATTTCTATCAAAACATGAGGTGGAAATGTTAAAAGTTTTTTTTAAGAAAAAAGTGTTTCTTAGTTTCTTATAATGTTGGACCTTTCCATTTTCACTACATTTTAGAATCTGTTCATTTGCACATGTACAAGCACAGGTTCAGTGCATACATGGTACAGACACACATAGATCCATATGCGGGATTTGATTTGCTAATATTTCTGCATCTATGATAATGAGAGCTGTTTCTCTGTATCCTTTTTTGAAGTGTCTTTGTAGGATTTGGTTTGATCAATTTAAAGTGAGTTGGACTATGTACCCTCATTCTGAATGTCAAGGTCAACCTTACTTTTCGGATACTGTCTCCTAGATTTTTCTACCTAGTGCGTTCCATAAGTCTGTCGTAAGTTCAGCCTCTTTGGGAATCAGGAAATGCACCCAGGGGAACAGCATCTTTAAGTTCAAAATTGTATTCTTTCGATTTCCGTCTTCTGGATTTGGCCCAGTAATTTTTCAATTTCTTGTTAGCTGCCAGTTTGATTTAATTCTTACTCGATTTTTCTAGTTGTCCTTAGCAGATGAGGAGGTTTGAAATACCTGCTCACCATTACTAGAAGTGCACATCCTTGCCCTGGTTCTCTCTTGATCCTCCTAAAGCGGGGAGAGTGGGCTTTCTCCAAGTGAAGGACAAGTCAGAGGTTTACCTTTACTCTCATTCTGAAGAAGTAAGTCTGAGGTAAATGGAAATTGTCCTGATATCCATAAACCTGTCTCGCTGTCTGGAGCCCTCATAATACAGGAAGGACTAGAAGGCTCAGTTTGTTTCTCTATTGAGAGAAGGCGGGATTACCCCTGTTGTGTGGGGCTTATTGACCAGGATGTTTCCAGGAAAGTCTTCGTTTTTTCTCTTACAGCATTCATACTGTTTTGCTTTGTTTTTTTTTTTTTTTTTTTTTTTTTTTTTTTTTTTTTTGAGAAGGAGTTTTGCTCTTGTTGCCCATGCTGGAGTGCACTGGTGCTATCTTGGCTCACTGCAACCTCTACCTCCTGGGTTCAAACGATTCTCCTGCCTCAGCCTTCCAAGTAGCTGGGACTACAGGCACACGCCACCACTCAGCAAAGTTTTGTATTTTTAGTATAGAGGGGGTTTCACCATGTTAGCCAGGATAGTGTCTATCTCTTGACCTTGTGATCTGCCCCCTTGGCCTCCCAAAGTGGCATTCATACTTTATACAATCAGAGAAGGTGGTCCCTGGCTGTCTCAGGAGTGTATCACCGCCCCTCAGCAACTCTAGAACAACCTGGAGCGTTGTTATTCCCCTCCCAGTATTTATCCATCTCAAAATAGGACATGACTAACAAAATCTGGACTATGTCTAGAGGGAGGGAGGAAAAAATAGGACACACTGACTAATAACTCACAAAACTAATAGGAAAAGGGATAGATGTGGTTTCTGAGATTAACGTTTCTGGGCAAACAAAAATGACATCTGCCCACCGCAGCAGACCCAGAACTACCATCATGAGCCTTACGGATGTTAAAGTTGATTAAAAAATCGTTAGTGGCTGGATGCGGTGGCTTACGCCTGTAATCCCAGCACTCTGGGAGGCCGAGGTGGATGGATCACGAGGTCAGGAGATCGAGACTATCCTGGCTAACACGGTGAAACCCCGTCTCTACTAAAAATACAAAAAATTAGCCAGGCGTGGTGGCACATGCCTGTGGGCCCGGCTACTTGGGAGGCTGAGGGAGAAGAATCACTTGAACCGGGAGGCAGAGGTTGCAGTGAGCCGAGGTAGCACCACTGTATTCCAGCCTGGGTGACAGAGCGAGACTCTGTCTCAAAAAAAAAAAAAGAAAACTCGTTAGTGCCCTCCACAATTGCTAGCATTAGGGAATGGGCAGACATGTACAAAAGAATTATATCGGTGATGGCATTGTATATTACAAAGGTCTTTAAAATGTGCTATTTGCATAAGGATGGAAGTGCTCAACTCTGCTTATGAAGGTCAGGAAGAATCCTAGGAATGAGATAAAAACTGACATCTCTTTAGGATTGAGTAAGCTTTGCAGAGGTAGGCAAAGGAAAAGTGTGATTACAATGAAAGGTAATGTCTTGCAAGCAAGGGGATGGGAGATTAAATGAAGTAGTCAAGTTTTCCATTTTCAATAAGAAATGTTAAAAGGAAACAGTGGAAAAAATGACAAAGCACTATTCAGGGCCCAGTTGAAGTTGGAAACTATAAATTGGTTGTGTTGCCAACCTCCACAGTTGTGTGATTCTTTTTCGCCCTTAAGAATGCTTTGGCAGACTGTTTCGTATTGATAGAGACAGATGGATATGCAACAAAGTGACATTTCCTCCTGAAAGAAGTGCCATAATCCTATGATGAAAATTAAGGGAAGACTTCTGGACCGAGAGAGAGAAAGATTTCTTTATTGGGGTATAAGAAGATGCAGAAGGCAAGAGAGATGGTTTTTCAAGTACAATATGTATGTTGCCTGAAAAACCCTTTGTTCTGGCACTGTGGGAAAGCTTTGGGAAACAGAAGTTTGTATGTAAGTTCAAAGTGTGGCCGAGTCTGAGCCACCAGGGCATGAAGTTAGAGAGGCAGTATGCCGAGGACCAATGGACCAGAGCCAAAGATTATATTATTCTCTACGTTTTATTAACAAATCTCTCATGGCTTTGATCTCATGGCTAGAAATTTCTGCACTAGTTAACCATCCCTGTGAAAAACAGGGGTTATTCCAAGCGGCCTGATGACTTAGACCCTACCACAAATATAATCAATGTATCCTATGTCAAACTCATAATTAAAATAGAAAAATAGGACAAGTGTGGTAGCTCATGCCTATAATCTCAACACTTTGGGAGGCCAAGGTGAGAGGATCGCTTGAGCCCAGGAGTTCAAGGCTGCAGTGAGCCATTATTGTGCCATTGTACTCAAGCCTGGACAACAGATTGAGGCTCTGCCTCTAAAAAATAATAAAATGAAAATAAAAGATCAAATAAAATAGTAAAATATATTCCTTTATTTTTAACAGCTGTATTTAGGTGTAATTGACAGAGAGCTGCATATATTTAAAGTGTACATTTGATGAGTTTGATATGCAAACATTTGTTATCCCATCATCACAATCAAGGTAACAGTCATGTCCACAACCTCTCAGTTTCCTTGTATTCGTTTGTTTTTGTTCTTGTTTCTCTGTGAAAAGAACACCTAACATAAAATCTACCCTCTTAACAAATTTTGAAGTCCAAAATACCATATTGTTAACTATAGGCACTACGTTAGACAGCTGATTTCTAGAACTTATTCATCTAGCATAAGTGAAACTTGATGCCCATTAAAAATTCCCCAGTTTCCCCAAATCCCATTATTGTATTCTTTATTGTATTCTTTGCTTCCATGAGTTTGACTGTTATAGATACCTCATGTAAGTGGAAGTCTACTATATTTGTCCTTCTGTGACTGGCTTATTTCACTAAGCATAATGTCCTCCAGGTTCATACACCTTGTCACAAAGGACAGGATTTCTTTCTTTTTCAAGACTGAATAATAAATACTGCATTATATGTTATTTCCCCATTCTTCTGTCAATGGACACTTGGGTTGTTTCCATAACTTAGCTTCATGAATGTTGTAATGAACATGGGTGAAGCTATCTCTCCAAGATCCTGATTTTAATTCTTTTGGACATATACTCAGAAGTGGGATTGCTAGATAATAAGGTAGTTCTATTTTATTTTTACCTTTTGAGGAACTTCTGTACTGTATGCCATAGCTACTACACCATCATATATTCCCACCAGCATTGTACAAGGGTTCCACATTTTCTACATCCTTTCAAATACACTATTAGCCATCCTAACAGGTGTGAGGGAAAAGATAATTGTAGCTTTCATTTGCATTTCCCTGAGCATTAGTGATGTTGAGGGTATTTTCATATACCTGGTTGGCATTTGTACGTCTACATTGAAGAAATGTTTAAGTCTTTTACCCATTTTTAAATTAGTTTTTGTTTGTTGTTTGGTGTTTGTTTTTTTTTTGCCATTGATTTGTAAGAGTTTCTTACATACTTTGGAAATTAACCCCTTATGAGATACATAGTTTACAAATACTTTATTTCATTCTACAGATTATATTTTCATTCTGTTGAATATTGTCTAACGGTGCAGAAGGTTTTTCCTTTTTTTTTTTTTTAGTTTAGTTTAATATAATCCTGTTACAGGAGGTAGCTGGTCAGGTATGAGCAGGGCAGGAGAGGGCTCCCACACACGCACACACCAGGAGTGTCAGGCAGCCATCAGGTGATGGACAAGCAGCTGTTAACTGCCTCTCTAGAATAATAAATGGTCATAGCTGGCACCAGGGAAAGGCAGTCTCCAATAGAAAACACCAGAAACTGGTAATGAGCAGCATCCCAGTAAGATCTCAGGGGTGTAGAGAGCTAACACCAGATGCCAGAAGTATGCCAACGTATAAAACCCCAACTTGACAGGTCAAGCCACGCACTTGGTCTCTCAAGTCGCCTGGTTGGCCTTCTTCCAAATGTACTTTCCTTCCTTTCATTCCCGCTGTAAAGATTTTTAATAAACTTTCACTTCTTCTCTAAAACTTGCCTTGGTCTCACCTTATGCCCCTCAGTCAAATTCTTTGTTCTGAGGAGGCAAGAATTGAGGTTGCTGCAGCCTCATATGGGTAACTACCACTGCTAACAGCCACACTTGTGTATTGTTACTTTTGTTGCCTGTGCTTTGTTGTCATACTCAAAAAATCTTTGACAACACCAATGTCAAGAAGCTTTTCCCCTGTTTTCTTCTGGTAGTTGTACAGTTTCAAGTTTTCCATTTAAGTCTTTATTCCATTGTGAGTTGATTTTTGCATACAGTATGAGATAAGGATGCAATTTTATTCTTTTTTTAAATTTTTTTTTTATTATTATACTTTTAAGTTTTAGGGTACATGTGCACAACGTGCTGGTTTGTTACATATGTATACATGTGCCATGTTGGTGTGCTGCACCCATTAACTCGTCATTTAGCATTAGGTATATCCCCTAATGCTATCCCGCCCCCCTCCCCCCACCCCACAACAGTCGCCAGTGTGTGATCGTCCCCTTCCTGTGTCCATGTGTTCTCATTGTTCAATTCCCACCTATGAGTGAGAACATGTGGTGTTTGGTTTTTTGTCCTCACGATACTTCGCTGAGAATGATGGGTTCCAGCTTCATCGATGTCCCTACAAAGGACATGAACTCATCCTTTTTTATGGCTGCATAGTATTCCATGGTGCATATGTGCCACATTTTCTTAATCCAGTCTATCATTGTTGGACATTTGGGTTGGTTCCAAGTCTTTGCTATTGTGAATAGTGCCGCAATAAACATACGTGTGCATGTGTCTTTATAGCAGCATGATTTATAGTCCTTTGGGTATATACCCAGTAATGGGATGGCTGGGTCAAATGGTATTTCTAGTTCTAGATCCCTGAGGAATCGCCACACCGACTTCCACAATGGCTGAACTAGTTTACAATCCCACCAACAGTGTAAAAGTGTTCCTATTTCTCCACATCATCTCCAGCACCTGTTGTTTCCTGACTTTGTAATGATCGCCATTCTAACTGGTGTGAGATGATATCTCATTGTGGTTTTGATTTGCATTTCTGTGATGGCCAGTGATGATGAGCATTTTTTCATGTGTCTTTTGGCTGCATAAATGTCGTCTTTTGAGAAGTGTCTGTTCATATCCTTTGCCCACTTTTTGATGGGGTTGTTTGTTTTTTTCTTGTAAATTTGTTTGAGTTCATTGTAGATTCTGGATATTAGCCCTTTGTCAGATGAGTAGGTTGCAAAAAATTTCTCCCATTCTGTAGGTTGCCTGTTCACTCTGATGGTGGTTGCTTTTGCTGTGCAGAAGCTCTTTAGTTTAATTACATCCCATTTGTCAATTTTGACTTCTGTTGCCATTGCTTTGGTGTTGTAGACATGAAGTCCTTGCCCATGCCTATGTCCTGAATGGTAATGCCTAGGTTTTCTTCTAGGGTTTTTATGGCTTTAGGTCTAACATGTAAGTCTTTAATCCATGTTGAATTAATTTTTGTATAAGGTGTAAGGAAGGGATCCAGTTTCAGCTTTCTACATATGGCTAGCCAGTTTTCCCAGCACCATTTATTAAATAGGGAATCCTTTCCCCATTTCTTCTTTTTGTCAGGTGTGTCAAAGATCAGATAGTTGCAGATATGCAGCATTATTTCTGAGGGCTCTGTTCTGTTCCATTGATCTATATCTCTGTTTTGGTACCAGTACCATGCTGTTTTGGTTACTGTAGCCTTGTAGTATAGTTTGAAGTCAGGTAATGTGATGCCTCCAGCTTTGTTCTTTTGGCTTAGGATTGACTTGGCAATGCGGGCTCTTTTTTGGTTCCATATGAACTTCAAAGTAGTTTTTTCCAATTCTGTGAAGAAAGTCACTGGTAGCTTGATGGGGATGGCATTGAATCTATAAATTACCTTGTGCAGTATGGCCATTTTTTTTTCATGATATTGATTCTTCCTACCCATGAACATGGACTGTTCTTCCATTTGTTTGTATCCTCTTTTATTTCATTGAGCAGTGGTTTGTAGTTCTCCTTGAAGAGGTCCTTCACATCCCTTGTAAGGTGGATTCTTAGGTATTTTATTCTCTTTGAAGGAATTGTGAATGGGAGAAAAGAGAGAAGAATCAAATAGATGCAATAAAAAATGACAAAGGGGATATCACCACCGATCCCACAGAAATACAAACTACCATCAGAGAATACTATAAACACCTCTATGCAAATAAACTAGAAAATCTAGAAGAAATGGATAAATTCCTGGACACATACACCGTCCCAAGACTAAACCAGGAAGAAGTTGAATCTCTGAATAGACCAATAACAGCCTCTGAAATTGAGGCAATAATAGCCCACCAACCAAAAAAAATCCAGGACCAGATGGATTCACAGCCGAATTCTACTGGAGGTACAAGGAGGAGCTGGTACCTTTCCTTCTGAAACTATTCCAATCAATAGAAAAAGAGGGAATCCTCCCTAATTCATTTTATGAGGCCAGCATCATCCTGGTACCAAAGCCTGGCAGAGACACAACAAAAAAAAGAGAATTTTAGACCAATACCCTTGATGAACATTGATGCAAAAATCCTCAATAAAATACTGGCAAACGGAATCCAGCAGCACATCAAAAAGCTTATCCACCATGATCAAGTGGGCTTCATCCCTGAGAGGCAAGGCTGGTTCAACATAAACAAATCAATAAACGTAATCCAGCGTATAAACAGAACCAAAGACAAAAACTACATGATTATCTCAATAGATGCAGAAAAGGCCTTTGACAAAGTTCAACAACCCTTCATGTTAAAAACTCTCAATAAATTAAGTATTGATGGGATGTATCTCAAAATAATAAGAGCTGTCTATGACAGACCCACAGCCAATATCGTACTGAATGGGCAAAAACTGGAAGCATTCCCTTTGCAAACTGGCACAAGACAGGGATGCCCTCTCTCACCACTCCTATTCAACATAGTGTTGGAAGTTCTGGCCAGGGCAATCAGGCAGGAGAAGGAAATAAAGGGCATTCAATTAGGAAAAGAGGCAGTCAAATTGTCCCTGTTTGCAGATGACATGCTTGTATATCTAGAAAACCCCATTGTCTCAGCCCAAAATCTCCTTAAGCTGATAAGCAACTTCAGCAAAATCTCAGGCTACAAAACCAATGTGCAAAAATCACAAGCATTCTTATACACCAATAACAGACAAACAGAGAGCCAATTTTATTCTTTTTGCATCTGATTATCCAGATTTTTGTACACCAGTTACTAAAGAGACTGTCCTTTCCCCATTGTAATTATTGTTGACTGTCCTTTCCCCATTGTAATTATTGTAATCTTTGGTTAAAGGTGAAGTGATACATGTCTAAGAATATTTCTGGGCTCTTTATTTTACTCCACTGGTATATGTATCAGTCTTTGTGCCAGAACCGTATTGTTTTAATTACTGTGGCTTTGTAATATATTTTTGAAATCAGGATGTGTGATGGCTCCAGATTTGTTTATTTCTCAAGATCACTTTGGCTATTCTTGGTCTATTGTGGTTCCCTATGAATTTTGGAATTGTTTTTTCTATTTCTTTTTTTAATCACATTTTTTAAGTCATTAGAATTTGATAGGGATAGCATTGTCTCTATAGATCACTTTGATTAGTATGGATATTTTACCTATATTCTTCCAATCCATGAACACATATATCTATCTATTTGTGTCTTCAATTTATTTGATCATTGTTCTTTAGTTTTCATTGTACAAGTCTCACTTCCGTGTTTAAATTTATTTTTATTTTATTCTTTCGAATGCTCTTTAAATGGCGTTGTTTTCATAATTTCCTTTACAAATTGTTTGTTGTTAGTGTATAGAAACACATCTGATTTTCATATATTGGTTGTGTATCCTGCAGTTTTGCTAAAGTCATGGATTAGATTTAACAGTGCTTGGCAAACTCTTTAGAGGTTTCTATATATAGGATTATGTCTTGTACAAACAGAAATAACTTTGCTTCTTCCTTTCTGATTTGGATTCCATTTTTTCTTGACTAATTTCTCTGGCAAGGACTTCCAGTATGTTGAATAGAACTGGTAAGACTGGGCAACTTTGTCTTCCTCCTAATATTACAGGAAATGATTTCAGTTTTTTACCATTGACTATTATGTTAGCTGTGGGCTTGTCATATATGGACCTTATTATGTTGAGGTACTTGCCTTCTCTACCTATTATGTTCAGCCACTGTTAAGAAAGTCTTGAATTTTGTTCAAATGCCATTTCTGTGTCTATTAGAAATTACATTATCACATTTATTTATGTTGCACTATCTTTGCATTCCAGGCATGAATCTCACTTAATTGTGGCGTGTGATTCTTTTAATGTTCAATGGCATTTGATTTGCTAGTGTTGAGGATTTTTGTATCTGTGTTCATCAGGGATATTGGCTTGTAATTTTCTTACATTGTTCTTGTCTGGCTTTGGTATCAGAGTAAAACTGGTCTCATAAAATGAGTATGGAAGTGTTCCTCCTCCTCAATCATCTGGAAGAGTTGAGAAAGTGTGGCATTCATTCTTCTATAACTGTTTGGTAGAATTCACCAGGAAGCCATCTGGTTTTAGGCTTTTTGTTGTTGTTGTTGAGAGGTTTTTGATTACTGATTCAATCTCCTTACTCCTTATTCATCTGTGTATATTTTCCATGTCTTCATGTTTTTTATCTGTAGCATTTATTTTTTGCTACTTTCTTAAAATGTCCATTTCCTTGCTTACTTACATTTCCCATCTGTTTTCACATTCTGTCTACTTTATCCATTAGAGCACTTATATTATTCATAGTTGTCTTAATTTTAAGTGTCATAATTTCAGCATTCTCTGCCAAGTCTGGTTCTGATGCTTGCTCTCTCTGTTCTCAAACTGTTTTTTGCCTTTCAAAATGTCTTATAATTTTTTCTTGATAATGAGACATGGTGTACTGATAAAAGAAAGTGCTATAAAGAAGCCTTTATTATCATGGTGGTAAGGTCAGGGAGAGGGACTGCTCTGTAGTGCTATGGTTATGTCTCAATCTTTTAATGAGTATGCACCTCCGAACTGTGAACTTAATGTGCATCTCGGATCCCCTCACCCCGCCCCCACACCCCACTTAGGTGAGGCAGGATAGCTAGAGCGGGTTAAAGTTCTGTTTTTTGCTTCCCCCACATGGAAAACTACAGAAGGCTGCTTTTGTGTATTTCCTCTCTCCCAGGTCAGTTAGGGGCTGATAAAACCCCGGTAGGTTAGCCTCTGGCTAAATCGTTCTCCTAAGGGCAGACCTTGTTAAGAAGAACAGAATGCTTTGCTATATTTCAAAATGGTTTCTTTTTCCCTTCCCCTGCCAGGAGTACAAGGGGATTCTTCTGCAATTCCCTTAGAAACTGAAGGGAGTTGATAGGGGAATCCAGTCTCATGACCCAATCTCCAAATAAACAAATTTTACTCTGTCCCTGCATTTGCTAGTCCTTTTTGCATTTATATTGTTTCAGATTTTTATTATAATTTTTTAAAGATGATATTTTGGTACCCAAGTAACTTCTTTCATTCTGGAGAAAAGTTCTTTTCCATTGTGGAAATGTATTCCCCCATATATTTAAAAAAACAACATAGTTCACGTGTAGACTGGAACATGGTCAGATTGAGGCCACACCAATGAAGTCAAATTTGGTGTCAGTGAGTGTCAATATGTCTCTTAATTTTTTAAAAATTTTTCTTCTTAAAATAATGTTTCAGATATAACTTACATAAAATGGAACACAGACCTTTTATTAGTTTGAGTTTTGACAAATGTATGTCATGGATAACCACTCAACCAAACTATAGAAAATTGCCATTATTCCTCAAATTTCCCTTTATTCCTGTTCTCATTCAAAATAGCTCCCCACTCCCCCACCCATATAACAGCCCCTTCACACGTATACACACACATACACACACCACCACCGCCACCACCACATGCCAGGGCTTAAGCGTTCCTCTGATCTTTACTCTGCCACTCTAGATTAATTTGTCACTTGCAGAATTTAACTAAATGGAGCCATACAGCACATACTCACTTTGCCTGCCTTTGTTTGCTTGAGTGTTTTTGATGTTAATTCACGTTGTGTGTTTTAGTTATTTATTCCTTTTTATTGGCTGAGTAGAAATATACGTTATATGGATACATCAACACATACTCTGTATTTGGATTTTTTCCAGTTGGGGGTCATTATTACAGAAATCAAGCTATAAATATTTTATATACACATAAAAACATAAAGCTAGGAATATTTTGTACAGAGCTTTCTGTGGATATGTGTTTTTATTTTTGGACGGTAAACAAATAAAAGTGTAATTACTGTGTCATATACTAAGTATATATTTAACTTCATGAGAAACTAAACAGTTCCTCAAGGTGACCTTTCCGTTTTGTAGTCTCAATAGCAACGTGAGAGAATTCCATTTGCTCCATATCTTTGCTAATCCTTAGTATTATCAAACTTAAACTTTAGCCATTCTAGTGGTGTGTAATGGTACTTCATGGTAGCTGTAATTTTTATTACCCTAATTAATAATAATCATTTTATGTATTTGCCATTTGTACACTGTTTTTTTGTGAAGTGTCTGTTAAAGCCTTTGACTGGTATTAACTGGCTGTTTGTCTTTTCATTATTTGAGCAGTAAAACTTCTTTAAGTAGTTTGGATACAAATTCTTTGTCAGATACATGTGTTCTGAATATTTTCTTGCAACGCAAATTGTACTTCTTCAAAATCTTCCAGATTGTGACTTTTCTTTTTTTTAGTAATGTCTTTCAAAGATGAAATCTTGTTTAATGGGACTAGTTGTTTTATTCACTAACCTGAAATATTCTATGTGCTCAAATTATAAAGCCATTCCTTTTTTTTTTTTTTTTATACTTTAAGTTTTAGGGTACCTGTGCACAACATGGTGGTTTGTTACATATGTATACATGTGCCATGCTGGTGTGCTGCACCCATTAACTCGTCATTTAGCATTAGGTATATCTCCTAATGCTATCCCTCCCCCACGACTTCCCCCACCCCACAACAGGCCCCGGTGTGTGATATTCCCCTTGCTGTGTCCGTGTGTTCTCATTGTTCAGTTCCCACCTGTGAGTGAGAACATGTGGTGTTTGGTTTTTTGTGCTTGCAATAGTTTGCTGAGAATAATGGTTTCCAACTTCATCCATGTCCCTACAAAGGACATGAACTCATCATTTTTTATGGCTGCATAGTATTCCATGGTGTATATGTGCCACATTTTCTTAATCCAGTCTATCATTGTTGAACATTTGGGTTGGTTCCAAGTCTTTGCTGTTGTGAATAGTGCCGCAGTAAACATACGTGTGCATGTGTCTTTATAGCAGCATGATTTATAATCCTTTGGGTATATACCCAGTAATGGGATGGCTGGGTCAAATGGTATTTCTAGTTCTAGATCCCTGAGGAATCGCCACACCGACTTCCACAATGGTTGAACTAGTTTACAGTCCCACCAACATTGTAAAAGTGTTCCTATTTCTCCACATCCTCTCCAGCACCTGTTGTTTCCTGACTTTTTAATGATCGCCATTCTAACTGGTGTGAGATGGTATCTCATTGTGGTTTTGATTTGCATTTCTCTGGTGGCCAGTGATGATGAGCATTTTTTCATGTGTCTTTTGGCTGCATAAATGCAACAAGTGGGCGAAGGATATGAACAGACACTTCTCAAAACTCATTCCTTATATATTAATGGAAAGGGCTTGAAAATTTTTTTGATTTTAATACATAAACTTAAGGAATATAGTGAAGTACTCAAATGTCTACAGAAAATATTTCAATAACATTGATGATGCATGCATATTTCAAATAGCATATTATATAAAACAAAATACTAATATAGAAGTACTGGACTGTTTCCAATTTCCAACATCATGAAACAATTATATTGAAACTCTTTAGAGGTACCTGGTGCCTAAAACATATGCAAGATTTTATTAAAATGTATGTATAAATTGACTCCCTCTTTTTAGCAGGTTGACTTAGAGGAATAAAAATCTCACCTTACATTTGAGCATATAAAGTGAGAAATAAGGATTTTTAAGGAATTTAACTTGGCCTACATTGCTCTTGGAATCTGGATAGGCATAGCGTTGCAATTTCCATATAGAGTTTAATGAACAACTTGAACAATGGTTCTTTTTTTTCTTAATGTATTTTCTATCTTTGTAACAGATTACCTCCAAAGCTTAGTGGCTTAAACAGTATTTTTATTTCACATTGCTTCTGTTGGTTAGGGTTTTGGAGAAGCTTTGTCTGGGGAGTCTTTTCTGAAGCAGAATCTCTGATGCCATCACAGACGTATGTTGACTGGGGCTGCAGTTATCTGAAGCCTTGACTGAGGCTGGAATACCCTTTTTCAAGATCGCTCATTCACATACCTGGTACTTTGAAGTTAGCCATGGACTGGGGTCCTCAGTTCTTCTCATAGGGTTTCCTGACTATCCTCATGGAATGCTGGCTTCCCTCAAAGAGAGTGGTCTGAGAGACAGAACATGGCAGAAGCCACGTTGCCTAAGAATGTAGCCATAGAAGTCATACAGTCACATCTGCTGCCTGGTATTGGTTTTGACGGTTATCAAAAGGAAAGGAAGTAGATCCCTGCCTCGTGGACTTACATCAATGGCAGTTTGTAATGAGAGCATGTGGGATGGAATGTCTATTGGCCAGTTATCTTTTTAAATGTAACCTGCCATAGTTCTAAATTTTAGATTCGACCAACAGTGAGGATCTACCATGTTAGACCTCCGCTTTGCTGTTTTGTTTAGACTAACTTGATCTTCAGCATAACCTTGTGAGCTAGTTTGTACTTTTTCATTTTATGCCGAAGAAATAGAGGTTAAGAACAACTAATGTTTCTGAAGTCTTCATATAAACCGTATGGAGTACAGAGCATGATTTTTTATGTTAATCATGGGTTCAGATTGTGATTGCATTACTTATTGACTATGTATATAAAAGAACAATAAGTAATTACCTGCAAAAAACCCAGAACTTTCACAAAAAAAATACACATTTCATAAGAAAATGACCAATTTCTATAGGTGTTTCATAGTGTGCAAGTGTCACTCACCTCATTCACAGCTGTAAGACTGTCTTACAGATTAAAAATACAGAGGTTAACTCATAAGCCTGTGTATAGGAAGAGGCACAGTCTGAAGTATAACCCAGGTATTTTGACTTTTAGGGCAGTGCATATTTTTTATTGTTTACATCTTGTTGATAATTCAGATCAATCTTTTCCTATTAAGCAAATTAGAATTTATAGCGATTCTCACAATAGTACACAACTGGCTATTTAAAATTGATGCATGAACACAGGAAATGGGAACAATTTTCTCAAAAATTGTTTTCCATTACTTAAAAGTTTAAAGGAAATTAGTCTTTTGAGTCAAATTAAGATATCTCTAAAACTGCAGAGACCTGAAAAGTTCTGTTTCCCCTAAAATATAACTAATCATGCACTAATCATTAGTCCCATAGTAATTGTATTAATTGTATTACATGAACAAAGAATAGGAGATAATTGCAAAGTTTAATGGGCAAAACTTTTCCAGCAATTCACATGTACCATTTATTTCATCAGATAAAAGCAAAAGGGGTTATAAACTTGAGGCTGTTTAGTCTAGACCTACATATCTCTGTTTACTACATTTCTAAGCAGCTTTTATTTTTCCTAATGTTTCTGAAATGTTTCTTAATTTTTTATGGCTTATGTCATCCAGAAAGAGATTCGTGATTTTATTCTGTGGCTGTTATAAGTGCTTAGAGCTTCTACTATTAATATTTGGTTTGAATTTGAAGGATGCAGCAATGAAAAGAATTTTTAACTTTCTCTTGTACTATTTTAGAACTTCAAAAGCATTAAGAAACTGTAGTGCAGATGAGATACATTAAGACAATCATCTCCTATTAAGATCTGAAGCTTTGCCTAAGTTATAAAAAGGTATATGTATAACTAAAAGTAGGACTCGCTTTGAAATAACAGAGGCAACACTTGGCCCTGTATCCTTCCAGCTGCACCCTTTGGAAGCACTGGAAAGTAGAAATATTGTTTGCTCATGGAAACCAGGATCTATACCTCGAGTTTCAGATTTTCTCCTACAGTCATGCCTTAAGGACTCAGAACACCTGCACTGAGATACTCATCTATTAAATTCACCTCTGCTCGTGTATAAAATGAATGCACCCTGTTGAGATAACAGGATAACTCCAACTTGAAAACATTATCCCAAAGTGGTCGTATGAGAAGCAGGCAGAATAAAAGCTTTGGAACTGTACAGACATTTGTTATAAGGTCTTTCTACTTCTTACCAGCAGGTTGTTAAATATTTCTGAATATCAGTTTCCTCACCTGTGAAATGAGGTTGTTGTGTTTTTTTAGCTTTGTTGTCGATGTGTGTTTTGTTGGGTTTTTTGAGACGGAGTTTCACTCGTTACCCAGGCTGGAGTGCAATGGCACAGTCTCGGCTCCCTGCAATCTCCGTCTCCTGGGTTCAACTGAATCTCCTGCCTCAGCCTCCCAAGCAGCTAGGATTACAGGCATGCGCCACCACGCCCAGCTAATTTTTGTACTTTTTAGTAGAGACAGGGTTTCTCCATGTTGGTCAGGCTAGTCTCAAACTCCAGACCTCAGGTGGTCCGCCTGCCTCGGCCCCCCAAAGTGCTGGGATTACAGGCGTGAGCCACCGCGCCCAGCCAGGGGTTGTTGTGTTATAGGAGATGCTGCATATAAAGTATGTGCATGGTGCCTGGTATAGTCCTGGAACCTTAATAATTGGAGGTGTTATTGTTTCTGCTGAGAATTTCAGAAACTTGAGGTAGACTCGTGGGTGAGAGATTTTTGGTGCTCCTGTGAAACACTGAAAGGCCAATCTACTAATACTATTCATGGGACCACCTTTGCTCAGCAAAGATGGTTTCATCTGTAATACACTCAGTAAATTGAATACTTTACATCAGCAAACTGAATGCTGACCTTGTGCCAGGCATAATGTTCTGTAGAATAACAGTCCTTGCTCTTATATAGGACTTCATTTAGTGCAATTCTCAAATTGCACTGAAAAATATATTGGGTAAATTTCTCCTGACAATCCTAGGAGCTAGGCAGAGCAGATATTATCCCCATCTCAAAGATGATGAGTGAATATGCAGAGCCCTGGTGGGAAACACACAGTACATTCAATTTAGGTAATTTGAGGAGAGTTTAATAAGCACCCAATTTAAAATGGTGTGGTCGCAAGGAGAGGAATCTACAAAACACAGTGCAGTAGCCAATTGCTGTTACTCAGGCGTTGGTCGAGGCAATCTATACCCTCTGACCGGAAGGAGCAAGGATTGAACCCAGAGAGAGAGGGCTATTTGACGGCACTGTGACCTTAGTCTGGGAATGCAACTCGTCCATATACATCCATCAGGGATGAAGCCAGGAGAAGAAGGGCTGACCTTCACCCATTTCCCTCTGACCTATCACAATTGCTTTCACAAACCAGACTGAAGTGGTAGCCAGCGACCCAGGAAACCCAGTGATGCAGTCCATAGTAATCAGCCAACTAAATTACAGAGCAAGATGGTGAAGGACAAAAAAATGCCAGGCACAGTGGCTCATGCTTGTAATCCCAGCACTTTAGGAAGCTGAGGTGGGAGGATTGTTTGAGCCCAGGAGTTTGAGACCAGCCTGGGCAACACAGTGAGTCCTTATTTCTACAAACAATAGCTGAGTGTTGTAGGATGTTCCTGTAGTTCCAGCTACTCAGGAGGCTGAGATGGGAGGATCACTTGAGCCTAGGAGGTTGAGGCTGAAGTGAACCGTGGTTACACCACTGCCCTCCAGCCTGGGTGACAGAGCAAGACCCTGTCTCAAAATGAAAACAAAAACAAAAACAGAAAAACATGAAAGGGCAAATGGAAGTCATACACAACACTGTGTTTTAACAAAGTTAGATTCTTTTGTTTATACAAATTTGGGAGTGAGGACTAGATCTCAAGTGCTTTAAATTACAGAGTAGTTCTTTTTTATTTTTTAGACATACTGTGTTATCTCTTTTATCTTAATAAGTATTTCCCTCCAGTGTTTGATCCTTCTATATAGTCTTTATTCATTTCTGCCTTGCACTAGTCTGTCACCATACAAATCTGTCTACTCCAAGTACATTCAGTCTCTTGGTTCATTAGTAACAAAAATCTTCCTTTTGAATCATTGCATCATTTTGCTTCTTACAAGTAATGCAACAGATACTAGTTAAATTATTTCATCCATTCATTTAACAATTATATAGTGAGTGTCCACTCTATACCAGGCACAGGGATAAGTAAAGGCAAACCTGGCCCCTACTCTCATGGCATTTTGAGATAGGCTTTCATCAAATTATCCCACTTACGCATGTGTAACTACAAGCTGAGATAATTGCCCTGAAAGAAGGAACATTTCTATGATTTTGGGCTGGGATTTAAACTGCTTCCCGAGGAAATGAGGCTTCAGCTGAGGGCTGAAAGGTGAACAGAAGTTAACAAACCAAAGAGAGGAGTAGAGCTGAGAACTTTACGGGCAGTGGAAACAACACATGCAAAGTCCCTGTGGCCATTGGGAGTATGACAGATCCAACAAATAAAGCCAATATGGGATGGGCTTGGAGAAAGGGAAGGAGAGGTGGGAGGTGGGCCCAAGTAGAAACCCAGAATGATTAGACAGTGTCTTGAGGATCTATGCAGAATTTTGGTATTTTTCACAAGAGCAATGGGAAACGATTGAAGGATTTAAAGCAGAGAATAACAGAACTAATTTTTATTGTAACAAATCTCACTGATGTTGCCGTGTGAAGGATGAGTTGGGAGGGGCCAGAGGAGAATCAAACAGACTAGTTAGAAGTCTGTTAAAGAAATTGAGGCATAGCATCTTACAGGATGGAATATTAGAATTGACTTAAGCATTCTTTTATTGATTGCATTTTTCCTCTATTTTAAACAATGCTACAAAAAATATATTTCCATGTGCGAGCTGGTTTGTGCATGTCAGTGTGAACTTCTCTAGAATAGACACTATGATATTCTTCAGGAAACTATGTCTTCTTCATTCCAAAGATTGTTCAGGAACTACTGGGAAGAGAGAGACTACTTTTGATAGGGATGTTAATACATACCAGCTTTAGGTTGGAGATGCTAGCAACTGCCTCCCCAGATAGAGAGCTTGCTTGAGGATAACTCTAACAAAGAGGAAACCATTGCCAAGTTATGTTGATGGACCAATTTCTAGTAAGTTTTGCGGGTTCATAGATGTAGAGGTGCTGGAGGCAAGTACTATTTCTGGAATTGCATTGCCTAATAGATTCTCCATTTTTGTTTAAGCTAATTTAAGTTTGGTTTCTTTCATTTGCAACTAAAACTGCCCTAATAATTAAATTAATACTAAATTAAAAATCAAGTAAGTGATGGCCAGGCACAGTGGCTCACGCCTGTAATCCCAGCACTTTGGGAGGCTGAGACAGGTGGATCGCCACAGGTCAGAAGTTCAAAACCAGTCTTGTCAACATGACGAAACCCCGTCTCTACTGAAAATACAAAAATTAGTCGGGCATGGTGGCACGTGGCTGTAATCCCAGCTACTCAGGAGGCTGAGGCAGGAGAATTGCTTGAGCCCAGGAGGTGGAGTTTTCAGTGAGCCGAGATCGCGTCACTGCACTCCAGGCTGGGTGAGACAGCGAGACTCTCTCAAAAAAATTAAGTAAGTAAATGAGATCTGTCATTATATTCCTATAAAAATAATATTTATTAAATTCAAAAAGATTGTTTAGCCCCAAACAATATCAGTGATATTCTTGGAACATAGATACTTGAATGGAAAGAAAATATGCTCATAGACATGGAGAATTGTTAGAATGCATAATAGGCTATGCTGAGAATTAACAAAAGGACAACTGTTCTCTTATCAATATTAGGGACATTTCTCATTCCTTAATAAGCACGTCTACCAACAGAAATTATTCAATTATTCAGTTGTGAAGAAGTGTAAAAAATACTTGAATATTATTACAGAGAACAGGGGGTATGTATTGAAGCAGTGATGAAAGCTGACATGAGGTGTCCTGAGTGTTCCAGACTGGATGACCCAGCAGGTGGGATGATATAGAGCTTTTTGATTATGCTTCTCTAAGCACAATGTCAACCAAACAAGTGATTTTACTAGATACCAGCTATATGAATGGATCTTGTATTCATTTTAATGATCTGAAAGCAAGTCCCCAGGAGAAACTCCTATCCGGTCTCATTCCCCCAAAATAGCTATTTGTTTCCCGATAAGTTGGTTTGTTCTTATCATATAGGGACTCTTAAATCATATAACTGACTGGGCTTCCTTTTTTTAAATGGCTTTCAGAAAACATTTAGTATTAACACTGACTCCAAACTATTAGGATTTGAATGTGTTTAACTCTTTTATGGATTTAGGGATTTTTTTTCTTCATTCTTATTACTTCTTTGTCAAATATAGTATATATACGATTTTTGTCAATTACCTGTTGCAATTTATACTACCTATACTATTCATACCAATCATGTATTTTATTTATAATTTTAAGTTACATTATTTCTCTAAGAAAGTAATCTGAAAAATCTCTAAAAGTGACTTGAGGAAGTATTTTTTTTAAAGGTAAAGGTTTTATTTATTTGATAAATAATAGGAAAGAATAAAGAGTAGAAAAAAGGTAAAGTTATTAGAAGGGCTAATTTTAAATCCCCATGAAAGAAAGTGCTCATTTGTTGCTTTCTAACAAAACTAATAAAGTTTTATTTAAAAAGGTGATCTGATTAGCTGTTCCCAGTGGATTGTTTACTTTCTTACTAAAATACACATAAAAACATGGTACAGGAGGAACATGCACAATATTAAAAAGTAAGACTGATAAATGCCTTACTCCTGATGTTTCTCTTAGTAATTTTCCATCCACAGACACCTCCCCCAACCCCTTTGTTATTAATGACATTCATTCCTTCTAGATTCTGTCATCAGGATAGGAAGACAGAATCATCCTGATGAAAGAATATAGGAGGAATGAATGTCATTGATAACAAAGACTTCCTCCTTGACCAAACTTTAGTCAGGCTCCTCTGAGTCCTCTTCCCTACTAGACCTCAGCCTTGGTCTTCTGTATCCATGGTGCATGGAGCCCAGTTGTAGACAAGAATCTTCCCACCCTTCATATCTGATCAAGTTTCTCTCCCCCGACTCTTATTATCTAACTCCTCAATCTGCCTTTAGTTGGTTAAGCTAGTTATGCAAGAATCCTCTTTAAGCTTGATGTTTCCCTTTTATAATTTTCTGTCCAGTAACCCCTTCACTCCACTGTGGGCTATAAATCCTCAGCTGTTTTTGCTATCTTCAGAGTTCAGCTCAGTTGTATACTGAAGTCTCTCTCCCCTACTGTAGTAGTTTAAATAAAATCTGACATTTTTTTCTTTTTTCTTCCTTCCTTCCTTCCTTCCTTTCTTTTTTTTAGAAGGCATCTCACACTGTCACCCAGGCTGGAGTGCTGGAGTGCAGTGGTGTGATCACAGCTCACTGCAGTCTCGAGCTCCTGGACTGATCCTTCCACCTCAGCCTATGAAATAGCTGGGACTACAGGTATACAACACCACACCCACCTAATTGTGTGTGTGTGTGTGTGTGTGTGTGTGTGTGTGTGTGTGTGTGTAAAGATGGGGTTTCACCATGTTGCCTAGGGTGGTCTTGAACTTCTGGGCTCGAGTGATCTGCCTGCCTCAGCTTCCCAAAGTGCTAGGATTACAAGAGTGGTGAAACCACCTTTGAAAATTATGACTGAGACAGTGAAAGAGATCTAAATTAACCGAATCCATCTTGCTTCTAACCTTTAAGCTGTTCTTATTCCTTCCTGGGTGTAGGCTGAACTAGCTTTGGGAGGAACTTAATTTATAGTTTAAAACAAAGATGATAACAGCCCTTTCCCAAAACAAAGCTGCTTCTTGCCTGGAGACTAGACTGCCTTTGTAGGACTAACAAACTAGCCACAAGATGAGAAATTATGGTTTAGGAGTCACGCAGCTGGGCGCTACAAGATTCTCACCCTCCCTAAGCTGCTCCAGGATTAGTGCTTAAGATACTTTGCAGACCCTGCAGTTGATGGATTAGCTGGCACCACCCAGACGGATAAACTGGCTCACCTGATCTTGTGGCCCCCACCCGGGAACTGACTCAGCCCAAGAGGACAACTTCAATTCTGCCTAACCAATCAGCACTCCTGGCTCACTGGCTTCCCCCACCCCACCAAGCTGTCCTTAAAAACTCTGACCCCTGAATGCTCGGGGAAACTGATTTAAGTAGTAATAAAACCCTGGTCTCCCACAGAACCAGTTCTGTATGAATTACTCCTTCTCTATTGCGATTCCCCTGTCTAGTGTCCAGTGCTAATTTTTGTATTATATTCATAAGCAATTAATTGACACAAACATAAAGTACTCCAGCTGCAGTATATGACACACTGCATCTTTGCTTCATGAAATAGACTACCTGAAAAGTAAGACGAGCCTTCATGCTGTTAAAGACAAGACTCTTCATGACACTTGTTGAAGCAGACTCTATTCAAGGAGACGGTCATGATAGGTGTAGGGACTACTGCAATGAGCTTTTGCAGTAGGGGTTACAGACTGGACTCAACTTCAATACAAGGAAAAGTGGGAATTTATAGCCAAGGAGTGAGTCAGGGGAGATAGCAGTAGATGGAAAATAACTAAGAGGAAATATCAGGCATAAGGTTAAAGCAACCTAACAGGATTCTTGCTGTAGGCAGACCAGGGTAATGAGACATTACCTGGGGATGGTGGAAGATGACGAACCTGATCAGATAGGGAGAGTGGGGAATTATGGCTAAATTGACTTAGCAAGATTCTTGCTTAAAATTAGACAAATGCAGAGATGAACACAGAAGCCCCAAATCAGAGCCCATTTTAGAAGAGTGTACAGCAGAGGCTGACTAGAATTTGGTCAAGGAGAGAATCTTTGTCAGTATCTCCCAAGTATCGGTTCTCTAACTCAGAAATGTAGCATTTCTTATATGTATAGAAAAAAAAATAAAATGTCTTCTTACCCTCTTAAAATGGTGACCAGTGAGGCAAGTGGATACTATTTCTTCTTTCCCTCATCTTTCCATTTGTTGGTTTTCTTCATCCTGGGAGAAATGTCAAAGTCCCGGCAAACTCCTGGAAGGGAGGTAAGAGCAGAGCGCTGGTGCTGTGCACTCTACGAACTTCAGATGCAGGAGAAGGACAAGCTGGGAAACTCATTTTTCCTGTGCTATGTCAGTTTAGGTACCAGAGAACTAGGCAATGGAGGAAAAAAAGCAGATTAATGGAGAAAATTCTTATTAGAAACAAAAAATTTGACAGGAAGCTGTGAACATAGCCCTTCAACTGCAAATACATGGGTAGAAAGCAGGAAAAAGGAAAATTCAATGACCGTGGGTCTGGATGGGATCTCCTTGGATTAGGGATGACTAAGAATGACAGCCAAGTTTAGGCTATTCAATAGTTTGAGAATAAGGAGAAAACTATCATCTCTTCTGGGTCTCCAGGAAAAAGTAAAACTCTAAAACTGATCTATCCCAGGATTTTATTTTTTTTTTTTTTAGTATTTATTGATCATTATTGGGTGTTTCTCAGAGAGGGGGATTTGGCAGGGTCATAGGACAATAGTGGTGGGAAGGTTAGCAGATAAACATGTGAACAAGGATCTCTGGTTTTCCTAGGCAGAGGACCCTGCGGCCTTCCGCAGTGTTTGTGTCCCTGGGTACTTGAGATTAGGGAGTGGTGATGACTCTTAACGAGCATGCTGCCTTCAAGCATCTGTTTAACAAAGCACATCTTGCACCGCCCTTAATCCATTTAACCCTGAGTGGACACAGCACATGTTTCAGAGAGCACTGGGTTGGGGGTAAGGTTATAGATTAACAGCATCCCAAGGCAGAGGAATTTTTCTTAGTACAAAACAAAATGGAGTCTCCTATGTCTACTTCTTTCTACACAGACACAGTAACAATCTGATCTCTGTTTCTTTTTACCACATTTCCCCCTTTTCTATTCGACAAAACCACCATCGTCATCATGGCCTGTTCTCAATGAGCTGTTGGGTACACCTCCCAGATGGTAGACGGGGTGGCGGCCGGGCAGAGGGGCTCCTCACTTCCCAGACGGGGCGGCCGGGCGGAGGCGCCCCCCACCTTCCGGACGGGGCGGCTGGCCGGACGGGGGCTGCCCCCCACCTCGCGGATGGGGCAGCTGCCCGGCGGAGACGCTCCTCACTTCCCAGACGGGCCGGCTGCCGGGCGGAGGGGCTCCTCACTTCTCAGAAGGGGTGGTGGGGCAGAGACGCTCCTCACCTCCCAGACGGGGTGGCGGTTGGGCAGAGACACTCCTCAGATCCCAGACGGGGTCGCGGCCGGGCAGAGGCGCTCCTCACATCCCAGACGGGGCATCGGGGCAGAGGCGCTCCCCACATCTCAGACGTTGGGTGGCCGGGCAGAGAGGCTCCTCACTTCCTAGATGGGATGGCGGCCGGGAAGAGGCGCTCCTCACTTCCCAGACTGGGCAGCCAGGCAGAGATGCTCCTTACTTCCCAGACGGGGTGGCGGCCGGGCAGAGGCTGCAATCTCGGCACTTTGGGAGGCCAAGGCAGGTGGCTGGGAGGTGGAGGTTGTAGCGAGTCGAGATCACGCCACTGCACTCCAGCCTGGGCAACATTGAGCACTGAGTGAGCGAGACTCCGTCTGCAATCCCGGCACCTCAGGAGGCCCAGGCGGGCAGATCACTCATGGTCAGGAGCTGGAGACCAGCCCGGCCAACACGGCGAAACCCCGTCTCCACCAAAAAATACAAAAACGAGTCAGGCGTGGCGGCGGGCGCCTGCAATCCCAGGCGCTCGGCAGGCTGAGGCAGGAGAATCAGGCAGGGAGGTTGCAGTGAGCCGAGATGGTGGCAGTCTAGTCCAGCCTCGGCTCGGCATCAGAGGGAGACCGTGGAAAGTGGGAGACAGGAGAGGGGGAGGGAGGGGGGAGGGGGAGGGAGAGCTATTTTTTTTTAACTCTTTAAGAATAATTTACAGATTAAATAAAGACATGGCCTCTTTAAAGGAGAGGCAGAAGTTCATGTGGAGAGAAAAAAAATGGAGATGAAAGTGAACAAAAAGGATGAGTAGGTAACAGAAAAAAAAACAAAGGAGGTAAAATTAATACAGACTTAAAAATGCAATATTAAAATGGAAATTCACACACCCAATGAAGAATGGAAAAGCTTTTGAAGAATAATCAAATGTTGACATGGAGAGTAACTTCAATACTGTTTCCCAAATGCAGAAGAAAAAAAAAATAGGATAAGATAATGAGAAAAGATGACAAGATGACAATATAGGATGTTCATATGCATAATAAGTATACCTAAATTTAGCTAAAGACAAATTATAAAGAAAAATATCAAGAATAGTTATTCAGGAAAACCAGGTTTCCAAAAATCCCAGAAACAACTACTATCATATTTGAATAAAGCAACCTCAAAATCCAGAAGTCAGTCGAGCAAGATCTAAGGAGTTTTGAAGGGAAAAACGTTATAACTCAATTAATTTATATGCATGTTAGTACTTCAGCTGTCAGAAAACTAAAGACAAAAATTAAAAATAAATGAAAGCACATGAATGAGGAAGATGTGACATTAATGGAGATTAAAGACACAAGTTTAAATTACTTCATTATGAAACTAAAAATGAATGTTAAAAAGTTTCCTAGGAAGAAATTTTAAATGTCATCAAATATTTCTAAATGGAAACACTCAAAACCGAAAACGTTGGCTATGAAGCAATGAAAAAAGCAATAAAAATGTACAAATTCATGTTTAAAATAGATTTGACACAAAGATTCTGTCACTTTTGACTTTCTTGATACTAACATGTTTCAGAACTATAGGCTAATGATTACCTTTGAAAAGCATGAACATAATTATGTCTTTTTTTTTTTTTTACTTACTTTTATTTTTCTTATTTA
Source organism: Homo sapiens (assembly GCF_000001405.40). Lineage (NCBI taxonomy): Eukaryota > Metazoa > Chordata > Mammalia > Primates > Hominidae > Homo > Homo sapiens. The sequence continues at coordinate 15,447,732 of NC_000008.11, forward strand.
GGGAAGGTTACCGCCACCTCTCTGTAGGAAATCAAGTGTACATGATGTAAAATGTCAGAAAACTATTACAAATAAATGAGATGGTAAGTGATACCATGCGAGAACCCATAAAAACAGAGACTCCCTCATCGTATTTATATATCACAACGTATTGTCAAAAAAATTAAAGGATATAAAGTTACATTGTTCAACATGGTAGCTACATGTGGGTATGTACATTACAGTTAATTTAAATGAAAAGTTCAGTTCTACAGTCACACTAGCAATATTTTAAGTAATCAATAGCCAGGCATAATTAGTGGCTACCGTATCACACAGCACAGATATAAAGCATTCCTGTCAGGGCAGAAAATTCAACTGTATGGTAGTGTATATACATATATATATATTTATTTATTTATTTTTTAGATGGAGTCTTGCTCTGTCATCCAGGCTAGAGTGCAGTGGCACGATCTCAGCTCACTGCAACCTCTGCCTCCTGGGTTCAAGCAATTCTCATGCCTCACCCTCTCAAGTAGCTGAGATCACAGATGTGTGCAACCACACCCTGCTATTTTTTGTATTTTTAGTAGAGATGAGGTTTCACCACATTGGCAAGGCTGGTCTCAAACTCCCAGCCTCAGGCAATCCACCCGCCTTGGCCTCCCAAAGTGCTGGGATTACAGACATGTGCCACCATGCCCAGCCTAAAGTATAAATTTATACTGATAAAAGGTGAAATGCATGTATCAGCATAACTTTTGGAGATTTTACCCTTTCACAGATGTCCCTCCCAACTCCCTAGTCTTTCAAATGTTCTACTCTTAAGAAAATAGTAGAGCAGATGTAAAAAGTGTATGATGTAGAAGATTATTATATTAATAGTGTTTATAATATTGAGGTGTTAGAAGCAATGTTTTAGCCAATAATATTGCAGGATTGGCTAAATAAATAATGTGTCTAACACGTAAATTATTAGACAAGTGTTAAAATTTGGATTATGAAACTAAAAATGTTTTAATTGCAGCAAAAAGATATTTATGCATTGTAAACAAAAAAGAGTACTGCTAAAATAGGTATGGGACACAGCTTTCCATACAGTTATGCATTTTGGTCAACAGACTCTATATATGATGGTGATCTCATAAGATCATAGTAGAGGTGAAAAATTTCTATCACCTAGTGACGTAGCCATTATAACATCATAGTGCTTTTACTTTATTTTTTTTAATAAATTTAGCATAGACTAATTGTAGAGTGTTTAGAAAATGTATAGTAGTGTCTAGTAATGTCCCAGGCCTTCACATTCATTTACCACTGTTAACTGAAGAATGAGGACATCTATAAATTTAGAAAGGAGAGCTTTATTTCTCATAAAGCGTTGTAGCCTGTATATGGTCATTCTGACAAGCTGGGAAGTGAAGCCTCTGGCCAGAAGCTGAAAACAGGTATTTCCAGAGTGGGAAGAATAGGACAGGGATTTATGCTGAAGGAAGCGGCCAAATATACATATTCAGTAAGCTATAGGAGGAATCATGAATATTTATGAAAGAAGGAATGGGCACATGTGCAATTAAGCTTCATGCCTTTTCTTCGGTCTCATGTTCAAAAAATGGCCGTGTTAGCATGGCTCAAGCGTGGAGTTTTTTGACCCTCTGATGTCAAAAGGTGAAGCAGAGGACACGGAAATGTTAACTGCACATCCTCCATAGAGTGGTCAGAACCACCCCGCCATGGCTGGTGGTCTCTTACCAGGAAGGAATGCTGGTCAGATACTGCCTCAAGTTAGCAAAAGGGAGGGGCAGCTTCAGGCAGTTGGTTAAAATCAGTGGTGGAGGACTTTTGAAACTGCTGGTTTCTCTTTAGCCCTTAGGGGAAAAAGCCTAATGGAGGTTATTGAGGGAGGGAGTATAATGAGGCGTCTTACCTCCCATCCCACAGGAATTCAGCCTCCACCTTTTCTCTGGTGTCCCTTTGATCGCAAGGAGTCCTTTCAGTCTGCTGGGGGCTTAGAAATTAATTTTTATTTTTCATCACTCACTCACTGACTTAGGCAGAGCAGCTTTCAGTCCTGCAAATTCCATTCATGGTAAGTGCCCTATGTAGGTGACCGTTTTTTTAATCTCTTACACTTTATTTTTTTACTGTACCTTTTTTATGTCTAGATACATAAATATCTACCATTGTGTTACGATTGCCTGTGGTATTCAGTGTAGTCATGCTGTACAGCTTTGTAGCCTAGGAGCGATAGGCTAGGCTATACCACATAGCCTAGGTGTGCAGGAGGCTATCCCTCTAGGTTTTTCTAAGTTCCCTCTGTGATCTTAGCACAACAACAAAATTGCCTAACAATGCATTTCTCAGAACGTATTCTTGTCATTGAGTGACACATGACGACTGTATGTTTATCTTTATAAACATGTATAAAAAAAGTGTGAGAGGCTTTACTACTAACATTATTTGTTTCTGGATACATTTTAAAGTATATGTGTGTTTATCTGTTTATCATTTTTCTTTTCTTTTTTCTTTTAGAAGAATCAGGTTTTACTTGTATAACAAGCTTTAAAAAGTATTAATAAATAATGATTCAGAAAACTGCCCCTTTATACATATTTGGTGCAAACATTTTTTGGTAAATTGAGTTTTTAGGGCTGACTTTTCCCACTCAAGGTGCTATTTAAAAGTATACAGTTGGCTGGGCGTGGCGGCTAACACCTGTAATCCCAGCACTTGGGGAGACCAAGGCAGGCAGATCACAAGGTCAGGAGTTCAAGCCCAGCCTGACCAAGATGGTGAAACCCCATCTCTAGTAAAAATACAAAAATTCACCCCACCTGTAATCCTAGCTTTTCAGGAGGCTGAGGCAGGAGAATAGCTTGAACCCGGGCGGCAGAGGTTACGGTGAGCCAAGATTGCAACATTGCATTCCAGTCTGGGAGACAGAGTGAGACTCGGTCTCAAAAATAAATAAGTAAAAATAATAAAAGTATACAGTTAACACAGGCTTTTGGAGAAAGCCTTAGTAACACAGAAGTTCTACTAATCAGAGATCTGAATTGAATGTAAACAGAAACAGATGTTGGCTTACTGTTTTCAGCAGAAAAGAAACTTATTAAAAGGGGAATTCATAGAACCTCCAGAGGACTTGAGAAGTAGGCTTAAAACCTCCACAGGCAGAAACAATGCCTGAAACATGCCGCTGCTGAGTTCTGGTCTGAGCAGCTTGCCTAGCTGACCCTTCTGGCAGTGAACTTGACCCCATGACTAACACCATGGTCAATCCTGCCTGAGAACTGCAGCTTCCAGAAAGGAAACTTCACAAACCTTTTTCCTGAACATCACTAGCTTTGGGTTCAAAATCTAATCCATAATGCTGGGTCATGACCCTGCATCCTAGCTACAGAGGGAAGCTAGAGGATCAAGTATGTGGTTGTGATATCATGATATAATAAGATATAAGACACATATATATGTCTTATTTCTTGTATCACAGTATAATGTTACTTATATCTATATTTGGTCTTTCTCTTAGTTTCCTGGCATACAGCTCCTGAAACCCTGGAATCCCTTTAGTAATAAGTGTGTTTCTGTATGCTAATGAGGTGATTGTGGCTGGGGCCTCCTGGGTAGCTCAGATCAACCAAGCAATTAGAGAGTTGGAACTTTCAGCCCCCTGACCTTCTCAGAGGGGAGAGGGGCTGAAGGGCGAGTTGATCACCAATGGCCAATGATTTAACCAATCATGGCTACATAATGAAGCCTCCATAAAAAGCCAAAAGGATAGGATTGGAGACTCTGCAGGTTGCTTAACACTTGGAGGTGCTGGGACAGTGGCACAGCGGGAGAGTGCATAGAAGCTCCACACCCCTTTCCCTATACCTTGCCAAATGCATCTCTTCCATCTAGTTGTTCCTTAGTTGTATCCTCTTAGAATAAAAGAGTAATAGTAATTGAACCTGAGGAAGGGATAGTGGGAACCTTTAGGACAAAAGCACAGGTGAGAACCTGGGCTTGCAATCGATGGGGGCAATATTGTGTGACTGAGTCCTTCACCTGTGGGGTCTGATGCTCTCTCCAGAAAGATAGTGTCTGAGTTGAGTTAAATGGTAGGATGGTGTCTAAGGAAAGTAGAAAATTGCTTTGTGTGGGGGAAAAAAATCCCCACACATTTTGGTGACCAGAAGTGTTGTGAGAGTATAGAAGAGGAAAAACAGTTTTTTTGCTATACAGTAGCATTTTCAGTTTTTATAATGTGAGGCCTTTCCACATAAAAGGCAGCCAAAAGAGTGATGATGTCTTACAAGAGTAATTAAAGTAAAACATGAAACCACTCAGCACCATCCCCACTGCCTGGCTCCCTCCAACTCCTTCATGTGACTCTAGCAACTGAATTTAATGGTAATAGTGTTTTACATGACGTTAACCGTGAAGTTATTGAGTGTTATGTGTGAGAAAAACATGTTAAAGTGCTTTAACTATAATTTCACATTTAATTTCTACAAACAACCATATTCTTAAGTTATGAAAAATTTTCGCTGACTTTCTTCTCACTTCCTCCTCTTTCTAAACCTGTTGAATGTGTTGAGTTCTAGGTATAAATGCTGAATTTCTCAAGATCAAACACAAAATTTGGATGAATTTGTAAATTAAATAGCAAAAGATCAAATGAGGGCAAAGAACAACTGATTACTCACGCCTTTAATTAAATTCATATGGAATTTACCTTTTTTCTTCCAGAATAACAATTTATCAGTTATAGATGATATCTCCTTAGTTTCTGCAACTTTCTCAAACTTTAAAAGGTAAAACATATTAGTACTGTGGAGCCCTAATTAGGGAAGAGGAGCCAAGCTAGTGGGAGGAGGGGAAAGCAAAAAGAGAAAGCAGATAAGCTATAAGGCAGACTTACGTCTGCCTTGCTTTGTAGTCCAGGACACGTAGCTCTCCTGCACAAATAGTCTTTGCTTTGTGTGTCACAATCTTCCTGTCCCCAGCTATCACCAGACCCTGGGCTGATAAATTCAAGTTGGCTCACTGCAGCCTTGACATTACCAGTACTGCATGTAGCACTCTGCAGCCCAAGAACCATCCTATAAAATCTCCAGGAAGCTTTTGTTTCCTTACAGTAAGCTCCTCTTGTGCTGGTCTGCCCATTGCCTTCTTGCAATATAATTTCATACTTTTTTTTAATACATCTGCCTTTCTTTACCTACAATTGTCTTGGTAAGTTCTTTTATCCCTGCACCACCAGACCAGATAGCGACCACTCCCCCGTCACAAGTACCACTTTTAATAAGAGGACTCTAGTACCCTGAGGAACTGCATAACTAGAAACAGTATCTAGGATTAAACGCAATATATAGATAGGTTTGAGATTTTGGTATCTAGACTTGAGAGCTAGTTTCATCCATGGTGCTTTTTGTAAAGGCCAACACACAGCTTATACATGTGATTGCTCAGAAACTGCCAACTGGGAGTGTTTCTGAAGAATGTCTGTCCATATGACTTCACATTAGCGTGGTAATGATTATTACTTGCCATAATTATTTTCAAATTTTAACCATGTCTGCAAACCATGAAAGCAATAAACTCTTCTTCCTAAATTACTAAATAAAATGAATAAGTATATATACTTATTCAATGTTCATTTACTGTAGATGGCATTGCCTGCTTACTTTTATGGCACCACTAAAAAAGCAAGTAGCTCCTAGCCCCTTTTCTTGTCAGCATCTTTAAATAAAAAACGGTGATTTCTCTATCAGGCTTTTGAGTCTTGTCAACTTGTGCAAATTGACTTAATGCAACTGCTATGAAGCATTTATCAAATCACTTTCTTCTCCCATCTAGCTGCAGTTTCATTAGCGATGACTGCCTCATTTTCAACAAATGCATAAATGCATGAATTTGCTGACTAGCCAAGACACAGACAAACACAACTTAAATATATTTATGGAATATTTTACTTACATTAATCACTTGGGACTTAGTATAATTACACAGAGAATTATTCTTGTTACAGTGGGCAGGTAGTCAGACAGAGCAGGGCGGGAGAGGGCTCCCCCTACCCACAACCAGGAATGTCAGGCGACCACTAGGTGGTGTCATGTGGTTAACTGTCTCTCTAAAATAATTGGTTGCAACCAGCACCAGGGAAAGGCAGTCTCTCTATAGATAGAAACACCTGAAACTGGTGATCACCAGCTTCCCATTAAGATCTCAGGAGTTGGGCAAGTGGGCTCAAGCATGTACACTAAGAGGCAAAATGGCAGAGATTAACTGGTATATTACCTCCTAGGGACATTTGATTGGTAAGGGAGGAATGCCTCAAATTAGCATGTGTACACCTCCAGTAAATGCACTATGCATGCTCCCCTCCCAAGTGCTGGCAGGCCACTGCACATGTGGACAGCCCACCCCAAGGGAAGAATCAAGGGAGAAGGGACACAAGACCCCGGAAGCATGACAGCATATAAAATCCCAAGTCAAAAAGTCAAACCACACACTTGATCTCTCAAGTCACCCCCTTGGCCCTCTTCCAAGTGTACTTTACTCCATTTTATTCCTGATCTAAAGCTTCTTAATAAACTTTCACTCCTACTGTAAAACCTGCCCTGCTTCAGCCTTATGCCCCTCAGTTGAATTCTTTCCTTTGAGGAGGCAAGCATCGAGGTTGCTGCAGAAGTGTATAAATTTGCTGCCACCAACATTCTCAGGAATAGAGTGACTGTTAACAGACGTAGACCAATAGGTTATGCACAGATTTGATTTAGCTAAAGGAATCTATTTTGCTTTGCCAGGGTTTCTGTCACGTATTAATGTTCCAACTAGTTTCCAGCTCGCTATTTGTTTCAATTCTGTCTTCCATCAGGAACAGAAGTTTCTCTGGCTAGCTGCTGCTCATTTTCTATTTTATAGTTCCCCTTGACTTGTGAAATCCGTCAAATATTACTGACTCAGATGGAGCCCTTACTATGTAGGTATTATGTAACTGAAATCATTTTAATCAGGACCTAATAAACTGGACTGCACAAGTCTTGCAGCAAAGTAGGTAAAGTGTGGAAGCTTATATAGTAAACTTGCTGGGATATGATTTAATCAATGATTTATATAAACATGTCCATTTCCTTGCATGTATATTTTATTCTGAATATTACCTTTTGAGGCATAATTTCCAAGTTCACGTAAAGTATATCAGTTTAAAATTTTATAATACATATCTAGCAGATGTAACAGGCTCTCCCCTCCAAAATGAATTCTAGAGGAATTAGAGGCAAAAGACCAAGAAAACCATGGGGAATCTTAGGGGTTGGAGGGTACAAGATGTTTTGAGATCTTTGGGGAAGATGATGACTTTGACCTGGGCCAGGAGCCAGCCTCAAAGGGCAGGATAGTAGCAAAGGCACTATTAAAGTTTGCTTATCCCTACCATTGCATTGAGTAGACACTTGGGTATGGAGATCCTAGAAAAGTAAACACATACCAAGTGACCTCTGGCATTTGTCCTCCTATTCCTCCTCCCCCAAAACCCCAGGACTGGTGGATCATAATCTAGGAAGCTTCTAATGTGGTTTTGTTTCGGGAGGCAAGAGAAAAGCCCTAACATGTAGATTGGTTTTATAGATTGAGGAGCTATGGTTGGTTTTCTGGTGCTCCATCATGTATATGTATGTATATGTGTGTGTATATTTATGTATATATACACATACACACCTATGTATACACGTATATGTATACACACCTATGTATACACACCTATGTATACATGTATATATGTGTACATACCTATAGACATGTATATATGTGTATATACATAACATACAGAGGCACACATATATATGCATTTGTGTATATGTATACATATACTTTTTTTTAACTATTTGCAATGTAAAAACCATTCTTAGCCTCTGGCTATAAAAAATAGGCTTCTAGCCAATGAGACCACCTTTGCAAAAATTCTATCAGTGAGAAAATTACATCAGTTTAGGAGATCTGATCCAGCCAAACCCTCTCTTGCTTTTGGCCTTCAAGCTGCCCTTAATTATTCCTGGCCTTAGGCCAAGGTAACTACGGGAGATACTTACGTTTTAAATGATAAAAGCCCTTCCCCAAAACTCAGCCATTTTCATAAAGCTAATGAGAGACCACCAGGCTAGGAGGATAGAGGAGACTGAATTCTGCTAAAGTGTAGCTTCCCCATTTATTCCTGCAGATAACATCCACTACTGTAGAAGATAACACTGACCTTCTGAAAGACCTTTGCAGATTTTTTGCTTGTCTAATGACCAATGACTCCACCAGGACCTACCAACCACTCCGGTGGCCCTACCCAGAATAATTCAATGTGTAGGAGGATCATTTCCCACACCCCATGATTGTACCCCCAACCAATCAGCAGCAAGCAGCAATCATTGCCTAGCCATCCTCACTCCTTTCCTCACACTAGCTTTGAAAAACCTCTAACTTCACAGCCTTCAATGAGATTGATTTGAGTAATAAATCTGTATCCCTCCTGGCATGACTGGCCTCATGTGACTTAAACCCTTTCTTTACTGCAATGCTGTGGTCTCTGTGAATTGATTTTGTTTGTGCAATGGGCAGGCGGAACCTGTTGAGAAAGTTTTACACCAATTTGGCCTTTAGTTTCTGAACCTCTTGACTGGAAGGAAAAATAAAAGCAAATTAAATAGAAAAAATAAAAGACCAATTTAAAATGTATTTGGAAACGTAAAGAGATAATAATAGCCAAGACACTATGGAAGAATAAGAAAAGAGAGGAGGGCTTCCACGATCAGTGACTAGGAGCTGTTACGAAGTTAAACTAATTAATAAAGAGTGATATTAGGGTAGAAAAAAAATTATTCGTGAGCTAGAAAGCCTAGAAATATTCATTCACTTATGGAACTTTGATGTAGACAGAGGTAGGGAAAAAAGGACTTTTTATTAAATGAAAATTCAATAAATGAAAAAGAGTAGTCATTCATATGGATAAAGACAAAATCAGATTCCTATCCCACCACATTAAAAATAATTTTGGATGGATTAGATTAAGACAAATTCAAACAGAGAAGGAGAAGAGGAGGAGGAAAAAAACTCAACGACAACTTGAAAACGCTTTAAAACATTTTGTTGTATATAGTTCAGATCTTGTAATAGAGAACTATTTCTTAAATAAAATACCAAAAGCATTGACTTGAATAAAAAAATATTAAGAACACTTATTCATCAAAGGGCACCTTTATGAAAATAAAGACAATTCCAAGTGTACAGAAGATACTCATGTTACAGAAACTAGCAAATGAACTCTATAAATTATCAAGAAAAGCAGAAACCATCATTCTCAGCAAACTATCGCAAGGATAAAAAACCAAACACTGCGTGTTCTCACTCATAGGTGGGAATTGAACAATGAGAACACATGGACACAGGAAGGGGAAGATCACACACTGGGGCCTGTTGTGAGGTGGGGGGAGGGGGGAGGGTTAGCATTAGGAGATACACCTAAAGTAAATGACGAGTTAATGGGTGCAGCACACCAACATGGCACGTGTATACATATGTAACAAACCTGAACGTTGTGCACAAGTACCCTAGAACTTAAAGTATAATAAAAATATATATATATTTAAAAAAACAAAAACAAATAGAAAAGTAGACTTTTCTGAAGAGAAAAACATATGGCCAATAATCATATGTGATTGGTAAAATACAAATCAAGACCATGATGCAAAACTATTTCATAACACTTTCATAGTGAAAAGTTAAAAAGTCATAACCATACCAAGTTTTGGAAATAGTATGGATTCACATTTATATACTGTATGAACCAGTAATTACGCAATCATGAGAACTTTTCTGCACATACGCTACGAGAAAAATGTATTACAGTGTTCATAGCAGTGTTCATAATAGCAAAAACCTGGTAATAATTCAAAAGCCTATCCATAGGAAAATTAATATATAAACAGCATTGCATTCACAAAATAAAATAATTTATTAGATAAATAATAATCTAATAAAATAAAATATCTAATAATTTAAAATAAAATAGATAAATTAGATAATCTAATAAATTAGATTATCTAATCTAAAATAAAATAATTTATTAGATAATTAATTATTAATAAATTAGATTAATTATCTAATAATTATCTAATAAATTAATTAGATAATTACTAATTAATTAATTAGATAATTACTAATTGAATAATAATTAGTACTCCAATGATGAATGAATCTTAATACAATATTGAATATTTTTAAAGTTTCAGATAAACACATGCAACATAATGTACTTTGTATAAAGTTAAAAAGGCCAAATAATTCAAAACATACTCTTTAGGAACACATCTAGATGCGTTAACATTATATCAACAGGAAAGCAATGAAATGAGGAAATGAAGGAATTTAGGATGATGGTTATGTCTAGTGAGAGGAAGGAAGGTGACGAGATGGGTTAAAGTCATATAAGAAAATGTAGGTTAAAGGTCAAGGCCCTAACTTTAGTTTATAAAGTGCTTACATATGCTTCTTTCTTTTTTTTCTTTTTAAGACAAGGTCTTACTCTGTGGCCCATGCTGAGGTACAGTGACGTGCTCACAGCTCACTGCACCCTCGACCTCTCAGGCTCAAACAATCCTCCCACCTCAGTCTCCCGAATAGCTGCGACTACAGGAGCATGCTACCACACTTGGATAATTGTTGTACTTTTTGTAGAGATGAGGTTTCACCATGTTGCGCAGGCTGGTCTCAAACTCCTGAGCTCAAGTGATCCACCCACCTCGGCCTCCCAAAGTGCTGGCCATACAGGTGGAAGCCACTGAGCCCAGCCAGTGCTTATTTCATTATTATAAAAAACGTGTTAAATAAAAGCAGGCTATGTATGGACCAACGATGAATGTGTTATGTACCAATGATTAAGATGAATCTATAATCTGATTCTTCCACCTGAGATCCAATTTTAAAAGTTCGAGTGCATGCTCCTCCTCCCGACTTTTCAAGATAAATGAACTAATTTTTCATAGAGTTCAGAATGATGAGTAACTGGGGACTAAAAACCAATCTTCACTAGGGAAGAACCATCAGTTTATCTTTGCAAGGACAAAAGGCCAGTTCTTTCTAAGTTATATTGAAAAAGCTGTCTTGGATTTTAGCTTTACAGGTGGCAAAGTATTAATATGTAAGCTCCTCTACTTTTGAAAGGCCATTCTAAATCCACTAGTTCCCTAAGACCAAGAAGACTAAAAGAGGTTTAAGTTAATCTTTTCACCAAATAGACCAGGTTCATTTTTATTAAAGACCTGTTGAGATAGTTAACCCCCTTTTATGATCTCCCCAAATGTTCTGAATTTGACAGTCCTTTAGCAGTTAAAGTATCTATACTCCTAGCCTTATGACCCAAGTTTATGCCTTGATTTTTTTAAAGTCCTGCAAATATGACAAAAGTGACATGACAAAGCTTCATCACTATGATATTTACTGGACTTAGCATTAAACTATCAACAAATTTTTCACTGAATTAATATTAGTTTATATCCAATAATGGTGTTGACTGTCTAGTTCAGGAAGTTTTTGTCTTCTAAAGTGACAATAGAAGTTGTTTTGGATGCTTTCATTCCTGTTCATAACTGTCAGTATTCTTGCTTAACTGTGATTTGAAGAAACTCTTCTTTTTTTTTGACATTAATTTTTTTTACACTTTAACCAATAAAATAAAGCAATAATTAGAAAAATAAAGCAAGAATCCTGCTTTATTTGATAATATTTTTTATTTTTCCGTAGGTTATTAGGGTACAGGTGGTGTTTGGTTATGTGAGTACATTCTTTAGTGGTGATTTGTGAGATTTTGGTGCAGCCATCGCCCAAGCAGTATACACTGCACCCTATTTGTAGTCTTTTTTTCCTCGCCACCCTCCCACCCTTCTCTGCGAGTCTCCAAAATCCATTGTATCATTTTTATGTCTTTGGTGTCCTCATAGTTTAGCTTTCACATATCAGTGAGAAGATATGATGTTTGATTTTTCCATTCCTAAATTACCTCACTTAGAATAATAATCTCCAATCTCATCCCGGTCAATGCGAGTGCCATTAATTCATTCCCTTTTATGGCTAAGTAGTATTCCATTTGTGTGTGTGTGTGTGTGTGTGTATGTGTGTGTGTGTGTGTGTATACATACATACATACATACATACATACACACATACCACAGTTTCTTTATCCACTCATTGATTGATGGGCATTTGGGTTGGTTCCAGAATTTTGCAATTGCTAATTGTGCAGCTATAAACATGCATGTGCAAGTATCTTTTTCATGTAATAACTTATTTTCCTCTGAGTAGATACCCATTAGTGGGACTGCTGGATCAAATGGTAGTTCTACTTTTAGGTCTTTAAGGAATCTCCACACTGTTTTCCACAGTGGCTGTACTAGTTTACATTCCCAACAGGAGTGTAGAAGTGTTCCCTGATCTCTGCATCCACACCAACATCTACTGCTTTTTGATTTTTTTGATTATGGCCATTCTTGTGGAGTAAGTTGGTATCGCATTGTCGTTTTGATTTGCAGTTCCCTGATTGTTAGTGATGTTGAGCATTTTTTTCGTATATTTGTTGGCCATTTGTAAATCTTCTTTTGAGAATTACCTATTCATGTTATTAGCCCAGTTTTCTATGGGATTGCTTGTTTTTTTATCGCTGATTTAAGTTTGTTGTAGATTCTGGACATGGTCCTTTGTCATATGTATAGATTGTGAAGATTTTCTCCCACTCTGTGGGTTGTCTGTCTACTCTGCTGACTGTTCCTTTTGCCGTGCAAAACTCTTTAATTATGTCCCAGCTATTTATCTCTGGTTTTATTCCATTTGCTTTTGGGTTCTTGGTCATAAAATCCTTGACTAAGCCAATGTCTAGAAGGGTTTTTCCAATATTATTTTCTAGAGTTGTTATAGCTTCAGGTCTTAGATTTAAGTCCGTAATCCATCTTGAGTTGATTTTTGTGTAAGATGAGAGATGAGGATCCAGTTTCATTCTCCTACATGTGGTTAGACAATTATCCCAGCACCATTTGTTGAAAAGGGTGTCGTTTCCCCCACTTTGTTTTTGTTTGCTTTGTCAAAGATCAGTTGGCTGTAAGTATTTGGGTTTATTTCTGGGTTCTCTATTCTGTTCCATTGGTCTATGTGCCTGTTTTTATACCAGCATCACCCTGTTTTGGTGAGTATGGCCTTATAGTATAGTTTGAAATCAGGTAGTGTGATGCCTCCAGATTTATTCTTTTTGCTTAGTTTTGCTTTGGCTGTGCAGGATCTTTTTAACTTCCATATGAATTTTAGAATTGTGTTTTCTAATTCTGTGAAGAATGATGGTGGTATTTTGATGGGGATTGCATTGAATGTGTAGATTGCCTTTGGCAGTATGGTCATTTTCACAGTACTGACTCTACCCATCCGTGAGCATGGGATGTGTTTCCCTTTGTGTTGTCTGTGATTTCTTTCAGCATTGTTTTGTAGTTTTTCTTGTAGAGGTCTTTCGCCTCCTTGTTTAGGTATATTCCTAAGTGTTTTGTTTGTTTGTTTGTTTGTTTTTGCAGCTATTGTAAAAATGGTTAAGTTCTTGACTTGATTCTCTGCTTGGTCACTGTTGGTGTATAGGAGAGTTAATTTGTGTACATTAATTTTGTATCCAGAAACTTTACTGAATTCTTTTATCAGTTCTAGGGGCTTTCTGGTGGAGTCTTTAGGTTTTTGAAGTGAGCGATCATATCATCAGCAAACAGTGAGGGTTTGACTTCCTCTTAAACAATTTGGATGCCTTTTATTTCTTTGTCTTGTCTGATTTCTCCGGCTAGGACTTCCAGTACTATATTAAAGAGGAGTGGTGAGAGTGGGCATCCTTGTCTTTTTCCAGTCCTCAGAGGGAATACGTTCTACTTTTCCCCATTCAGTATTACGTTAGCTGTGAGTTTGTCATAGATGGCTTTTATTACATTGAGTTACGTCCCTTGTGTGCCAATTTTGCTAAGAGTTTTAATCATAAAGGAAAAAAAAAGAAAAAAAAGAAAAAATGAAGACATTCAATGTATATCAAATTAAAAGATAGCAAAAATAAAAGATTTGTATATATAATCAAATTAAAACATTAAAATAATATACAATTTTATTTTAAAATTTACTAAACTACGTATAAAAAAATACTGTATGAAACTATAGTATGGATATGTGGTGATTATAGCAAAGTTGTGAAGATGAAAAATAAGTGCTTCTGGTGATGGAACAGGCATCACATCTTATAATTGTTTTCTTTCTTTACTTACTTTTGAGCAAGTCATAAGACCCCTGGATTCTGTGAAATATCAATCATTCTTTAATGGACAAAAATTGTTTAGCAGCCAGGAGAGAAGCATTTAATAGCTTTTAGGTTGCTAAGAGAACCTGGTCCAAGCTTCATAATAATAACTTTAGCATGTACCATATACCAAGCCTACTTCTGAGCACTTTGCAGGTCATAAATCATGTAATCATCACCATTCTATGTGGCAGAGAATTTTGACGAATTATTTGACGAGTGACTTTTATCTAGAATATATAAACAACTATTACAACTCAATAATAAAGAAACAGATAACTATAAAAATTGGGCAAAGTATCTGAAAAGACATTTCTCCAAAGAATATATACAAATGGCCAACTGCTATTTTCATTGCAGAGATAGGTAAACTGACACTCATAGACTAAAGGAATTGCCCATGGTGGCAGAGTCAGGTTTTGAAACTATGCAGACTAGATCATAGCCTCTACACAACGACTGCCTGTTAATGTTATCTCCCTACGATATTAAATTCATTTTCAGAATTTGGGAAGCTTTCCTGCCTTAAAGTGCACTATTTTGCAAAGAAGCTAACTCTATGTTTAAACCAAGATGGTAGATCTTGTATAGACATGGCAAAAAGTTGGTTCGCAGGCATTTAATTCTTAAAATTTAGTCTATTATACTCCTATGTGGTGGTACTGATATCTGTTTTCCAGTCTGACAATTTACTTTTGCACCAGTACAGAGCTGTTAAAGCTTTTGCTTCAGAAATAACTTCCAACAGTGAGCAGAAAGGATGCTATTCTCTTAATAATAATTCTGAGCCACCAATTCCCTTGGCCAGAGAAGCCAAGGGAAAGAGAATTTACTCTTTTATAGCAAGTGTAGAACAAGTTCAAAACCAATTTTTCAGGTGTAAACTGTTAGTAAAGGGAGAAAATAAAAAGAATGTATTTGGGCAATGGCTTCAATTCTTTATTTTGTTCTCTTCTCTTTATTTTCTGTTTCTCCTCCTCCTCATCTTCCTCCCCTTTTCCTCTTCCTCTACCTTCTCCTTTTTTTCTTCTTTTGCCTCTCTGTGTCTCTCTCTCTGTTTTTCTGGTTTACAGACATTTAGAAGACTCCTGTTTTGATCCGTAAAAACATAAGTTTGCAACTGAGTAATTGCAGAGTAAAATTTTCCATCAGGAGACTGATTTACTACAAATTACTTAGCATGAATTTTAAATAACTTTATACGTATTGGGAAGAATAAAAATATATGCTGTTATTTTAGCTAGGCTAAATTAGAGGAGTCCGTCATCACTATGAATCACATCATAAATTAAAATCAGAGGAATTTTTTCTAGTGGCATAGAATAGTCTCAACATAAACATGGGAAAATTATTATGTTGTGGTCAAAATTATTTTTAAAAGATAATGTTTATTACCGGTGTCATAATTGGACCTAATAAACTCACCTGATTGTGCAGTTTATGCTATTCTCATTTTATGTGCTCTTAATGAGAAAGCATCTGGCAAATGAATACCTGAGTGGCAGGAAGGTAATAGAATGGTCTAGTGGCTCTTCATATTGTTTAATGGGCTGTACTGAAACAACTTTTTCAGATCATGAAGCCTTTTGATTATTACCAAATAATTAGTGCTGCAAGGCACCATTAAGTTAAATTATCTTTTTCATTCACCTGCATTAAAGAGAATATAAAGGGAAAACTCATACAGCTTGGCTTACCTTCTGTCATCAGTTCGTCGCTTCTCTACAACCAGGATGATTACACTACTATAGCCAAGCAATTTATACTCATTTCTGAGTACCCCAGAATATGCTGTAACATCACATCTTTCCAAAACCATACATATAATGTTCTTATTTCCTTCCCATAGAGGTTTACTTGCCTATTTGATCATTAGTGCGCTTGCACATTTCTTTAGCAGCATTCCTTGACTACAGTTTTACAGATGAAGAAACTTTTGGACTTAGGAAAAAGATTCCTAAAGTGCCTGTAAGATGTTATTTAGTAAGAGTCTATCAAACTGTACTCTAACAGCCTCAGACTTAATCAAGCCATAGTGAGTCTAGTCAACTGGAGCATGGCAAATTAGCCAAAATGGTTTACTGGTTACCATGATAACTGATTCTTCCAGGTAAGATCCAGAGTCTGTTTAACTAGAGTGTGTTTCAATAGAGCAAATAGCGAGTGACTAATGACTGCCAGCTGGATGGTTCTGCTTACTGGTTGGTAGTCTTATTAAATTACTCCAAGAATGAAACAAGGATGAATCCAAGCCCTGAGCACTTGATAATTCAGGAATAACCATATGGTTATACACATATAAATAGCTGTGCATGACTGGATGCAACTCCATTCATTCATGGATTCAACAAATATTTCTTGGATCCCTATTATGTGCCAAGCAATGTTGTGAATCTAGGCATAATAGGAAACAGTGCAGAGAAAAACCTTTGCTTTCATGATGCTTTCTATCTAGTGATCTGTTTGACACCTGAAACAAATATATGTGTTAAAATAAAGTTATTCAATATTTAG
The DNA here is from genome assembly GCF_000001405.40 of Homo sapiens. Classification (NCBI taxonomy): domain Eukaryota; kingdom Metazoa; phylum Chordata; class Mammalia; order Primates; family Hominidae; genus Homo; species Homo sapiens. The sequence continues at coordinate 15,464,566 of NC_000008.11, forward strand.
ATATGTTGTATCATCCTAATATATCAGTCTTTTATATCTAATAAACTTTAAGTTACCTCAGTATATCAGTTAGCTTTAATTTTTCAGTTGGAGATATGGGACTTTAATTTTTAACCAAAATGTATGATACTGTTAAAACTTTTACTGTCTGTAAAGCAAATTGATGTATCATTTATTTACAGCCAGTGTCTAATGCCTGAGAGACCACACCTTTGTGAGGCACATAATGGCTCTTCTTTCCTGTCCAAAACATGGTCATGACTGATAACTTCTTGGAATCCTTGAAGACTTTTTTTTTGTTTGAGATGGAGTCTTGCTCTGTCTCCCAGGCTGGAGTGCAATGGTGTGATCTTGGCTCACTGCAACCTCTTCCTCCCAGGTTCAAGCGATTCTCTTGCCTCAGCCTCCCAAGTAGGTGGGATTACAGGCACCTGCCACCATGCCCAGCTAATTTTTGTATTTTTAGTAGAGACAGAGTTTCACTATGTTGGCCAGGATGGTCTTGAACTCCTGACCTCGTGATCCACCTGCCTTGGCTCCCAAATTGCTGGGATTACAGGCATGAGCCACTGTGCCTGGTCAAAGACTTCTAATACAAATGTCTGCTTTAGAGAGAATTTAAGAAATTTTCCATTGCCAAATGTATCATTATTTTGTGTAACTCTCTAAAAGCAAAAATGCCCAACATGGGACACAATAAGACTACACTCTTAGTGTAAGGATAGAAGTAAATGTAACTGCCATGTGGAAAACAGCAGGGAAACTTACATGTCTCAAATTTAGCACAAAGTAGGGAGAGGTTAAAAAAGATTTTGAACCACCAGCAGATTTGTATTCTGAATTCAAACCACCAATGTGGTCCACAATCTCATGAAGAAATTTTCACTTAAAATGATCTCAGTCTATACCAACAATGATCAACAAACATTATTGATTTTAAAAAATGCAAATTGATTTGAGATGTTAAAATGCTTTTTAAAAATACACCTTATATTTAATAAAATGTGATCAAAGTTTTGCTCCATAAAACTGCATTTACTATTTCCCATACTGAATTATAAAAGGCTTAATTTTCAGATGAGGAAGACAAGTTCCTGTAAAACTTTTATCTGCAAACACCTTTCATCAAAAGATGCTTAAAATAACCCATAGCATTTTGGAATTAAACATCAAACATAAAGGTACTTTATGAATTAGTTACTTCTCTGCAGTGCAACCCTATCTTTTTCTCTTAAATGACTTAGTTGCTGACTTGGTTGATTTTTCTCTCGAGTCTACTTTAGGTTCAAGGTGTCTTCAAAGTCAACAGGCATTTCCTCATTTTCTGTCACAATCAACTTAGCGGTCCCTAGTTCATCGTGATATACTCAGGGAATAAACATTGAAATTAATTTAATCCAAGTGTTTGAAACTCAAATTCAAATGTTAAAACTCAAATTCAACATTTTTGTCTGAGGGAACTTCCGAATTTTTAAACTCAATATATCCCGCTTTTTCTTCCTGGGAACAATGCTTTATGTTATAAGTAGTCAGATTGTGCTAGATTATTTTTACTGAAACAAACTGTAATGACCTCACTATTATTTTGAAACATGTATGTTAAAGGTTGTTTTTCTCCTAAAGGCAGCATCTTTTCTGCCAGGGCCTAACTGTAGCAGACACATTTCTTTGGAACAATTTCAATACATCTAAGAATTCTACATCAAGAGGAAATCACTGGAAAATTACCTTGTGAATTTCTTTGGCACTGAAGCAGTTATTTTTTAATTATTGCACAGAACCTTAATACTCAAAGCAATTACATGACTTTCTATACCTTAGAACCTAATGTAAGTTAATCTGGTATTTTGAAATTGTAAAAACCTAATTTTAAAGTCAAAGATGAGTGCCCAATGTAGGAAAAAAATGCTTATATAAAATTAGAAATAGTTCTTAGCTTATTTTTAAAGTTAAATTTAATAAAGCATTTATAATTAAGCTTGTAAGGATCTTAAAATGGTTTTTATCCTTAATATTTGAGTTAGGAGACATTCAGTCTTGTCTTAAGTCATATAGTAGCTATCCAACTTAGAGAATGTCTCAAATAATCTTTTGCATTTGTCTGAACAGTAGATTAAGGAAAAGGTTCTTTGAGATTTTCTTTAATTCCTGTTTTTGTTGTTGCTATTGTTTTGCTTTTAAAAATCAAGTCATCTTAGTATAATTCAGTTTTTTCTTTTTCTGATTTTCCTCCATGGGCATGTACATCTCCATGTTGTGATGGAGAGTATGATTGTCAGTTGTTCCACTGTTAATTGCTCACTCAGAGGGCCATTGATAATTGAATATTGTTTCTTTCGTCCTTTTATGTAAAAGATTTCTTTCCTTTAGCATAATGGAATTAGTTCCTGAGTACAGTATTTAAATTCATGACTTTACCCTTCTTTTGATGTCATTTCACTGATATTTGAGAGTTGATCTCATTGCATATAGCTAAGGACAAATCGAGATAAGTGTACAGTCTTCGCTTACAGTTTAAGAGCTTGGCCTATTTGGGAAGGATTCAGAAAGGAGGCATAAATGTTATTAAAATTACTAAAACCTGTGATTAAAAGACAACACTGTTAGGGTGTTTTAAGGGTAGTCAACAAGTACGTGCACTACGGTGCTATTCTACTTGGGGTTCATTATCTACTGTCATTCAGTGGTATTAAATAGGAAAGTTCTTTAGCCAAAAAAAAAAAAAAAAAAAGTGTGTCTGAGCTTTTCTCTATCTTCTCTCACAATAATCCTCCTACATCTTGAACTCACTAAGTCAAAAACTATATCTGAAACATGGTGTGTGGGAATTTGAGTGAAAAGATTATAAACAGAATCAATTGCAGTAAATTATACATACTGCCTTAGAGTATAATTCTGCTGTGGGCTAGGACACTTCTAATTTCTAAGCCTTGTGATTGTAGTTATTTGCACTAATTGATCTTATTCTGAACTGCCAGTTTCATTGGGAGATGACAATAATATTAGTCCTGAAAGAGTAAAGCCTTTTCTCATTTGCGCCTTGGGAAAACACTGATTTGGTTTCTATTGGAAACTGCTGTCCATGTGGCAAACTCCACCAAAATCAGTAAGTGACTTTTTGCCTTTGAATGTATTCCTTCTTAAAGTCTTTGACCATCTAATGTTCTTGGATATGTAATCAGTCATCTTGAATTACGTTTGTTCTCTGTCTTTCTTTTTATTTATCTCTCTGCTTTTAAGGACACAATATCTTTTCTACGTATGCTTCTAACCTAAAGTTTTTTATCCACAATACCTTTCTCTAATATTCTACTTAGAATTCAACAATATAACTCTCCCATAAAATAAGCATTTAACTTTATGTTATACAAATTTTAAAAACTAGTTAAAATCTGGATTTATTGGCAAGATGGTAGTGTCAGCAAAGGAATGTACTATGAAATAGAAAACAATATATAAATAGGTAAAATACTGATTAGTAATTAAAAAGAGAATGAGTATCAGGTACATCTTAGAGCTCTAAAGTATTTCTGCTAAATGTATTCTTGATGAGTCTCTCCTGAAAAGCAGAATTGAAGAGTATCATATAATTATCATCCTGAGAGAAACGGAATTTCGTTTGGTTGGTTGGTTTTGGTTTTTTCCTGAAGCAAAGAGGACAGATGCCCTGGTGGAATCCCACAGACAGCTGCTTAATGTGAGAGGAAAAAATTGCGTTTTCTAAGAAATAGAAGCCCACTGGGTGTTGAACGGCTAGTCAAGAGTGTTCATTTCACTACTCCAGTCCTCTTTGGACAAGAACACTGAGGCAGATGGATGAAGTGTGAATGGCTTCATGATGGACACATTCAACATAGCCATGAGCCTCTCCCTAAGGGTACCATCTCTGCTTATGCAGAGACATGATTCCTGATCATGGGTCTACCAGTGATTAGATGTCTGTTTCCCTCTTCACTCTGTCAAATTAGCATGAGTTATACATTACTAGATATTCTTTGTTTTTTACCCTTAAATTTAGATCTGATGCCCCCCTCTAATAAACATTTGGGGCTTTAGTAATAATCATCTTGGTTTTAACTCATTCAATTCTTGCCAGACTATAAAACCTTTCTAGGCCAGGCTAGAGACTTCTAGAAAGGAATACAGAAGCAGAGAAAAATCACAACAGATATGAAAACATTCTTTATATTAGAAGTGATGCTTTCAGGAGATTCAAGGGATTCCTCTCTGTCTTGAATATATAAATTAAGAAATATTTACCAAATATCTTTCTGTTTTAGAAATATATTAAAATATTTTCCATGAGACTCTAATAAAAAGGAATAATCTGAGTTAAGAGTGCAGACAGATTAAAAAAAAAAACCCAGGTGCTGACTTAAAAATAATGAGGGAGGCAGATGAAGAGAAGATTTGACCCTGAAGAGAATTAATGAAGGTAAAGGCATGCCACACAAATTCTCTCAGAACGCAGAGGGGAAAGTCAGAATAAAAACGAGAAGGCTGGTAATAAAATTCCCTGGAGATAATGAGCTTCTCAAGCGATAATGAAGCAATTTGAACCACCAAAGCATGATTTATGAAAGAAATCATTGATAAGCTGGATTTCATTAAAATTAAACTTCTTCTCTGTGAAAGACACTGTCTAGAGAATGAGAAGACAAGTCACTGACTAGGAAAAATATTTGCAAAAGACACATCTGATAAAGGACTGTTATCCAAAATATACAAAGAACTCTTTAATTTCAACAATAAGAAATCAAATCCATTAAAAATGGGCCGAAGATCTGAATGGACACATCACCGAAGATATACAGATGGCAAATAAACGTATGAAAATAGGTTCTATATCACATGTCATCATGAAAAATGCAAATTAAGACAAAAGATGCCACTGCAAAGCCATTAGAATGGCCAAAATCCAAATCACTAACACTAAATGCTGGAGAGTATGGAACAACAGAAGTTCTTTCATTGCTGGTGGGAATACAAAAATGGTGCAGGTAATTTGGAGAACTGTTTGGCAGTTTCTTTTAAAATTAAACATATTCTTACCATGTGATTCAACAGTTATGCTCCTTGGTATTTACCCAAATGAATTGAAAACTTACGTCCATAGAAAAACCTGCACACAGATGTTTATAGCAACTGTATTCACAATTTCCAATACTTGGAAGAACCAAGATGTCCTTCAGTGGATGAATGGATAAACTGTGGTACATCCAGATAATGGAATATTTCACAGTGTTAAAAATAAATGAGCTATGAAGCCATGAAAAGACAGGGAAGAAACATAAGTGTATGTTACTAAGTGAAAGAAGCCAGTCTGAAAAGACTCTACACTATATGATTCCAACTATATGACATTCTAGAAAAGGAAAAATTATGAAGACAGTAAAGAGATCAGTGGAGGCTGGGTGAGGTGGCTTACGCCTGTAATCCCAGTACTTTGGAAGGCTAAGGAAGGAAGATCGCTTGAGCCCAGCAGTTCAAGACCAGCCTGGGAAACATAGGAAAACCTCGTCCCTACAAAAAAAATTAACAAAAAAAAAAAGCTAAAAATTAGCCTAGGCATGGTAGTGCGTGCCTGTAGTCCCAGTTACTTGGGAATCTGAGGTGAAAAGATTGCTTGAGCCCAGGAGGCAGAGGTTGCACCACTACACTCCAGCCTGGGCAACAGAGAAAGACCCTGTCTCAAAAAAAAAAAAAAAAAGCATTGGTTGCCAAGGGTTCAAGGAGGGAAAGATGAATAGGTGGAACAAAGAGGTTTTTAGGGCAATACAACTAACGTTCATGATATAATAGTGGATGCCTTCCTTATACATTGTCATTAAGTCCATTAAAAATGTGGGTTAGTAATGTAACCCTAATATAAATTATGGGCTTTGGTTGATAATGACATGTCAATGTAGGCTCATGGATTATAACATATGTACCATTCTGATGTGTGATGTTGATAGTAGAGAAGTTTGAGTATGTGTCGGGACAGGAGGTATATGGGAATTCTTGTACTTTCTGCCCAATTTTTCTATAAACCATGAAGAATAAAGTGTATTTTAAAAGTAGTACACAGCAGGTCCCCAAATAAATTCCTTCCATTCAAAGTCCTTTCATTAAAACAGATGAGAAAAACAATCCCTTCCTGCCAAAGCCACTGTCTCAGTGGAGTTGGCATTTTCTCCCACTGTCTAGGTGGATTTTCTCCAGTTCCTCTGGTTTTCTGTCATGTCCCAAAGATTCAGGAAATTGCTGTGTCTACATGGTCCCAGTGAGTGTGGGTGTGAGTGGCTCTGTGATAGGACGGTGGCCTGGCCAGGGCTGGTTCCTGCCTTGTGCCCTGAGCTGAGGGGACAGGCTGCAGCCACCCTCAACCCTGCAATAAGTGAGTGGGAAAATGAATGAATGAATGAATGAATGAATAAAAATTATGGTCAAAATTTCATCAAGTAGATGATAATCATAAAAATGCAAGACAATAAAGGATGCAGTAAAAAAGTGCTCTGCAAACTCCCTTCTTTGTAATTACCTGTTTACTAACTGTGTGGTCAGAGGAGGTGCAAACATTTCTTTGATTTAATTCCCCAGCACTACAACCTCTGCTCATTGATTCACCAAAACTTGGTAAATCATCGTCTTACTTCCTTTGATTTATCTTTCTTAAATGTCTGTATAGCTCATGTTTATTTCAGTGTTTAGTAGTGGAAGTGATTTCATCTTAAGAAATTTGGTGATGTTCTTGTGACCAGAAATATGCCTTAGAAACTTCACTCTTGTTAATATAAATTATTTTTTGTAAAATTGGTTTTGTTATACATCTTTTCACTTAGAGCTGCAGTCTCCAAGGACCTATTGAGGATGTTAAGTGAAGATTTATTCTATTAATTGTTCTTGGAAGAAGTAAATATCTTAATACTAATAAAACTTTTTCTTCATCTCTAAAATGAGATTTCTTAAATTAACTTAAATTTTTAGGAAGAGAATGAACATTCACATGAAAGACTTTATGAATCATAGTGTTATAAATTTACTTATAACGGAAATTTCTTTCCAGTTCTGATTTTTTTTTTTTTTTGAGATGGAGTTTCGCTGTTTTCACCCAGGCTGGAGAACAATCGTGTGATCTCAGCTCACTGCAACCTCCGCCCTCCAGGTTAAAGCTATTCTCCCGCCTCACCCTCCCAAGTAGCTGGGATTGCAGGTGCTCACCAACACGTCCAGCTAATTTTTGTATTTTAAGTAGAGACAGGGTTTTGCCACGTTGGCCAGGCTGGTCTCGAACTCCTGACCTCAGGTGATCCACCGACCCCTGCCTCCCAAAGTGCTAGGATTACAGGCATGAGCTGCCACACCTGGCCCCCAGTTCTAATGATTTAACATCATAGTTGAATAACATAATTGATGAATTTCAGTGCTTCACCTGGTTATGTGCACAAGAAAAAAAATGATTAAAATAGGCTAAACTGTGTAAGTAACATAACCAAAATATTTCTAATTTTTCAAAAATATATGTGACATAAATAATCCTTAGCTTTGAGAAAACTTTTTAGGTATATTTTGTAATGGGAATATCTGACAGGAATTTTCCAACCTGGAATTGACCTGTTTCAAATATATAGAGAAAGTAAAATACAAGTCTTAACTTAATGCCTAAAACTTAATAAATTTCCCTTTCTATGGTGAGCTTCCAAAATGTCTGTCTCAAATAATTTCTGTAATTTAAAAGCCTGAGAGATTCTGGCAGACTTTCAGACTAGACAGTGGACCACAGAAATGAACATAAAAGAAATTTCTGAAACTTTTCTATCTAGAAAGTTAAAGTAAAATTTCTATATTATAATTAGATAATTTATGCCATTGCTATAAGTAAATCATTTTGCAGGTGACTTTTGAAGGTCTGAGTTTTATCTCTGGCCGTTTCTTCCATTAGAGGGAAAATTATGTTCAAAGCAGTTTAAAAACCTCTCTGGTCACCTCAATTTCTTCTGTAAGTATTCACCAAATCCAAGCTTTTAGTTCAGAGTGGGACATCAAAGTGGGTAAGTTTTTCTTCTGAAACACAGCTCATTTCACTATGTTGAGGATGGTATTAGGGCCATTATAAGAACATAGTTTGCCCAAGACTCCCCAGTCTTGCACTAGAAACCAGGTTAATTATAAATGTTTTATTTCATATGGTGCCGATAATTTACATTTTACTTGTGACAAGATCAAATCCATTATGGTGTAGAAATATTTTCAAATATTTTATGCCATTAAATGGCAAATGCTTTGTGGACATAAAGAGAATGACTATGTTTATGGTGGAATATACTGACTGATCATCTCCACAGCTCCACATACAGAAGTTGATAATATCTTGGTCATTTTACAGCTAAGTAAATAGACTCTCAGTGAGGTTATGCACCCTGCCTAAAGTTTTCTAACCAGCAAATTATAGAAGTAGGATTCAAAGCCTAACCCAGAATCCTTAACAATATATGCTGCCTTCATGAAGTTGGATGGAAAATATCTCAACTTGGGCCTGTGTTTCTCATTCTTTTTAGTTTCCCCAAATAAGTGCTAATATAGTATGTGCTCAGCAAAAGAATATTAACTTATTTCTGACTTAGCACCCATTTTCACCATGGTGAGTTGTCAATATTATATTTGGAAGATGTGGTATTTGCAAGCTTTCTAGCATAACTGGTAAATAATTAAAGTATTATATGATTATTATAAGGGGTACAACCTTGTGTGTTTACAACACTGCAACAAAAAAATTTCAATTCTTCTGAAAGGAAATGTTTCATCCCATACCCTGTCCTTGCTAGTAGAATACATGTCACTTTCCTATGAAATACTATAGAAAAAACTTGGCTTTATCTGAATTTGCTCTTCAACTTGAAGTCTTGTTCCATTGTCACTCAAAGCATTGGTTTGCAGTTACATGTTCATAAAGTATTGGGGGAACCCACCCCCACTATTTCAACGTAGGTTCTATTTTCCATAAGTGTCGGCTGGCTGAGAAATGAAGAGAAAGAGTACAAAGAGAGGAATTTTACAGCTGGGACTCCGGGGGTGACATCATATATCGGCAGGACCGTGCTACCCACCTGAGCCGCAAAACCAGCAAGTTTTATTAAGGACTTCAAAATGGGAGGGGGTGCAAGTACAGGGAGTGGGTCACAAGATCACATGCTTCAAAGGGCAAAAAGCAGAACAAAGATCACATGCTTCTGAGGAAACAGGACAAGGCAAAACAGAACTACTGATAAGGGTCTGTGTTCAGCTGTGCACATATTGTCTTGATAAACATCTTAAACAACAGAAAACAGGGTTTGAGAGCAGAGAACCAATCTGATGTCAAATTTACCAGGGCGAGGTTTTTCTCCAACCTAGTAAGCCTGAGGGTACTGCAGGAGACCAGGGCGTATTTTGGTCCTTATCTCAACCACTTAAGACCGGCACTCCCAGAGCAACTGTTTATAGACCTCCCGCCAGGAATGCATTCTTCCCCACGGTATTAATTATTAATACTCCTTGCTAGGAAAAGAATTTATCAATATCTTCCCTACTTACACGTCCATTTATAGGCTGTCTGCACGAAGAAAAATATGGCTCTGTTTTGCCCGACCTCACAGGCAGTCAGACCTTATGGTTGTCTTCCCTTGTTCCCTGAAAATCGCTGTTATTCTGTTCTTTTTCAAGGTGAACTGATTTCATATTGTTCAAACACACATGTTTTACAATCAATTTGTACAGTTAACACAATTATCACAGTGGTCCTGAGGTGATGTACATCCTCAGCTTACAAAGATAACAGGATTAAGAGATTAAATTAAGACAGGTGTAAGAAATTATAAGAGTATTATTTGGAAACTGGTGAATGTCCATGAAATCTTCACAATTTATGTTCCTCTGCTGCAGCTCCAGTTGGTCCCTCCGTTCAGAGTCCCTGACTTCCTGCAACAATAAAGTAGATTGCTGACACAGTAATTAAATCTCACTAGGTGTAGCAAATGGAATGGGTATAAGAAAAGCCACATGCATCCTGGAATTTACATTATTGAGAAAATTCAGTAAAGACAATGCATCATTTTACAGTTGGGGGATTTGGATCACACTTTTTAACAAGTTAATACGTATATTTGTTTTCTCTTAAAAAAACTTAAATTTGAATGTCCAAAGAAATAAAAGAATACATTACAAAAATAAGTGAAATAGCCAGGAAATATTGAAAGTTTAGAAGTTGGTGTTTATTTCACAGTCCCACTTCTCACATTGCTCCTTCATATCCACACACAACCCATCCCAACCCTGACCGTCTGTACTAGCCTCCTAACAACCAGCATTATCATAGTATTTAAATTACTTGGCTAATTAAAGCAATTTCTTATTTATATTGAAGTCATGTCCCTTCTGTGACACTTGCAGATGAAAAGATTCATTTCCTTTTTTTTGATATTACCTTTCCAAATGTTTTGACGATGGCCAATTGCTATAATTCAACTACAATATTTATAGGCGCCCCCTTTATACACAGTTTGCTGCTACATGATAATAACAGCTAATATTATTGAGCAGTTATTATGCTCTGAGGCACCATGCTACACCTAAAGTCTTAAACTATCCTATTTAGTCGTCAACATTCCAAAGAGGTATATATGGTTATTAAATCCATTTTTTTGATGATCCTAGAGACATAGAGAAACTTGCCTGAAGTTATAGAAGTGGCAAAGGACAGAGATAACACCAGAGCCCAAATTAGCCTGTCTCAGGGATAGTGTTAATTTTCTACACTGCATCCCTATCCCCTTTGTGTGATGCTTATACAGTTAGGGCAGTATTAGAGATCTTTTTAAGTAGTCTCATTTTTAGATCCAGCTAATTATTACCAGTATTATTCTTCCCATCTTTCAGTTTTCTGTTTATCTCTCAGTCTCTTAGCCAAATTTCCAAAGAGATTTTTAAATTCCCCTAGATAAACATTGAGATCAGAAATTGTTTAACCCTGTACAGATGCTGTCACTTCTATAGAGTTGAAAGAAAAAGTATAAGTAAATCAACTGGAAAACTGGAGCTCTAGAATAGTTTGGGATATATGCCATTACAGTAGCTGTTTTTTACATAATCATTTTGGTTTTACATGAAGATTATTGGCTTAAGTGTGTTGTTGTCTTAGTTTAAATTGTACACATTAACATAAATACAGAGTAAAGGGAAGGAACTAGTTTGCATTTTATAAAAGTACTTGGCATTAATAGGATGTAGGCACTCTGAAAGTCTAGATGATATAGTTGCACTAATTCTCTTCCTCTGATAGATTTAAGTGATTCCAGAATATATTTCTTTCAAATTAGATTGTTCCAACAAGAATAACTCAGTATGATGTACATTTAGAGCTCAATAGAACAGGACTTCTGGAATTTTAACAACATAATGAGGGTCTTCTTTTTGGCTTTCTGTACATCAAGCTTTGAAAGATATCTTTAAAATTATTCCTTGTTTGCTCCTACTTAGAAATTTCATTCTGAATAACGTGAACTTTTTTAACCAATAAAGTGCAGCCTGTACCCAAAGAATAACTAATTGTGTAATATTTTCAAATAGGTTTTATGCTGTTATGTAAGAGAAGAATCCGTTTAAAGAATTTTTAAAACCAAGTAATGTCTAATCCAATGTGAACCCTGAGTAGGATGAAAAAATAGCTACACGAATTCATCATAAATACATTTAATCACCCAGTATGTATGTCTTTTTTCTTAATGTGTTCTATTCCTCTGCGTTCTATTATACTTTATCCTTTTTGTATAGTTCAGAGGTTTAAAGGATGTGCTGACTTTAACATACTTTTGGTCTTTTTATTTATCAACTAATGTAATTTTTTCTAAGAACATAGTAGCTACATTACCAAAGTCAGTAAATTCTCAGATATTAAGGTTTAAGAGAGGGCTCACTTATATTTCTTAAACGTGATTTACAAAGGAATTTATTCTACATCGTGCTCAAGAATTAGAATATTTCAATTCTGTTACCAGGGGTGGGTGTCCAGCTTCTTGGTGTTTTGAACAAAGAATTGGACCAAATGCACAAACAAAGCTGGGAAAGAATGAAGCAACAAAAGCAGAGATTTATTGAAAACAAAAGTACCCTCCACAGGGTGGGAGCAGGCCCGAGCATAGGGGCTCAAGAGCCTGGTTACAGAATTTTCTGGGGTTTAAATACCCTCTAGAGGTTTCCTATTGGCCACTTGGTGTACACCCCATGCAAATGAAGTAGTGGCCCACCATCAGTCTGATTGTTGGCAGAAAGTTTTTCACAACCAATGACAGGCTGAAGTGAAGTTACAAAGGTTACACCCTATGCAAACATCTGATTTGTTGTGGAAGGCAGCCAATCAGAGGCTAAAGTGAAGTTACAAAGTTACACTTCTATGCACACGAAGAGTTGGATTGCAATCAATGTGATTGGTTGTGGAAAGCAACCCATCAGAGGTACTTACGATTTTCCATCTGACACTCATCAAAAGAAAGGGTGGGTTGCAAAGGAAGTAGTCTTCAGTCCTTTTGTTACTTAGGTGTGGAAAGTTGGGGAGTTTCTTTTGATTTAGTTCTGGGAAGTCAGCATGAATCGACCTTAGGTTCCCTGACTCCAGACCCTATTCTCCTGCCTCAATTCCATTGACCAAATTCCATTTAGTTGTCTATGAGGTTAAATGGTGTACCTTTATGTCCATTTCTTTTTTACAGTTTTCTAGGATAGAGTCTCAAGAAACTTTGCCTATAACCTAATATCAAACACTTAGTGTAGAGATAGTTAATACTGCTAATAATTACTTGCAATCAACTAACTAGGATAATTGCCTCACTTTTCACATTGTACAGGTATAGGTTATAAAATATAATTATAGTGTGCTCACGCCTGTAATCCCAGCACTTTGGGAGGCTGAGGCAGGCAGATCACGAGGTCAGGAGATTGAGACCATCCTGGCTAACATGGTGAAATCCCGTCTCTACTAAAAATACAAAAAATTAGCCAAGTGAGGTGGCGGGTGGCTGTAGTCCCAGCTACTTGGGAGGCTGAGGTAGGAGAATGGCGTGAACCAGGGAGGCAGAGCTTTCAGTGAGCCAAGATTGTGTACTGCACTCCAGCCTGGGCAACAGAGTGAGACTCTGTCTCAAAAAACAAATAATAATAATTATAGTGAGAAATATATTTGTGTATACACATATAGTGTTTTCATATAAGCTGTCAAAGAATTCTACATGTGATGGTATTGAATAGATTATGTCCTTGCTTTCCTGCTGTTTTTTTCTTGCTTTCCTCTTTCTTGACTATTTTCCAACTAGGCTCCATAACACTACACAAACCAGTAAAAGATCTATAGAAATTTTCTTTTTTAAAAATTTAATTTAATTAAGTAATTTTATGTTTTTGACACAGTCTCGTTCTGTTGCCCAGGCTAGAGTGCAGTGGCACGATCTTGGCTCACTGCAAACTCTGCCTCCCAGGTTCAAGCGATTCTCCTGCCTCAGCCTCTTGATTAGCTGGATTACAGACATGCACCACCATGCCCAGCTAACTTTTGTATTTTTAGTAGAGACGGGGTTTCTACTAAAAGACCATGTGGGCCAGGCTGGTCTCAAAGTCCGGGCCTCAAGTCATACACCTGCCTCAGCCTCCCAAAGTGCTGGGATGACAGGGGTGAGTTACCATGCCTGGCCTTTTTAAAATTTTATTCTTTTTTAAGTTCTGGGATACATGTACAGGATGTGCAGGGTTTTTACATAAGTATACGTGTGCCATGGTAGTTTGCTGCCCCATCAGCCCATCATCTAGCTACTAAGGCTCACATGCATTAGCTATTTATCCTGGTGCTCTCTCTCCCCCAACTCCCGCCAAGAGGCCCCAATGTGTGTTGTTCGCCTCTGTGTGTTCATGTGTTCTCATTGTTGAACTCCCACTCATAAGTGAGAACATGCAATGTTTGGTTTTCTGTTCCTGTGTTAGTTTGCTGAGGACAATGGCTTCCAGCACCATCCATGTCCCTGAAAAGGACATGATCTCATTCCTTTTTATGGCTGCATAGTATTCCATGATATATATATCCCTACCACATTTTCTTTATCCAGGCTATTACAGATGGGTATTTGTGTTGGTTCTATGTCTTTGCTATTGTGAATAGTGCTGCAAAGAACATATGTGTGCATGTATCTTTATAACAGAATGATTTATACTCCTTTGGGTATATACCTAGTAATGGGATTCATGGGTAAAATGGTATTTCTGTTTCTAGGTCTTTGAGGAATTGCCACACTGTCTTCCACAGTGGTAGAACTAATTTACATTCCCACCGATAGTGTAAAAGCATTCCTATTTCTCCACAGCCTCGCCAGCAACTGTTGTTTCTTGACTTTTTAATAACCATCATTGTGACTGGCATGAGATGCTATCTCATTTTGGTTTTGATTTGCATTTCTCTAATAATTAGTGATGTTGAACTTTTGTTCATATGTTTGTTGGCCTCATAAATGTCTTCTTCTGAGAAGTATGTGTTCATGTCCTTTGCCTGCTTTTTAATGGGGTTGTTTGATTTTTTTCTTGTATATTTGTTTAAGTTCTTTGTAGATTTTGGGTATTAGACCTTTGTCAGATGGGTAGATTGCAAAAATTTTCTCCCATTCTGTAGGTTGTCTGTTTACTCTGATGATAGTTTCTTTTGCTGTGAAGAAGCTCTCTAGTTTAATTAGATCCCATTTGTCAATTTTTGCTTTTGTTGTAATTGCTTTTGATGTTTTTGTCATGATATTTTTGCCCGTGCCTATGTTCCAAATGGTATTGCCTAGATTTTCTTCTAGGGTTTTTATAGTTTTGGGTTTTACATTTCAGCTTTTAATCCATCTTGAGTTAATTTTTGTGTAAGATGAAAGGAAGGGTTTGAGTTTCAATTTTCTGTATATGGCTAGCCAGTTTTCACAGCACCATATATTAGTTAAGGAATCCTTTTCCCGTTGCTTATTTTTGTAAGGTTTGTCAAAGATCAGATGGTTGTAGATATGTGTTCTTATTTCTCAGATGTCTATTCTGTTCCATTGGTCTCTGTGTCTGTTTTGTACCAGTACCATGCTGTTTTGGTTACTATACCTTGTAGTATAATTTGAAGTCAGACAGCATAATGCCTCCAGCTTTGTTCTTTTTGCTTAGGATCATCTTGGCTATATTGGCTCTTTTTCAACATAGTTTTGGAAGTTCTGGCCAGGCCTATCATGCAAGAGAAAGAAATAAAGCGTATTCAAATAAGAAGAGAGGAAGTCAAACTGTCTCTGTTTGCAGATGATATGGTCCTATATGTGGAAAACACCATAGTCTCAGCCTAAAAGCTTCTAAAGCTGATGAGCAACTTCAGCAAAGTCTCAGGATACAAAATCAGTGCCCAGAAATCACAAGCATTCCATACACTAGCAATAGACAAGCAGAGAGCCAAATCATGAATGAATGCCCATTTACAATTGCTACAAAGAGAATACAATACCTAGGAATACAGCTAACAAGGAAAGTGAAGGACCTCTTCAAAGAGAACTAGGAAAGTAAAGGACCTATTCAAGGAGAACTACACGCCACTGCTCAAGGAAATAGAAGAGGACACAAAGAAATAGAAAAACTTGCCATGCTCAAGGATAGGAAGAATCAACAACATAAAAATGCCCATATTGCCCAAAGTAATTTGTAGATCATATGCTATTCCCATTTAACTACCACTGACATTCTTCACATAATTAGAAAAACCTACTCTGAAATCCACATGGAACCATAAACATTTTCATGAACATATGCTATACTTGACTTTTCCTGGTTGGCTAGGATTGCCATGAAAAAATACCATAGATTTAGTGGTTTAAACAACAGATATGTACTTTCTCACAGGCCAGAAGTCCTACATCAAGTACAACTTCTAGTTGAGTAGAAATGTTAATAGCAGGAACTCTTGCCTCATGTCTGATTTGATTCTTTCTTAATTTGTGATTTTTTATTGTAAAAATTATATAGCCATGCCATGGACATGTGAAATAAAATTTCTACTTGAGGCTTCCCTCCTTGGCTTGCAGATGGCTGCCTCTTGTTTCCTCTTCACAGTCCCTCCCTGCACCTGCATCCTTGGTGTCTCTCTGAATGTCCTAACCTCCTCCTCTTAAAAGGACACTGGTCAGATCAGATGAGAGCTATTAATATAACCTCATTTAACCTATTACCTATTTAAGTCTCTATCTCCAAATATAATTACATTCTAAGGTACTGGGAGCTAAGACTTCAATATACGAATTTTGAGGTGATACAATTCAGTCTATGGTATGATTGGAATGTGTTCCCCAAATAGCATGGATTGGAAACTTAATCACCTTTGCAACAGTATTAAGAAGTGGGGCCTTCAGGCAAGGTGGCTCACGCCTGTAATTCCAGCACTTTGGGAGGCCAAGGTGGGCAGATCATTTGAGGTCAGGAGTTCGAGACCAGCCTGACCAACGTGGAGAAACCCTGTCTCTACTAAAAAATACAAAAATATCCCAGTGTGGTGGTGCATGACTGTAATCCCAGCTACTTGGGAGGCTGAGGCAGGAGAACTGCTTGAACCTGGAAGCAGAGGCTGTGGTGAGCCGAGATGGCACCATTGCACTACAACCTGAGCAGCAAGAGTGAAACTCCATCTCAAAAAAAAAAAAAAAAAAAAAGTGGGGTCTTTAAGAGGTGATTAGGCCATGAAGGCTCTGCCGTCATCAATGGATTAATGCCATTATTGAGGAGGTGGATTCATTATTGAGGTAGCAGCTTCCTTATTAAAGGACAAGTTCAGACCCCTCTTGTTCCCTCTTTTGCTCTTTCTTGGCTTTTCCTTCATGGGATGATGTGTCACAAGAAGGCCCTCACCAAATGCCAGTTCCTCAATCTTGCACCTCTCAGCCTCAAGAACCATGATCCAATAAATTTCTGTTCATTTTCTCAGCATTCCACAGAGGTATTGCAGGTTTTGTTCCAGACCACCGCAATAAAGCAGGTATCACAGTAAAGCAGGTCACATGAAGCTTTTGGTTTCCAGTGCATAAAAAAGTTAAGTTACAATGTACTTTAGTCTGTTAAGTGTGCAATAGCATTATGGCTGAAAAACAATGTACATACCTTAATTTTAAAACACTTTATTACTAAAAAAAAATGCTAACAATTACGTGAGCCTTCAGCAAATCATAATCTTTTTGCCGGCGGAGGGTCTGGCCTTGATGTTAATGGATGCTGACTGATCAGGGTAGTGGTTGCTAAAACTTGGGGTGGCTGTGGCAAATTCTGAAAATGACACAACAATGAAGTTTGCTCCATTGATTGACTCTCATGAAAGACTTCTCCACAGCATGTGATGCTATTTGATACCATTTTACCACTTTGAAAATCGGAGTCAATCTTCTCCAATCCAGCTGCTTCTTTATTAACTAAGTTTATGTATACTTGAAATCATTTGTTGTCATCTCAACAATGTTCATAGCTTCTTCACCAGGAGTATATTCCATCTTAAGAAATCACTTTCTTTGTTCATCCCTCGGAAACAACTCCTTATCTGTTTAAGTTTTACCATGAGATTGCAGCAACTCAGTCACATCTCAGGCTCCACTTCTAGTTCTAGTTTTCTTGCTATTTCCACCACAATTCCAGTTAAACTTCCTCCACTGAAGTCTTGAGCCCCTCAATGTCATGTGTGAGGGTTGGAATCAACTTCTTTCAAACTCCTGTTAATACTATTGTGATTTCCTTTCATGAATCACAAAGTTCTCGTGGCAGAGAATGGTGAGTCTCTCCTAGAAGGTTTTCAATATACTTTGCTCAGATCCATCAAGGCAGCTATAGCGTTATGAATGATAGCACACCTGTTTAAAGTATGGTTTACTGAATATTTTAAGGTCACTGTTGAGACCTGCTGCTTAGAAAAGAAAGATTCCTTTCAAAATGTTAATGCTCATTGACAATGTACTCAATCATATAAAAGCTCTGATGAAGATGTATAAGAAGATTAATGTTGTTTTCATGCCTGCAAACACAACATCCATTCTGCAGGCCATAGATCAAAGAGTAATTTCAAAGTTCAAGTCTTACTGTGTTAGAAATACATACATGAAATAAATGCTATGGTAAAGGAAAACATGATTAAAAATGTATGTACAGAATAATAGCAAATCTGTATATACAGAAATTCCTATGAATGGGAAAAAATAGGAAAAATCCAGTAAACATACAATATTAATTGCAAGGTCTTTGTATGATAGAATACATGACTTTCTTCACCTTTTTACATTTTCTCATGTGTCCCAGAATTAGTATATTTATTACACATTACTTTAAGCGGTGTGTTTTAATAAATTAAAATAAGACCTGTATAAAACACTGGTAATTAAGCTGTAGAAAAATATCAAGTCAAAAGAATGATAATTTAACAGTCACAGACTAAAAGCCAACTTTAATATTTGCAGAACATCATAGAAAATATTCCTCTATTCATACACATTGAACAGGAAAAGAGAAACGGGAAGAAAAGAATAATTTGAGAGGAAAGTGTTAACAGCATATAAGCTCTTTTAAGTTAAATTCTATTAAATTTTTTATATTTTGCAAAAGAAAAAGAAATGGGAGTAAATAGGAATATACTTCTAATTTTCAGGCAAATATTCTTAAGCAACATGGGTTATTAGTTTTTTTAAAAATCCTCTAAGATGAAGAATAAAGAAAAAGCACTGTTTTTGTTGTTGTTGTTGTTGTTTTGTTTTGTTTTGTTTTTTTGAGACGGAGTTTCACTGTCATTGCCCAGGCTGGAGTACAATGGCACCATCTCGACTCACCACAACCTCTGCCTCCCGGGTTCAAGCGAGTCTCCTGCCTCAGTCTCCCAAGTAGCTGGGATTACAGGTATGCACCACCACACCCGGCTAATTTTGTATTTTCAGTAGAGACGGTGTTTCTCCACGTTGATCAGGCTGTCTTGAACTCCCGGCCTCAGGTGATCTGCCCACCTTGGCCTCCCAAAGTGCTGGGATTACAGGCGTGAGCCGTCGTGCCCAGCCTAGCACTGTGATTTTTTTTTTTTTTTTTTTTTTTTGAGACTAAGTTTCGCTCTGTTGCCCATGCTGGAGTGCAGTGGTGCCATCTCGGCTCACTGCAAACTCCGCCTCCCGAGTTCATGCCATTCTCCTGCCTCAGCCTCCCGAGTAGCTGGGACTACAGGCGCCAGCCACAATGCCCGGCTAATTTTTTTTGTATTTTTAGTAGAGACGGGGTTTCACTGTGTTAGCCAGGGTGGTCTCGATCTCCTGACCTCGTGATCCACCCACCTTGGCCTCCCAAAGTGCTGGGATTACAGGCGTGAGCCACCGCGCCTGGCCTGTGATTTTTAACTATGTTGACTGGCCCTCTCTATAAATGTTGAGGTAATTGACATTGCTATGTGTTCTCTTTTTCTCTCCCACCGTATTAGTATGTATGTTATATTAGGTCTATTTGTAGTGAGATTTTTAATATTTACATGCACTTATGCAACCATAAATTTTCTAATTGTTTTCTAAATCCTTCTCATGATTCACCTCTTAAATTAGGTCTATTTTTAGTGAGATTTTTAATATTTACATGCACTTATGCAACCATAAATTTGCTAATTGTTTTCTAAATCCTTCTCATGATTCATCTCTTAACTCAAATGTCCACTCTGCTCTAGCACAATTTCCCAGGAAGCCTTGTGTTATCACATTAATCTCTCCTTATCAGAAATGAATATAATATAGTACTTAATTGTTTTCTAGTTGCTTCATTTGTGCTCATTTCGATTTATGGTTATTTTTATAAAGGTACTGAAGTAAATAAACGCTTTTGTTTTCTTTACATGTGCCAGCACAGTGTAGGACATAGAGCAAGTACGAAATAATCCCATAAAAAATATTTTTGTGAGATACATCTAAGTATTCAGAAAATTATCCAACATGTCTATCTCTTTCTCATTCCGGTGTAGGGCATAGATAAAAAGTAAAATTAATCTTGAGTACCTTGCTCTTCACAAAATACAATTTGGCAATATGTTGTATTATTCTAGGTACACAGAAATCAGATTAACATAGGCAATTCTTGCTTTGCACAGTGGCGCAGAGTCAGAAAACTGAATTTAAGCTGAAACTGCGCAAAGCAATTTTAATATTCAGAGGGGACAAATGTGACAGTTCCATCACTTTTAAAATGTTCATCCAAATAGTAAAAATTCTTACTATCATTTAAAATATATAGAGAAATGGAAAACTTCATAAGACTACTATGTATTTTTACATTCTCATTTAAAACAGGAAATTGAGAAAACTATTTCTTTGTAAAAACTTATTGAGTAACTTGAACTTTGGTTATTTTCTTCTCACAGTATGGCGTATGGTATGGTGTGAGCATCTTTTCTATGTATCAGTGAATTGTCATCCTCTGCCCTAAGTGTGTCTCAGGTCATTCATTTTTCATTTGCACTTTCAGTCAAGAAATATTTCTGAGTTCCTTGAAAGTGAAGTTTTTTTGCCAGCATTGATTCCTCTAGGACACCATTATCTTTTTTGTCATAGCCATATTCCTCATTTGTATCTATAAGGACACCCTCACCAAGTTCCTCTGGCTGCACTTCTAGTTTTTCAGACATCGGCAGTGCAGCATTCTCATTATCAGCTACTTCTTCTATAATTCCACCTGTGTTCTATTAGAATTTCACTTCCAGGGTTCATCACCAGGTTTTGTTTCTTTGCTGCATTTTTATCTTTATTGGCCATTGACTATTTTTGATCACGTGTTTTTGTAAAATATGACATGGGTTTTGTAAAATATAACATGGGTTTATCACAGGGAAGCAATGTCATTATACTCTGTTGTCTTTTTTTTTTTGTTTTTTGTGACACAGAGTTCTTGTCACCCAGGCTGGAGTGCAGGGCCACTTGCATTCTCTGCTCCTCCTCATTGGGCCTACAAACACGAGCTAAACAAAGAGACAGATACCTAATCATGGGTACTTTCCCAAGGAGAAATTTCTCTCTTCTATCTCTACTCCAAAACCACATGCGTCAGTGCAGGGAAGAGTATGTGTTGGGAATGAAGAGTAGGAGGGGAAAGAAGAGAGCAGACCAAGGACAGAGCTTTGCTTTGTATTTTATTGTTTATTTATTTGAGAACTTTGCTTTGAATATGAGTTTGAGTTTTTTGTTTGTTTGTTTGTTTTTTTGAGGCAGAGTTTCACTCTTGTTGCCCAGGCTGGAGTGCAATGGTGCGATGTCACCTCACTGCAACCTCTGCCTCCTGGGTTCAAGTGATTCCTGCCTCAGCCTCCTGAGCAGCTGGGATTACAGGTGCCCACCACCAAGCCCGGCTTATTTTTTTTGTATATTTAGTAGAGTCGGGGTTTCGCCATGTTGGGCAGGCTGGTCTCAAACTCCTGACCTTAAGTGATCCATCCACCTTGGCCTCCCATGGTGCCTGATTACAGACATGAGCCACCTTGCCCAGCTTACTCTGTTGTCTTTAAGTGAATTGAATAACAGATGCACAGTGACCAATTAGCTACAGACTTTGAAAGAAGTGACGTGATTGGTCATTGCTCATGGTGTGTTTGTTATTTATGCAGCTATTTGTCAACTGTAAAGCCGGCTATAATAAGTCTGTACTTTAGGCAGTTATTCACAGTTAATATAGAGTAATCATTAAGACTTGAAGCATGGTTTTCAGGGATAAGTGGTAATTAAAATGTGGTAACTGAAATTTGTGCATATCTGGACTATGCAAAATGACTGCTGGTACTTGGTTTTAATATTATTTTGGTTTGATCATTCTATAATTCTCAAGAATAATCTCTTTACTCTCCTACAATTTTCTTCTTTTTCCATGGAGTCTTGCCCTTTTGCCCAGGTTGGAGTACAGTGGTGCTGTCTCGCCTCACTGCAACCTCCGCCTCCCAGGTTCAAATGATTATTCTGCCTCAGCCTCCCAAGTAGCTGGGATTACAGGCGCCCGCCACCATGCCCTGCTAATTTTTGTATTTTTAGTAGAGATGGGGTTTCACCATCTTGGCCAGGCTGGTTTTGAGCTCCTGACCTCGTGATTCACCTGCCTCCGCCTCCCAAAGTGCTGGGATTACAGGCACAAGCCACCGCGCCTGGCCTCCTCTCCCACAATTTTCTAAGGTAAGCCTATATTTTCCTTTTACTGGTGTTCAGGAATGTATTCTATATTCCTTTCTCATTGAAGCTAGTAGCACTGCAAATATATCTTTAGGTCCATAAATAAGCCTGCATATGCAGTAATAGCAATATATCCAGGGACTGTATTTATTTTTCTAATCACTTAAATCTTGCATCTTTTTAATATAACCGTTAGTTGATTCAGCCAGTCATCTAACACACTATCTTATTTGAAGAAGCAGAAATGTGTGCACTGAAAAGCTTCAGTTTTTATACCAGCATATATTATTAGCTTCCCTTCTTCTATGACAAACCGATAAAATACTATCTAGTCATTCTTCATTGCCTATTAAATTTGAGGAATATTTTCCTGTTTGTTTGTTTAGTTTTATTGTGTTTTAATGATTTTAGTTCTTTATATTTTTCTTCTTTCAATGATCTGACCGTATTTCTACTACTTTGAATTTTTTCTCTACTTAATCTGAAAATATTAACTTTAAACATGCCATGGTGTTGGGTTTTCAAAGCTTCTGAGTATCTTGAGAGCAAGATTTGTCTCGTGATTTATTTCCTCCTTCTGCTGTGTTCATCAGTGTTCATATTAAAGTCTAAATACCTGATTATTTTCTGCCTCAATCAGTTTCTTTTCTAGCATCCAATTCCGTAGCCACAGTCACTGACAGTGGCCAAAGTCTATCTTAAAAGTTTTTAGATGAGTTGAACAAAGCACAATTAATTTATCCATTTGTATTATTATAAGGGCTAGTTTATCCTGGTAGGCTTATGTCTTGTTACTGAGATACTAAACATTTAGAGAAAATATTGATACACAAGATAACACCAGGTCTGTTTTTAGATTCTCAATCTTTCTTTTAGCTGAGCATTCAAATTATAAGTGCTGTACCACCTAATCTGTTACTCCAATATCAGCACATCTTTCTTTATATGCTAAAGTATTTATTTGCAAACGAAACATCCAATTAGCCTATTATTTTTCTAAATTCTATCTCCCATGTTAGATGTTTCCAAGGATCACTTCATTTGACATCGTTGTTTTAAAATTTCAAAAGCAAACTATATCTAATTTATTATCTCGTTTTACTTTAGTGTTTTCATTACTAGAATAGTGTGCTGGCAATTTTTTTTTTTTTTTTTTTACTGAAAAGAAGAGTAGCAGCATATTATTGAAAACACTCTCGTCTGAAATTCAGGTGATCTGAACTCTATTCCTTAATCTAATATAGGCAGTGTGGTCTCCAAAAAGTCAATTTTCTAAGCATCAGTTTCATTATCTATAAAATGATATGCATTTGAGAAGGGAAGGAAGATTTAAAGTAGAAAATGTCACGATTCTTTGACTCTAAGTCCCCTCTTTATTGAAGTTTCCTTTTCCTGAGTAACCTAAAATTCTTCTTCACTATCCACTTTGAATACACTTATTTATCTCTAAAGTGTTTTTGTTGGCTGTGTGTGGTGGCTCAGACCTATAATCCTAGCAATTTGGGAATCCAAATTGCTTGAGCTCAGGAGCCCAGGACCAGCCTGAACAACATAGACCCCATCTCTACCAAAAAAAAAAAAATTAAAATAAATAGCTGGGTGTAGTGGCTCGCACCTGTAGTCCTGGCTACTTAGGAGACTGAGGCTGGAGGATTGCTTGAGCCCAGGAGGCCAAGGCTGCAGTAAGCCATCATTGCACCACTGCACTCCAGCCTGGGTGTCAGAGTAAGACCCTCTCTCAAAAATAAACTGTTTTTTTGTCATCTTGGTAATAAAATAGACAATGTTGTGTCCCCACCAAATTTATAAGCCCTAATCACCAGTGTGTTGTTTATTTGGAGGTAGGTCCTTTGGGAGCTCATTAGTTTTAGATGACGTCATGAGGGTAGAGTCCCTATGATGAGATTAGTGTCTTTATAAGGAAAGAAAGATGTCATAGCTCATTTTCTTTCTCTCCCATATGAAGATGTGGCAAGAAAGTGCAGACTGTAAGCCAGGAAGGGGTCCTTACCAGACACCAAATCTGACGGTGCCTTGATCTTAGACTTCCCAGCTATGAAACTATGAGAAATAAATGTTAGTTGCATAAGCCACTCAGTCTATAGTATTTGTTATAGCATCCCAAATTGACTAAAACAGTCATCTTCTTTCTGTCAAATGGGAATATGAATAAGTATGCTGACTTTGACCTTCCCCAGTAATCTCAGTCTCTTGGCTATTCAGGATAGAGTGTGTTGATGAAAAAGAGAGAAACTGTAAAATATTTATAGAGACTTACTCTGAGTCAAATATGAGTGACCAAGACTGAGGGCAGAGTCTCAAGAGGTCCTGAAAACATGTGTCCAACATGGTTGGGTTACAGCTTGATTTTATACATTTTAGAGGGACAGAAGCTCCAGGTATGCATCAGTCAATACCTGTAAGGTCTACATTGGTTCAGTCGGGAAAGGCAGGACAACTTGAAGTAGGGGTTTCTGGGTCATATGCAAATTCAAAGATTTTCTAATTGGCAATTGACTGGAGGAATTAAGTTGTTATTTAAAGACCTGGAATCAATAGAAAGGACTGTCCAAGTTAAGGGGTTGTGGAAACCAAGGTTCTTATTATGCAGATGAAGTCTCACAGATGGCCACCCTTAGAGAAAATAGATGGCAGCTGTTTTCTATTCAGACCTTTAGAAGTTGCTGGACTCTCAGCTAATCTCTTCAGGATCAGAAAAACACCTGGAAAGGGAAGAGGTTTCTCTGCAGAATATGAATTTCCTCTACAAGAGAAAGCTTTGAGGGGCCATTTCAAAATATGTCAAAGAGTTACGTTTTGGGGTGAGATATTTCATTTCTTTCAGGATCTGCTGTCATGTGATGCTATACTACAGTTACATTGGAATTTGGTATCTCACTGCCACAAAGAGTCTGTTTTGTCAGTCTTAAGATTTCTGTTTTAATGTGAATGTTGGCCAGTTGCGCATGAATTCAAAAGGGAGAAAAGTATAATGAGGCATGTCTGACCCTCTCTTCCCATCGTGGCCTAAAATAGTTTTTCAGGTTTACTTTGGAATCCCCTTGGCCAACAGATGGGGTCCATTCAGTCCCTTGGGCTTAGAATTCATAATATATTCTATTCTGAAACAAATCAGATACATAAGATAAAAGATTAATTCTGATATGGCTAGAAAATCCTATATTGTAAAGTTTTGTAATTCTGTTGGTGCTGAAATAGTCAAAATAAGAAATTTATCTCCTTTTGTGTTGTTTTACTAGGACATTCTAGCAGTGAGGCTTTAATCAAGAACATGGTGTCCTTAAGTATGTAAAACAGAAGGAATTTGTTAGAATTTTTTGTTTGTTAGTTTGATTTGGTTTTATTTACTATTTTTTACATGGATATTGGAAAAGCTAGAACAACAAACAAGTGATGGTGAGTAATCCTAAACATTAGGACCAATCTGAAGCCATCACCATCTCTAGACAGGAGAAACAAAGAGAAGAGACACTGTTACCAGAGGGCAGGAGACAGAGTCACATCCAAATGCAGGTGGAATTCTGGCAGGATTGTCTTTTGGGAGCTGAGTCTAAAGAATTCATGACTTCTATCAGAGTTGCTCAAGACGGAGGAGGAGGAGAAACACCCTAACTTTCTCCTCTCCTGTTTCCCCACCACCACCACTACCATCATCACCACCCTGCAATTTTCCAGCAGCCCCTCCCATTGGGTGCACTCAACTGAAGGCCTGCTGACGTTGAGGTTTGGGAAATGCAGCCTGCAGAGGCCAGCACTGAAGGAGAACAGCAGAGAGGGGATTTGGGAGCTCCCAAGCCCAGCTCAGACACAAAGTGTGCAGCTGCCAGGTGTGCTGGGTCTTCATCCTATAAAACATGATACATTTGCCCTAAAAGAGATGCTGATTTATGTGTGACAAACAAATCATTTCCTTCTGCAATAAAGGGTGCACTCATCAAAAATAATACTTTGTTTTATACTATTTAACAAAATGAAAGAAAGTCACCAAAACAATCTGTTACAGGAGATATTTTTCTCATAACTTCACAAGCTAGATTTGTGTTGTAAATCAAAGAAAATCACTGAGGCAGGTCTAGTCATTCTTAGAAGTTTATTTTTCCAAGGTTAAGGACACACCTAGGAAAAAAGGAACACAAAACTATCAGAAAAAATTACAGTGCTCCATGCTTTCTTCCAAAGAGGGTCTGGGGCCCCCCCAATCTTTAAAGAGAAAAGAGAGGACATACGGTTGCTTCCTTTTGAGTTTCTGATCAGCGTTCACTGAACACACATTTTACATATGAGAAGGGGGTAGAGGAATAGTCACAGATGCATTTGTCTCGTGCTCAGTGAATCTGCATTTTTATATAAGATAAAATAAAGATAGGATAGAGAAAGCAGTCAGACCTGCCTTTGTCTCAGTAGAGTGAAGGGATGACTTTGAGTTCTGTCCTTTGTCCCGTACCTATGAGGATAAGCTATCAATTTACACTGTCCCTGTGAAATTTGATAGAACTGTGTGTTAGGGTAAAGATCTTGGGGCCCACAAGGAATTTCCCTGTGAGTAATACGTGAGGGAGGTATGTAGCTATCTAGGAACAAAATGGGAGGCAGGTTTGTGTGACCCAGTCCCCAGCTTGACTTTTCCCTTTGGCTTAGTGAGTTCAGGATCCCAATTTTTTTTTTTCCTTTCAGTGTTACAAATCAGAGTGAGTCTTGTAAATCTACCCAAAGGTTTAGGTAACTAAGGCATGAAGAAATTTCTAGTCAAGAGATAGAGTTAAAAACCTATTCTTTAATCACTGAATTTTTATCTTTTTGCTTACATACACTGTGACAAATAGGGCTAATTGTTTTGGGAAGTGATTCTCTAACCCTTCTGTGCAATATTCTTTCTCCAGCTGATTTACAAGGAAGAGGCTGGAGAAACTAAGGCTAAGCACCATCTGGGAACCTTGTACGATTTTTGTCTACTACCGGCCAACGCAGAGACATTTGCTGAAGAAAACAGGCTGAACACAGCCTGAATTCCTCAACAAGTTCTATCACTAACAATAAGTTAATAGCTAACATTTGATGACAACATTCCATATGTTAGACTCTCTCCTAAGTAGTTTTTAATGCATTCGCTGTTCCACATAATTTAATTTACTTTATATATTTACAACTTTAATACTCTTTACCGTGGCTACTTCCATCTAACTACTTATAGTTACCTCAAATCTCTGAGCAGTCTCATACCTCCAGGTTTTTGCATGTGGCTCCTGCTTCCTGAAATGCCTTTACTCCTCATATTCCTGGCTATGTCTTACTCACTGACTTATTTGTAAACCATTTGTTGAGTACTTACCATATGGCAGTCTTTTTGGCTGCCATCTTGGAGTTAGTTGACCAGGCTATAGATATGTGCAGGGGGTTGTGGAGCACAGAGGAGAAGAATCTGAATCTTACTTGGGTACGTTAATAATATGAAGAGCGATGGGAGTTAGCACGAACTCAAGAAGAGCCTGTTCTTTAAAGTCTTTCCTGACTGACCACCCTCAGATCAATAACATTTAATATTAAAGTCACAGTTAACATTAACCTCTTGGTATTAATATCATTCCCACTTTATTATTTAAAAAACTTATATGCAATACAGGCTTGTCTGCACAGTTCTAGAAGGCAAGATTAAAGTCAGTAGGGGGAAAGTCACAAATATCCTCATTTGTTTTCACTTTAAACATGAAATATTCTGACTTTAAGACTGCCCCAAGACTGAAGACTTGAGGTGGTAAGAGACCTATTTCTGGAAGTGTTTAAACAAAAACTGGATGACATGGGAGATTTGACTTGGTGACCACTCAGATAACTTCAGACACAAATTAAATAATTTTTAAAATGTCACGTAACAGGCTGGGCACAGTGGCTCACACCTGTAATCCCAGCTCTTAGGGAGGCAGAGGTGGGAGGATAGCTTGAGCCCAGGAGTTTGAGACCTGCCTGGGCAATATAGTGAGATCCCGTTCTCCATAAAAAGGAAAAAAAAAAAAAGTGTAATAATATGTCATTTAACAATATCCATATGAGTTTTTATCTTTGCATATATAGAATATGCAAAATATTATAATTAGGTAGTTGATTATCTAGTGATAATTATCTCTTCAACAAGTCCTAAAACATCATGAAAAAAAGACAAAACTGTTGCCACTGCACTCCAGCCTGTGTAACAGAGAAAGACCCTGTCTCAACAAATAAATACATAGACAAAACTGATAATAGTGGCTACCACTTATTAAACCTCTACTGTGTTCTATGAACAGTGCTAGGTTTTATAATCTTTAATACACAAAAAAAATCCTGCAAGGTAGATATTATTAACAGAATAAGGATGAGTGTTATTGAGTAACTTATCCAAAGTGACAAAGTGAATGAAAGAACCAAAAATTCCACCCTGGTCTCTGATGTTTCTGTATTATTTGACTCTATTGTATGAGTCCAACTTTCAGACATCAACTTTTTTTTTCTTTAGAGACAGGAGACAGGGTCTCTCTCTGTTGCCCAGGCTAGAGTGCAGTGGCTCAATCATAGCTCACAGCAGGGTCAAACTCCTGGGCTCAAGTGATCCTCCTGCCACAGCCTCCTGAGTAGTTGGGGTTATACAGGCATGCCCCATCATGCCTGGCTACTTTTTGTATTTTTTGCATAGACAAGATCTTGCTATGTTGCCCAAGCCGGTCTCGAACTCCTGGCCTTAAGCGATCCTCCCATCCCTGCCTCCCAAAGTGCTGGGATTACAGGTGTGAGCTACTGAGCCCAGCACAGATATCAACTTAATAAAAAGAATTAGCAAATATTTGCCAAACATTTGGTACTGGAACTATACTAGGGAGGTGCAATGAAATTAACAAATAAACATAAAACATAGTTGCTGCCCTTAGGGAATGAACTATCCAATTAGAAAAAGAAGACACTGCATATTGAAAAGCTAACTTAAGAATCAAGTTCAAAAAGTGAGCCCCCAAAATAAAACTTACATTAAGTGTACGTCTGGAATGACCAAGTAGCCAATTATAACCTTTCCGATTGAGTTTGGAAACTGAAATATCAAAATGTCTAAATATCACCCTTCTTCATAGCTGAAGGAGTATCCTGATGATTTCCACTAAAAAGACCAATAAATATGCTGTAACCTCTTCAGTGACTTCTGGACGTACAGTTTGCCCTTTGATTTACAAGGCCAGCTGGTATTTACACAACATGGTATTATTTGCACTTCTTTCTCTTACACTCGTGGCATGCTTGAGATCTTTGTTCAAAAATAACCCCACCATACCAGCCTGCTGCTATACCAGCTGCTCTGCTGTCTGCTGCTGCTATTGTCCTCACAGTCTTTATTTGGCTGTTTCGAGTTGTCTTTCCATTGTCAGATACAGTCGATGAAATATGGATCTGAATTCCTTCATAGTCCGTGGATGTCGTATGGCGTTTATTATCTAAATGGTGTGAGTGACATGTAGCAATATTTTTTACTGATGTCTCAGGCCCCTGAATCTCCATAGGGCTTATCTCTCATCTTCTTTTTTTTTTTTTTTGAGACAGAGTCTCGCTCTGTCGCCCAGGCTGGAGTGCAGTGGCGCGATCTCGGCTCACTGCAGCCTCTGCCTCCCAGGTTCAAGTGATTCTGCTGCCTCAGCCTCCGGAGTAGCTGGGACTACAGGCGCATGCCACCATGCCCAGCTGATTTTTTGTATTTTTATTAGAGACGGGGTTTCACTGTGTTAGCCAGGATGGTCTCAATCTCTTGACGTCGTGATCTGCACGCCTCAGCTTCCCAAAGTGCTGGGATTAGAGGCGTGAGCCACCGCACCTGGCCTCTCATTTTCTTATCAAGATTTCCAGCACACTAACCACCTTTGCACGTCCTATTTAAACAATGTTATGTCAATACCTGTAATGGAACAGTGTGGCATCACACAGAATATCCAGACAGAACGGACTTTTCTGGACTGTATTATGACAAAGGGTGAAATAGACAATGCAGCCCTGCAACAAAAACTGGAATTAGGGAGTTTTCTTTTCTTGTGTAACTGCAAGCTCTTTCTGTTTCTCCTTTTTGATAGGAATGATAAAGAGCTCATTCACCAAATCTATAGCTGCATATTATCTACCTGGGGCCATTTTTAAACTTTTCTCTTAATAGCAAAAACATTGTGTCCATGTGTACTCAATGTTTAGCTCCCACTTATAAGGAACATGCAGTATTTGGTTTGCTGTTTCTGCATGAGTTTGCCTAGGATAATAGCCTCCAGCTCCATCTTTGCTGCTGCAAAATACAGGATCTCATTCTTTTTTATGATGGCATAGTATTCCCTGGTGTATATGTACCATATTTTCTTCATCCACTCAACCGCTGATGAGCATTTAGGTTGATTTACGTATCTTCCACCCTTTAGATAATAAAGAGTGGCCTCAATTTTTGCCATCCCTCTCTGGGATAAAATATTTGTTTTGATTTCAGTCTTGGCTGGAGTAGAAAGGAGCAGTTTCAGAGGCTTCTACTTTGTCTCCCCAAATGTGATAGATCACACCTGACAAAGAACCCAATGTTGGTGTTTTGTCAAATGCCAATTATTTATCTTCCTAGTATATAGTTTAAAACCGTGGAAATGACCTTCAGGTGAGTTCACATACCCAGTGAACCCACTGTGCCTGAACCTCCAGCAGGACTCCATTTATTATCTGTTCTACATATGTCCTACCTCTAGCAAGGCCCCAAGAGGATGCTTTTGGTTTCCAGGTATTAGTGACTACTCATATTCTTTGTCTAGCAGCCCTTGAAATGTTTGTGTATTCCCCTCCCCTAATGCACAATTCTACCCAAGAAAATAAGCACAGCTCCCTTTGGGGGGCAGTATGGGAGCCTCCACCAAGTATACCTGCCATGATCTTGCTGGGTTACTCTTCCAGGGAAAATGGACTCTTCCTGGAGTCAGTGGGCTCCATGTCCAAAAACTGGCAAAGGTATAGAAATTGAGAAAGAGATCATAGGCTTATATTGGAGAAATTGCACTCAGACTTATAACCATCCACTTTTAGTTTCTTTTGATAGTACAAATGGAGTAGTATCCTTGTTTACTACTCATTTATTTTGCCTCCAGGGTCACTATACACTATTTAAATTTGCAGGCCCCTACCTGACCCTTCTACCTTGCATTTAATAAAAATATTGCACCTACCTGATTTATGACAGTGAATCTAACCAAGTGGCCTCTACTGTTCCAGAATCCCATCACCCTTATTTTATTTTTGAGCCTAACTGTCTAATAGACTCAACTTTGTCCTGTAGAGGAAAGCCACGACCACTAAAATTAGTGATGCTCATGCCCCTCTCAATACCATGTTCTATACGTCCTTGATAAATGATGTACTCTCTGGGTCTCACTGTAGCACAAAATCATCTGCTACATTTTCTAGCTTCACACAGCATATCCATTCCAGCATATTCATTTCTCTGTGCCTTTTAACATATGTTCTGCCCTCTGCTAAAGCAATATCTGGCACTCCAGTTTCACTTAGTGTAGGCTATTAATTATTCCACGCCTCTAGGGGCCATCCTAACTGTGAATTTGTGCTGTCTCCTAGGGTCCTTGTCAGAGTGTTCAATCCAATATTCTGGAATAGTGATCTCAAATTAGTCATTTTCACTTATCCAACCTTAAATATTGGCCATCTTGATCAAACACCCTCTGAGTTCAACCCCTTGTATGCTGTCCTAGCTTCTGATACATGCCGACAAGGTCTTACTTTTGGGAGAGAGTGATTTTTCTCCCTTACCAGGCTCAGCACATTTCCAGCTGGGCTATTCTGTGCCTTGACCCTAGATACAGGCCCAGTGGTTAAGTGGGGAGTAGGAACAGACCCTGAGAAACGCATATGCTGTCTTGGATGGAAGAAGCATCTACATCACCTCTAAGCAAAGGAGTGTGGGTCATTTTAACAGGGAGAGCTGGGTCGTTTTAGCACGGTCATTACACTTACTATTTCCCCCATATTTCTCACACTCACGATACATCACACCAACTAATTCATTCCTTTCCATTGGCATACCATAACAGAGTTAGAAGAAGCTGGTAGTAGAAATTTAGGAAAAATAAAAAGATGAATTTATTCATTCATTGCACGAATATTGATAACTTACTACCTGCCAGAACCTGTTTTAGATATTAGGAATACATCAGTGAACAAAACAGAAAAAAATCCTCTATCTCTAAAAAGATAGGGGAAGCAGATGATGAGAAATAAACATAGTAAATAAGGAAATGACAAAATACGGAAAATACGGTAAGTGCTATCAGGAAAAATGGAGCAAAGTAAGAGGAATAAAAGGTATGGTGGTTGTCGTTTCAAATTAATGGCGTATTCTTGGTAAGCATCTCTGAGAAGTTTAAGTTTGAGCAGGGACTTGGTAGATAAATGAACCATGGGCATTTAGAGTGTTAGCGTCTGCTTCCAAGTCCCAATTCCCACCGGGTGATTTAAAGAGGGCCCAGTGATGTGTAGAAAGCAGTGGGACACAATAGAAGAGACATATCCTCAAGCTTAGGGTACCCAAATCTTTTATAATGAGCAGTAAGCCTGCCTCGCTCTTGCCCTGAAGGAGACACTATCCAAGGATGTTTGCTAAACGAACATGTTAAAATTAGATTCCAGAACTAAGGGAGCTAGTGCCTTTTCTTAGAAAACTTACACAAACGCTATAGACCCATGAAGAATTGTCTCCTTTGACGAGGGCAATTCTTCGGAGGGGTGGCATTTAAAGCTAATTGAAGTGAGTTCTGGAGGGAATGAGAGGAGAGGATTTAGAGAATACGAATATAGACAATTATGTTGTGGAGTTTTGCTATGAAGGAGGACAGGTAGATTGTGTAATAGCTGGAAGGAAAATGCACGCAAGAGAAGTTTTCTTTTTTCTTTCTTTTTCTTTGTTTCTTCTTCTTTTTTTTTTCTTTTTCTTTTTTTGAGACAAAGTCTCGCTCTGTCTCCCAGGCTGGAGTGCAATGGTGTGATCTCAGCTCACTGCAACCTCCGCCTCCCGGGTTCAAGTGATTCTCCTGCCTCAGCCTCCTGAGTAGTTGGGATTCTGTAATCTCTCCTGCCACCATGCCCAGCTAATTTTTATATTTTTACTAGAGATGGGGTTTCACCATGTTTGCCAGGCTGGTCTCAAACTCCTGACCTAAAATGATCCGCCCCCCTTCGGCCTTCCAAAGTGCTAGGATTACAGGCACGAGCCACTGTGCCCGGCTCTGTTTTTGTTTTTTAAGATGGAAGAGACAAAAGTAGGTTTGTATGCTGATGATGACCTATCAAAAAGGAAAAATGGATAATTTAGGATAAGAGATGTAAAATTGCTGGGATAGTTACCTTTGAGTGGAGAAAAACAGATGAGTTTATTTAGGAATGTAGGTTTTAACCTTAAGATTGTACCTTCCAGTGGATAAAGATCATAAGAACACAGATTGAGTAGACTAATAGATGCAGTGGAGTTTCTGGAAGCTCTCATTTGATTGCTTCAATTTGCTCAGCGATGTAGGAAGCAAGTGCAAAAGCTGAAAGTGAAAATAAGAGAGAAGGTGTTGGAGATGTGAATAGAAGAATAGATGTATTAATAAAATAGTACTGTAGGAGAACCGGAGCAGGGAAGCACCGGAAAACTACAGTTTAAGAGCCATGAAAATGACCTTCAGGTGAGTTGCCAAGGAATCCACCCAAGGATCCTAGCGATGAATTTGAAGTTGAATCGCTCTACATGGTTTTGTCTATTTCTAACCTTGATTAATTGCACAAGTGCAGATGTGAATTAGGTGGAGAGTTGGAAATAACCTATGTTTTAGATTTTCCCCTCTTCTGCCAGTTGCCTTCTTAGTCAAGCTCAGAAACAATGAAAATGATGCTGATTCTGGTTTGTTCGAATGCATTCCAGTTTTGTTTGTTTCCTTTCCTTGAAATAAGGGTTTTCTTCCTTCCTGCTGACCCAGTTGACATGTAGAGACTTTCAGCCACCACCAGAGGCAGAGAGATAACTTTCCCCAGCTCCTTCACCAATTCCTACAATTGTGTATAGTCTAATCAGTACAATGAATTCTTATATCCCATATTACTTATAGTGTTCCTGTTTACCGGATTGAATTCTCAACTGATACAGGTGCCTTTTATTTTTTCTCATAGACCTTATGGAACTAGTCCTGAGAGTAGGTAGTTATTTTTTTCTTTTTTTTTCTCCTGTGGGTTCCAAATTATTCTCTCCATTCTTCTCCAACTTGCCCCAACTCTTGCCATCAGACTCCATCACCCACTACTTTTCATGGTTACTATCATCCTGATGCTTTAATTTCTGGTTCACTGTGCCTCTTGTTAATGCCAAGCCCCACTAGCCTCTCTCTCTCTTTCTATGTTTTACTCTCTATCCTTCTGCCTCTCTCTTACCTGAAATTATTTAAACATTTTATTTGCATTTCTATGTTTTCCTTATCAACATTTACTTTTCAAACCATAAAAGGCACAGGTCAAAGTGTGCTTTTAAATCAGTTTTGTCATATGTATACACCCATGTTAACATCATCAAATCAAATCTAGAACTTTTGCATTATCTCAGAAAATTCTATCATATCCATTTCCAGTCACACTCCACGCCTCTGACCTCAGCAATCAGGTAATAATTCTTCTGATATCTATCACTACAGAGCAGCTTTGCCTATATTTGAAGTTCATGTCAATGGACTTATAATGAGATAAATGGCCTCTCTTTTGTGTCTGCATTCTGTCATTCAACATAATTTATAATCCAATGCTCATTCTTGGTATGATGGTTAATTTTATGTGTCAACTTCACTGGTCCACGGGGTGCTTAGATATTTAGTTAAA
Source organism: Homo sapiens (assembly GCF_000001405.40). NCBI lineage: Eukaryota > Metazoa > Chordata > Mammalia > Primates > Hominidae > Homo > Homo sapiens. The sequence goes on from NC_000008.11 coordinate 15,499,668, forward strand.
CATTATTCTGGGTGTGTCTGTGAGGGTGTTTCTGGATGAAATTAGCATTTGAATTGGTAGACTGAGCTTTCTGCCTATCTTTGAGCTGAGACATCAGTCTTCTCCCTACACCATTAATGTTCTTTTTCCTCCCTGCAGCTTGTCAACTGTAGATTCTAAGACTTCTCAGCTTCCATAAGTGTATGAGCCAAATCCTCATTTTACATACATACATACGTACACACACACACATTCTGTATTCTGTTTCTCTGTAGAACCCAGATGAATACACTTGGCAATTTCAATACCAATATAGATCATATTTCCAGCACTCTATATTTTAAACTCCATTCCTTCAATAATTTTATTTTCTAACCCATCTTAGCCATTTATTGTCTTGGTTCAATTGTCTGGCCATCATCATAACCATCATTTTCATATATCCTCTATTACCTTGACTGTCTTTCATTGTTGCCAACATTGACAAAGCAGGTGACCTGCAAAAGCAGCTAGAGTCTTTCTCTACGGAGCTGTACACGTATCTGGTGGTGGCCTCTGGTGGTGGCTGAAAGTCTCTGTATGTCAACTGGGTATTCTATCAAGAATCTTGACAGAAGTTAGTAGATCAAAGGAAATCAGTTTTGTTTTGTTCCGTATCTAATGCAAGTTTATTGTTTTCAAAAGCCATTATTTTATGTTACTTGTTTTCAACCTAAATTACCACCAAAGGTCCCATAGACTATTTTCCCTCTATAGTCATCACATTTTTAAAAAATCACCATTGGGATTTTTTAGTCAATCGGAGATCTAACTGCCAATCATAATTTTAGATCATTGAGAACTAGTCACTGTTAACACACAAAAAAGGAAACCAGCATTTCAGTTGATCTAAGACAGTTTACAAAGAATGATTGTCTCTTATTTGCTTAGCTTTTAAAAATATTGAAAATGATGTAGGCACCAGTTGAACCTGGTAGATGAATCAAATCTTTTTTAAATTCCCCTTTTAAAACAAACCCTAAAACACTCAGTAAAAACAGCAAATCATTTATAAGTTATTAATCTACAAAGAGAAAGAGAATGTGACAGGAAACATCAGTAGATAAATCATTTAGCAAAGTTTCGGAACTTGAAAAGTCCCATGATTTATTTTCTGTTCATGAATATTAAGCCTTCAGCACCTGTCAAAATGAAAGAATCTCAGTTTTCTTTCTTTCAACTGGTCACTAGCCTTGGCCTTTTTAACCTTTTTCAAGAGCAACCAAACATAATAACTTTAAATTCTTACAAGGTATAACATAATAACTTTAAATTCTTATAAGGTACAGAAAGTAACTCTTTCTGTATAGCTATAATACCAAATAACAGTTTTCCTTTGTATTCTTGCTATCTTCCTTGACCCACCCAAGTCTAAGACAGACAGTTTATAAAAACTTAGGACACTGTAAACATTTGGCCCCTAGCATCTCCTTACATCACTTTTGGTATTTCTACACTCCTTCATCCTGACCTTTAACCACAAAAGACTGCAAGGTTTCTCTAACATGTTTTTCCCTTTTGAGGATTTGCTAACCAATTTTCTCTCTCTGGACTTTCCTTCTCTTTACTTCATAATTTTATCTATGAAAACACTCTCTAGGCTTAAATAAAATGCATCCCTTTTCCATGAATCCTTCTTGGAACCCAAAGTTTGGATCAATTGTCCTGTCTTTGATGCACACATGGTACTTTCGCTATACTTCACTTTGGCAATGAGCAAAACTTGACACATGTTGATTACAACAGGAGGTCTTAAGTTACTGGAAAATAAGACAATGCCATATTCATCTTAAATCACTAGTGCCTAAACTACTGTAGCTGCATAGTAAATGTTTATTGAATCTGGAATCATGGTAGGTTTTCTTTTCATCTTTTCAAATTGGTCACAATGTTTTGGGAATGGGAAAGAAGAAGCTACAATGGTTTATGGCAATGGGCTTAACCTGACTCCCACAGGTACTCAAGCAGTTTCGTCAGAGGCTACATATTACTCTCTTCCTGTCCTTCCATCTTTCTTCTCCAACAAATGGCAATAGTAATAGTGATAGATAACACTTACTGAGTGCTTAATGTATATCTAACAGGATGCTGATTGCCTTACTTATTTGTTTTCAGTGCTCTTTCAGAAAGTTTTTACCAAAGTCATACTGGTAGACAGTTAAAAATCAAATTGTATTTGAAAAAGTATTTAATAACACAGTCTCTTATCCTACCTGTGTCCACCTTAGTTCAGTCTTGATCTCTGGAAGTAACGACTGATAACTTTTAATCTATTCCTTCTGACGTTTACCTTTATGTTTCTAAGTAATATGCTCATTATGTTTTGATTCATATATTTTAATCATCTATTGGTTTCCTTTATACAACCATCACTTATGTGTTATCACCATCTATCTATTCAATATACTTATGCTATAACTTTTAGTTGAAGCAGCAGAGTTTAAATTGTGTTGACAGTGTAAACACTGTTCACGTGTAAGTCAAATTGCAAACTATGATTTTTGTCTTTCTTTGCGCAAGTTTTTGCTGAAGTCTACAAACTGCTTATTTCTTCACTTGCTTAGTTTCGTGTATATATTCTTATTTTTTCCCAAATGCCCAATTAAATTGTTAAATATCTAAGCAATATTTTTTTGAAGTTCAATTATATCATAGTCCATCTGTTCTATTCACCTTTTTCAGCCCTCAGACTGCTTTTCAGAATGCCATCCTTCTGCAACCATCAGGACTAGATTGACACTTCTTTTTATTAGAGCTCCTATGTCGGATTATCATTTCCCGGATCCAATATATATATTTTCTTGTTTGTTTGTTTGTTTGTTTGAGACGGAGTCTCGCTCTGTCGCCTGGGCTGGAGTGCAGTGGCGCGATCTCCGCTCACTGCAAGCTCCACCTCCTGGGTTCACACCATTGTCCTGTCTCAGCCTCCCAAGTAGCTGGGACTACAGGAACCCACCACCACACCTGGCTACTTTTTTTGTATTTTTAGTAGAGTCAGGGTTTCACCGTGTTAGCCAGGATGGTCTTGATCTCCTGACCTCGTGATCCCCCTGCCTTGGCCTCCCAAAGTGCTGGGATTACAGGCATGAGCTACCACAGCAGGTCCCTTAGATCCCATATTTTTATCAATCTTTTCTTTATCCTACATTTTGCAGAAGCTCATCTTTGAGTGCCTTCCCAAAAAGAATGCCAGTGAGTTACTCATTTTACTCCTTACATGTTTGACGAAGTCTTTATTCTATTTTTTATTTGATCAGTAATTTGGCTGAACTTAGAAACCTTATGATTTTAAAGGTATTTTACTTACAGGGTTAGAGAAATTTAAACCATTCTGAGACCCATCCTTGTGTGAAACCAGTTACGGGTTTATGTCCACTTTCCCGCCATTTATATGCTGAAGTCTTAAATCCCCAGAACCTCGGAATGTGAGTGTATTTGGAGGGTTGGGTCTTCAAAGAGGTAATTATATTAAAATGAGATTATTACGGTGGGCCTTAATCTAACATGACAGATGTGGACACAAATACATACAGAGGAAAGACAGTGGGAAGACACAAGGACAATATGGCCATCTACAAGCCAAGGAGAGAGGCCTCAGAAGAAACTAACCCTGCCGCCTCCTGTATCTTAGACTTGTAGGCTTCAGAACTGTGAGAAAATAAATTCTTGTTTGAGCCACCCCGTCTGTGGCACTGTGCTATGGCAGCCCTGGAAAACTAATACTTGACATACTTTTTTTTTCTGGATACTTCTAGGACCTTCTTCTTCTGCCCTATGATCTGAAATTTCTCAATAATATGTATTTTCAATTTAAGTAGGCTTTGCTTCCTTCAACTTAATGAGACCCTATCTCTAGAAAAAATTAAAAATTAGCCAGACATGGTGGCTCACACCTGTAGCCCCAGCTACTCACAAGGCTAAGAAGGGGGGATTGCTTGAGCCCAGGAATTCGAGGTTGCAGTAAGCTACGTTCGTACCACTCCACTCCAGCCTGGGTAACAGAGTGAAATCTTGTGTCTTAAACAAAAAAATATCGGCCAGCCACAATGGCTCATGCCTGTAATTCCGGCACTTTGGGATCCTGAGGCGGGTGAATCACTTGAGGCCAGGAGTTTGAGACTAGCCTGGGCAGCATGGCAAAACCCATCTCTACTAAAAATACAAAAATGGTAATGGCTCCACAGCTGGGTGTGGTGGTGCACACCTGTAATCCTAGCTACTTGGGAGGCTGAGGCACAAGAATTGCTTGAACAGGGGAGGTGGAGTTGCAGCAAGCGGAGATCGCACCACTGCTCTCCAGCCTGGGCAACAGAGTGAGACTCTGTCTCAAAAAAAAAAAAAAAAAAAATTCTGTAGAAAAGAACACACCGTTTATTTATCCTATCCACTGCTCGCTTCAGACTAGAGTCAAATGAGGCACACATGCTTCCAGCAAAAGAAAGCCATGAATACAATAGGGTAGAGGTTAATAGTGTAGGCCTCAGAGCCAGACTGCCTGGGTTCAAATGCTGGTTCTGTCACTTGCCAGCTGAGTAATTTTGAGAGCCTCCGTTTCCTCAGTTACAAAATAAAGATCGCTGGAGATCCTACCTCATAGACATTGACAGTGCAGTTTAACTTATTGACATAGACTTCTAAAACCTCATAGAGGTTTTGTGAGATTTTAATAAATTAGTCCATTAAACTACTGAGTGTAATGCCTAGCACAAAATAGGCGTAAACACCCAACAAGGGAAAGTTGTTGTTAGTATTAGTTACCATCATTATCATTAACATCAGTTCATTAAGAAACATATTTCTACTACTGCCATATTAGTTATTGCCCTTCCTTTAGGTTGCCAAACAGAATTCCTATTTTGTTCTATTTTAATCCTATTAAAGGCAACTTTCAGGATATATATATATATATATATATATATATATATATATATATATATTTTTTTTTTTTTTTTTTTTTAAGTGGGTTTTTTTTTGTGTGTTTTTTTCGAGATGGAGTCTCGCTGTGTCCCCAGGCTGGAGTGCAGTGGTGCGATCTTGGCTCACTGCAACCTCTGCCTCCTGGGTTCAAGCGATTCTCCTGCCTCAGCCTCCCTAGTAGCCGGAACTACAGGTGCCTGCCACCATGCCCAGCTAATTTTTTGTATTTTCAGTAGAGATAGGGTTTCACCGTGTTAGCCAGGATGGTCTCCATCTCCTAACATTGTGATTCGCCCACTTCAGCCTCCCAAAGTGCCGGGATTACAGGCAATTTTGCGTCTTTCTTTCCGTAATTCATGTATTTTCTATTTCAAATGAGGTGCGGGCTTCCTAAACAATACTGTATCAACATCTATTAAACATTAACCAAAATAATAAAAATATTGCTGCCAAATGGCAGGAATCTAGAAATTCCACCTCCCACATTGTAAAAATATGACAGATTGCCCTCCATCCGCCACTTGGAATAAATCATCTGTCATCCATATGAGAACTGGCTTTACTTCATGACTGTTTTCACAGATGACTCAGGTTATTTGCCGCAGCAACTTCTGGATGATCAAATATTTTAGGAATGATCCTTCCAAACAAGAAGGCTTTGTCAATAAGTTAAACTGCACTGTCAATTGTCAAAAAGAAAAAAACCCAGAATGCTGTTCTGATGGCCAGACTTTTCATGTGTTATAATGGCATTGTGCCAAGTCTTGTCATTTTTCAGGTTTGTACTTAATGTACTATGTCTATTCCTTTTTCAGTTAATTTGAGTGTTAATTGCTGTTGCATAACCTTAGCACCATTTTTATTCCTGTTGGTAAAATCTCCAGCAGGGAACATCTGTACGTTTTTTATTGTGTTTTCTGTTGCCATACTAGTTGAATCTTCCGATTCCATAGTTTCCTTTACTACAGTATGTCCCAAGCTTGTCTGTCCTAAGAATCACCAACTGAAAATAGAAATACCCAGGCTTCTCCCTGGAGAATCTGATTCAGCAGGTCTGAAGTGGGGTCAGAGAAACTGCATTTTTAACTGATGAATACTATAATCAGGCAGAATGGGAGCACTACTTTATAATTGTAAAGTTAAAATGTATTTTTTTTCTGTTTTTTTTAGTTTTAAACCCTACAGAGTAAGCGACAATTCCTAGTGAATACATGAAAAAATTCAATAGTCTTCCATAGTTGAGAGAATATTTCTTTCCCTGTACTTGGATACAGAATCTCTGTAAAATCCTAAGGAACATATTCTTGCCCAATCTGGTCATACAAACATACAATAGGATACAGTGATTAGGCTAAAAGCAATTTTTAAAAATCTATTTTACTGACTCTTGATCCCTGTTCACAGCACCCTGGTGTGCTAGTGTTTGTTTGCAGTAGTTTCTAGATGAGAGATTTTGCATCAGTGATTGTAAACCTGCCTTGACGGGAGACTATTATAAGAGAGGATGAAAAAGAGAGTGACTTCCACATCATACCAGAACACACAGTATATTATCTGCTGGGGCTTAGAAAACAGTACCCCAAAATAAAGGCCTCCAAAGCAGCCTCTGAAGCAAAAGTTTTTCTCTGAGCTTCCCCTGCCCTCCTCTCTCTCAGTCCCACTCTCCCCTGAGGCTAGTTCTAGAAACTAAATCCCTCTTTACCAAGGTGGATCATAGAAACCAGAATCCCTTTTCCCCAAAGTCAGCCATAAAACCTGAAAACATTACTGTAACTTTCACTCCACATTTCTGTGTAAAAACGGACCTTCTAAAGGAATTATCTGACCTAACTTGTTTGACTGTACATCATATGACCCCTTGTATTAGCTCATTTTCATGCTGTTATGAAGAAATACCAAGACTGGGTAATTTGTAAAGAAAAGGAGGTTTAATGGACTCACAGTTCCACATGGCTGGGGAGGCCTCACAATCATGGCAGGAGGCAAGGGAGGAGCAAAGACACGCCTTACATGGTGGCAGGCAAGAGAATGTGTGCAGGGGAAGTGCCTTTATAAAATCATCGGATCTTGTGAGACTTATTCACTATCACGAGAACAGCGCAGGAAAAACCCGTCCCCATGATTCAGTTACCTCCCACCAAGTCCCTCCCACAACACGTGAGGATTATAGGAGCTACATTTCAAGATGAGATTTCGGTGGGTCAAACCAAATCACAGCCATTCCAGAAAGGGCCCTGCCCCTTACCCGGAAGGAAGGAATGCATGCTCAGAGAAGCCAGGAAGAATGTAGACAGACAGGCCTTGCTGCATTTCCTGTCTTGGTCGGCTAGGCTTAGATCATGCCCTTTTTGTCTGGTCATATTTCTAGATGGCTGTTTATGCTTTGTTTAACTTAAACATGAAAATGGACAATTTCCTCTGTATCTTTGGGTCTTCATTTTGAAGGCTCCCATGTATACATATGAAATAACTTTGTATGTTTTTTCTCCAATTAACTTGCCTTCTGTAAGTTGATTTTTTTGGCCAGCCTTCAGAGGGCCAAGGGGAGCTCCCCCTTGCCCTCCATAGTCCAAACTATAGAGGAACTTGGCTCTGCATTCATTAAAAGAAACAAAGTGACATTGTTCCTGTATTTTACATTTAAAAACATGGTTTGTCCTGTTGCATATTTTAATTCCTTGGCCTCAGGGTCCTTTTTAATTAGAGGAAGAGGAAAGTTACTTATTATTATTTTTTCAGCTATCTCTCATATATACAACTTTGATCCCTTTATAGTTCATGCCTTATCAAAATCCTCTTAATAAAGAACTGCACAGTTGAAAGTGGAATATTTGCTAAAAGGCAGATAGTTAACTGGAAAAATACATGGAAAAGCATCTTTTTTTGTATTTTTCAGATTCTAGCTAATTTCTATAATTAAGGAAAATCAGGAGTCTCTCCCTTTTTTGAGTTTTATCAATTTTTAAATGTTAATTAAAGGTCTTCTAAAGTCAAAAGAATCTATAAAGATGTAAATCAGGATGATTTCGGAAACCTCCCATATACAAAATATGTTATACAAAATACAAAATACAAAAATATGTTATGAGCACTAAGTATTGAGAACTTGATAGGTATTGGAAATTCAACTAATAGAAGTCTTTGTACTCTTTAACAGTCTACTTGGGAAAAGAGAGAGAGAGGATGATGTAAGGAAAAAACTATAGTTAAATAAAAAAAAGGCAAAGTGAACAAAAAAAGATTAATGGCCTCCCCAAGAGGTACAGTCAGATGGAAAGGAGTGAAGGTGGGCACATTTAAATAGAGGAGGTAAAACTTGAGCCAAAATAACGAAAGATGAGTCAAAACTTGCTCTGAGGCCAGATGCAGTAGCTCAGGCCTGTAATCCCAGCACTTTGGGAGGCCGAAGTGGGTGGATCACTTGAAGCCAGGAGTTCACGGCCAGCCTGGTCAACATGGGGAAACCCGTCTCTACTAAAAATACAAAAATTAGCCAGGTGTGGTGGTGTGCCTATAGTCCCAGCTACTCAGGAACGTGAGGCAGGAGAATCTGCATGAATCCGGGAGGCAGAGGTTGCAGTGAGCCGATTTCACGCCACTGCATTCTGGCCTGGGTGATAGGGTGGGACTCTGTCTAACAACAATGACAACAAAAACAAAAAACAAAACAAAACCTTGCTCTGGACAAATTATGGGTAATAAAAAATTTTGTTGGATGTGATATCCTATTAACTGAGGTGAAGAACAAGAGAAATGAATGACAAGATCTCAGGGAGGGAGAAAGGACATTGGATTTAGAGAGATTATAGATAAATGTCTAGGTAACTTTGAGGTAGTTTAGGAATCGAAGCTTCCTTTTTTTTTTTTTTTTTTTTTTTGAGAAGGAGTCTCTCTTGTTGCCCAGGCTGGAGTGCAGTGGCGCCATCTCGGCTCAGTGCAAGCTCCGCCTCCCGGGTTCGTGCCATTCTCCTGCCTCAGCCTCCCGAGTAGCTGGGACTACAGGCGCCTGCCACCATGCCCGGCTAATTTTTTGTATTTTTAGTAGAGACCAGGTTTCACCGTGTTAGCCAGGATGGTCTCAGTCTCCTGACCTTGTGATTCACCCGCCTGGGCGTCCCAAAGTGCTGGGATTACAGGCGTAAGCCACCGCACCTGTCCTGAAGCTTCCTTTTTAAGTGGAATAGGAAAAAAAGTAGGCATTAATAAAGATAACAAAAACCAAAGTGTATTGAGCTTACTCTGCTACTCACTCTGTCAACAGCTTGTAATATATTACCTTAATTCTTCCATGTAGGGTTGGCATTATTACTGTCTCCAGTTTACCAAATAGGAATTTGAAAGTTTAGAAAGTTATATAACTGTCTCAGGTTCCAGAAGTTGCGCCTGGTAGAGTTATAATTCAAGATAAGATCTTCAGCTCAGAATGAGAGGGAAGTGTTGAAGGGTGTGAATGAACTGCTTTGAGGAATGAGAGAAGAAGCTGAGGGGGAGAGAGAAAAAAGAATAGCTGAGGAACAGTAAGGACCCAAGTAAGGATGCAGTCTTTTGCTCTGCTAAGAATCCACATTGTTTTCCAACAACAGAGTACAGAAGAGCAAATATTGGAGATGATAGTCTTTTCTTCTTTCTTGATGCTCTTGTCAATAAATTAAACCACAGCCATCTAAGTTAGTTTCCTTAACTTTTTTAACTGAATGCTACGTGAAATTCAAAATCATAATAAAGGCCAGACGTGATGGCTCATGCCTGTAATCCGAACGCTTTGGGAGGCCAAGGCAGGCAAATTGCTTGAGGTCAAGTGTTCGAAACCAGCCTGGCCAACATGGTGACATCCCATCTCTACTAAAATATAAAAATTAGCTAGGTGAGGTGGCAGGCGCCTGTAATCCCAGCTACTCGGGAGGCTGAGGCAGGAGAGTCACTTGAATCCCAGAGGCTGAGGTTGCAGTGAGCCGAGATTGTGCCACTGCACTCAAACCTGGGAGACAGAGTGAGACACCATCTCAAAAAAAAAAATCATAATAAAATAGCACAGAAACATTGGATTAAGTATTAGCGTGACAAATTTGTAGTCTTAACTGTAGCTTTGTACTTCTTAATATTTTGGACTTTACCTATTCATCTCTAAATGCAGATGATTTTGAAGCTCATATTACATCCCTATCCATTAACTGGCCTAATACAATAATCTGTAAGTGAGATGAATGTGAATCTATGAGGAGACTGTTTTCTTGCATATTAGTTGACCAAAATATGTATTTTTGAAATTTTAATAAGTTATTTCCCCAGTTATCTAATGCTTACCAGGAGAATCCAGAAAGCTTTGGTTGGCCTAGGCAGGAGTATTGCTTGGGGCCAAGAGTTTGAGAGCAGCCTGAGCCACATAGCAAGACCTCATCTCTACAAAAAATAAAAAGAAAAATAGCGAGCCATGGAGGTGCACAACTGTAGTCCTAGCTCCCTGGGAGGCTGAGGGGGAAGAATTGTTTGAGCCCAAGAGTTCAAGGTTACAGTGAGCTATGATCACACCACTGAAGAAAGATCTAAAATCAGTGCCTTTAGATTAATACATTTGCAAATCTTGAAAATGAAAAGCAAATTAAAGCCAAAAGAAGGAGAAAAATAGATACAATCAAAGTGGAAACCAATGCAATAGAAAACCTAAAAGAAAAAAGGGAAAAAGAAAAGAATTGGTAAAACCAGAAGCTGGTTCTTTATGAGATCAATACAATTGATAAAGTTCTAAAAAGACTGATCAGGGAAAGAAGAGAGGGTACAATTACCAATATCAGACATGAGAGCAATGACATCACTACAGAAATTACAGGTGCTAAAGTGATAATGAGGAAATATTATATATAAATGCATGCAGTAAATTCACAACTTATGTGAAATACACAAATACATAAAAGATAATTACGGGAGCTCACCCAGGAAGAATCAGACAACCCCAACACTATATATATTTTTTTAAATATCAGTTTGTAGTTAAAAACCTTCCCACACAGAAAACTCCAGGCCCAGATGGCTCTCTTGATAAATCTGATCAAACATTTGAGGAGGAGATGACACCAATTTTACACAAACTGTTCCTGAAAATTTAAGAGCGGGGAATGCTTTCTTATTCCATGAAGTCAGTGTTACTCTCATTACAAAACCAAGATACTATTTAAAAAAAAACAGAAAGACAAATATCCCTCATGACTATGGACACAAACATTCGAAACAAAATGTTAGCAAATTTAATTTAACAGTGTATGGAATCACTTTAAAATTGGCAGAGGGCTCATGTGTAGAATGCAAGATTGGTTTACTTGTTGAAAAATCAGTGAATGCCATTTACCTTATTAGCAAACTAAAAAGGAAAACCATTTATTGATTTCCATACAAGCAGAAAAATGTTTTGGAAAATTCAAGATCCACTGCGGATAAAACATTTGGCAAGCTAGGAATAGAAGATAACGTCCTCTACCCGATAAAGGACACCCCCCAAAAAACAAAACCCAAAACTTAAAACTAATACCAAACTTAATGGTGAAAACATGAATGCTTTCTCCCATAAGTTCAAATACAGGTCAAGAAGGTTCACTCTTACTACTCCTATTCAGTATAGTGCTGGAATGAATTTCTCTCCAGTAGAAGGAGGGAGGAAGGGAAGAAAGGAAGGAGGAAGGAAGGGAGGGAGGGAGGTGAGGAAAGGAAATCCAGATTGGAATAGAAGAAAGAGAAAGCAAAACTGTAGTTTTGGTAGATGATATGATTATGCATATAAATAGAAAATGTGATGGAATATACAAAATAGTTACTAGAAATATGTGAATTTAGCAAGGTTGAAGAACTCAAAGTCAATATACAAAAATGTATTGTATTTCTCTATATTAGCAATGAACAGTCAGAACCTTAAATTTTAAACACAATACCACCAATTATAATAGCACCAAAAATACTAAATACAGATAAATTTGATAAAAGGTGTATAAGAAAGGACTGGGTGCAGTAGCTCACGCCTGTAATTCCAGCACTTTGGGAGGCCAAGATGGGCAGATCACTTGAGGTCAGGAGTTTGAGAGCAGCCTGGCCAATATGGTAAAACCCCAACTCTTCTAAAAATAAAAGAATTAGCCGGGCGTGGTGGTGGGTGCCTATAATCCCAGATACTTGGGAGGCTGAGGAAGGAAGAACTGATTGAACCTGGGAGGCGAACATTGCAGTGAGCCAAGATTGCGCCACTGTACTCCAGCCTGGGCGACAGAGCAAGACAGTCTCAAAAAAAAAAGAAGTACTAAATGAATGGAGCATGGATCAGTAGACTCAATATTACAAAGATATCAATTGATCCTAAATTTATCTATAGATTCAATACAATCCCCATCCAAGTTCCAGTAAGCGTGTTTAGAAATTGACAAGCTGATTCTAAAGTTCATATGGAAATGCAAAGAACCTAGAAGATCCAGAACACCTTTGAAAAAGAGGAACAATGTTGGAAGACTTGTACTACGTAATTTCAAAACTTACTATAAAGCTATAATAATTGAAACTGTGATATTTGTAAAAAGTTAGAGAAATAGATTAATGAAACAGGAGAGCGATACTCTAGATATTTCTGTGAATGTGTTTTTTAGATGAGATTAACAATTAAATTGGTGGACTTTGAGTAAAGCAGGTTACTCACCATAACGAGGGTGGGCCTCACCCATTCCATTGAAGGTTTTAACAGAAGAAAAACTGACCTCCCCTGAACAAGAAGGAATTCTGCCAGCTGACTGCCTTTGGGCCAGAACTGCACCTCTTCCTGAGTCTCCTGTCTGCTAGTCTACTCCATCAGATTTTGGACTGCCCAACCCTCCACAAACATGTGAACTAATTCTTTAACAATAAATGTTTCTCTGGCTGGGCACGGTGGCTCACACCTGTAATCCCAGCACTTTGGGAAGCTGAGGTGGGCAGATCACTTGAGGTCAGCAGTTTGAGACCAGCCTGGGCAACATGGGAAAACCCCGTCTCTACTAAAAATACAAAAATTAGCTTGGCATGGTGGTACACACCTATAATTCCAGCTAGATGGGAGGCTGAGGCAGGAGAGTTGCTTGAACCCGGGAGGGAGAGGTTGCAGTGAGCTGAGATTGCAGCACTGCATTACAGCCTGGGCAACAGAACAAGACTCTGTTTCAGTCAACCAATCAATCAATCAATCAATAAATCCCATTCTGTCTTGGGGTGTGTGTGTGTGTGTATATATATTTGTGTGTGTGTGTATATATATGTGTGTGTATATATATATATACACACAATTCTCTCGGTGTATATATATGTATCTATATATATAATCATATATATATATATATATATATATATATGATTCTTTTTCTCTGGAAAATTCTCACTCATACATAAGTCAAATTTTTTTCCCAGATTGCATGCTGCACGTTTAACCCCATATATTCAAGAAGTTAGGAATTACAATTGTAACGTTACCAAAATTATTACTCGAAAAATTAATCTAGCCACCTAAACAGTAAATGAAAATAACTCACAAATGAGTGTGACATCATATACAAAAAATTGATTATGATAAATATCTCTAAAACATAAGATTAAGGCTAACCAACTTGGTAGCTACAAATGTAGTATAATTGCTGTAATTCATAAAAGAAACCACACAGTAGATAAGCAACTTGACTATAGTCATGGGTAAAAAAAACTTACTCATAAAAAATAATTTTTTAAATGACCATTAATGAGGAGATGGAAGTTGCTGGTTGGAAGTAAATTTTTCATTTTATCTTTCCTAGGGATATTTGCTGGATATAAATTGAGAACTGCAGACTGTAATTTAAAAACATGAAGGCAAAATCTAATCTAATTTAATACAAGATTATATTCAAAGTTTTCAGGAACTGCTTGTAAAACTGAGTCAAGAGGCAAAGAAAAAATATAACTAAACTTAGGTCCTTTTTAGACTCAAGAACGTAATTGAGAATCTTGATGCTGTCTTAGTGACGGTAGATTTAATGGTGGTCAAGTGCTTTGTTTTAGGAAAAAAACTCATCTTAGATAAATGAGTTACAGTCGTTTTGGGTAAAGTCTGGTGTGTTACCTGGGTCTACACACATTTTCGCTTCCAGTCATAAGCAGCAGGTTGGCTCTGGGGACAGAGGAGGCGTCTCAGGTACGTGACAAAACTCTCATAGGAGCCAACTGCACTTATATCTCACCAGAGTCAATGAGCAAGCTCCTTCTCTTTTCAGTCTAACTTTTACTTGCTCCCAAATTTTTCCACCTTTAGTCTGTCCTCCATCTCCTTTGCCTCATGCCTCAGCTTCTCTTCCTCTCCCTTCTTCCTCTTCCCACCTTCATGCTCTCAGCTCCCTTCCCCTTCTTCTTTACATACAATAAAGCCCCTCTTACAGCCTAAAGGAACATAACCAGTACTTTTCATCCTAGGAACGTCAAGGTCCCTTCTATGCGCCACCACTTCCCAAATATGCATTAACAAAGAGAGGTGCTTTCTGTTAGTGTAAAGTCTAGCTGGATTTAATGTAATGTCATTTACGCCGCATTATTTAAGGGAGTGTTGTGCTCTAGTAATTACGTAGATACCCAGATCTGGTTTGTTTGTGTGTATTATGAGTGAATGATGAAAGCATCATTAGGTCTAAGCTGACAAAATAGATGTTTTATTTCAAAATAGAATTTAGATTTGTGGTAGTAATTTATTTTTATATTTTAGGTATGTTTTCATAACATTGTGCAAAGAATGAAGTTGAGCAAGAAAATTAATAGGGATACAGAAACTTGCTCATGATTACAAAGCATATAAAATAAAATATATTTCTTTGGATGCTGTAATACTTTAAAAAATTTGAAGTATAAAAACCAAAAATAGAAGTTTGTGAAATCTGAACTGTAGACTTACCTTACAATCATGCTGAAAACGGAACTCCGCTTCTTCACAGCCCAGAGTTTCATGCCTCGTGCATATTCTAGATGCATAATTGCAATGTCTTGTGTTGTTTTGGTTTGGCTTTTGATATGGAAGAGCCTACTACATTTGTTAATGAAACTATCTTTACAATTATGTTTTAGTGTTAGTATGTTTTAATATTCACTTTATTTATTTTATGAAGACACATCAAAGTAATCACAGAAGATGGTGCTCATGAGCCCTTTGGAATTAGTCTGTGGCATCAGGTGGACCTCAGTTCAGAATTATGACTCAGCCACTCGCTAGGCTGATTGATTTCAACTCTCTCAGCCTCAGATTCCTTATCAATAAAATGGGTATAATACAAACTATATTTTATAGTTGTGGTTAAGATGGGAAGAAAATACACAAATACTGTAGGTTCAATGCCTGACATATAGAGAATACTCCATAAATGACAATAGTGTTTAATTTTGGTTGGAGAATCTATCAATACATGTTTTTGTTTTTTTCTGGATTCTCACTTCTTTTCCACCGATGGAAAAGAATTGGCTATCTCTAAGCCAAGACCACACTGTCTTGATTTTGTGAAAAGTTTTGAAATCAGAAAATGGGAGTCTTCTGACTTTCTCCTTCTTTTTCAAGATTGTTTTGGCTACTTGGGAGTTGAATTTTAGGATGAGCTTGTCGCTTTCTACTTTGATGTTTTTCCAAGGACAACTAAAAAATGAAAAAATGAACATCTAGCTCTGTCAGCTGCCAAGATTCAGTGACACAACAATACTACCAAAATTAAATATTCTCAGATTTTTTACTAACATGGTCCACTGAAGAATGAAGACAAGAGTCCTGAATGATGAACTTACAGAAGATTCCCTGATAATCTAGCTGTGCATTTTACTCACATTTTTCTCCTTTATTTATAGTATGAACAGTCATTCAGCATCTTTCTGACTCTAGCAAATGACTGACGGTAGCAAATTTTCCTTGGTTCATTAATAGGTATAGATTAGAAACCAGATTTGAAGACTGTCAACACCAGCCTAGAGCAAAATATCATTGGAGTTTTTATTAATCAAGTTTTTCTGATGGAAATATTTATACAGTATATTATATGATACAAAATATATATATATGTATGTATATACATATTTTTTTGAGACGGAGTCTCACTCTGTCACCCAGACTGGAGGGCAGTCATGCAATCTCGGCCCACTGCAACCTCTCCCTCCCAGGTTCAAGTAACTCTCCTGCCTCAGCTTCCCAAGTAGCTGGGACTACAGTCTCTCGCCACCACACCCGGCTATTTTTTTTTGTATTTTTAGTAGAAACGGAGTTTCACCATATTGGCCAGGCTGGTCTTGAATTCCTGACCTTGTGATCCACCTTCCTTGGCCTCCTAAAGTGCTGGGATTAGAGGCATGAGCCACCATGCCGGGCCCCAAAATTATATTCTGTAAAAATTGTTTACTATGTCCTTAGCATTTTCTCAGAATTTTCTATTGTGTGAAATTATCCTCAACAAGTTTTAGAGGACTTCAGAAGAATGTATAAAGCAGTAAGATTAGTCTAGATTTTTATAGTTACTCATTGTTAATGACTTTCATGGTTGAGTCAACTGAATTTGACTCACCCTCATCTATTGTATCAGAGATACTTCACTGATCTTAGAATTGACATATCTTATATTCTGTCCTTGATATATTCAGTGTATAGTTAGTATTAAAACAATTACAGAGGAATGCATTAATTTGTGGTTTATTTCAAGTTTTTAAAGCAAGTTATTTAAGTGTTCTCATTTACCTTAATTACCGATAATTTCATTTTATGTACTAGCTGACTTCTTGCAGACCACTTCTCATTTTGATTACTTCAGGGCGTTATTCAATTACCAAGCATTACACTTGGGATCTCTGATATTTCTCTTGATACATACATAGGTTCTTGATGCTATGGCAGGTGATATTTTTCCCCCTGAAAATGGTGCAGATTTCCTTTACCATTGAGATTACTCTTCTTAATTAATGTAGGTAAGTTTATAAATTGGAACTGAAAGCATTTGGCCCCTCCTCGAAATGCTTGTTTTGCCATTCTTTACTTGAAGTGTTCTCTCTCACATTCACACTACTATTAACCAGAGGGCAAAAATCTTTCACTTTTGGCAGGCCATATTTAGACAAATTAATCCTATGAAATATAAAAGGTCATTTACTACTCCTGTAATGTTTGTTGAAGAATAAAAATGAAGAGTAATAGATATTCAAACAAAATATAAAAATGGGGACTATCCATTATAAAGATTATATTTCCAAATGAGTCTATGATTTTTACAGTAGTATAAATATTAGAATGTTCATATTATTTCCGTGTAATTTTAAGGAGTGAGATTAATAAGTTCATGCTCTTGAAATTAGTTGAATTGAATACTGTGTAAAAATTTTAATTAAATGTGATAGAATTTTAGAAATAAGAAGTTCCTCAAAGATCATCTAGTCCATGGTACCAGGGCTTAGATCCTTTTGTGCCTTTATACCCATGACCGACGTCACTAATCAATAGCTGCATTTTCAATGGGAGCTTTGCCAAGTTTCTGAACAAAGTACTCCAGGGATTCTCTAGCAATAGCTCAGTTGTCACTTGAGATTACACCAATTTGCCATAATTTATCTTAGCCCAATTTTTAAAAAATGTTATAGATGGAGAAACTGAAGAACAAATAATTGATTTGTGTAGTGTTGTAAAAATTTACGCCCATAGCTAAAATGAAAACTCAAGTCTCGTTTCTAGCAGTGCTCTATTCTTCGTACCTCATCACGCTGAATTACACCCCGATCTTTGCTATTGTATTGCCAATCCCAATTACACACACAGACTTACAAAGTCAGACATGGAAAATGGATATATTTATATACATCTATACACCTACTAGGGAGATGGTAAATAATGACTGAAAATCTAAATGCTTGTGAGAGCTTCCTAACATTTAGCGTGAGGCAAAAAAAAAAAAAAAAAAAAAAAAAAAAAAAAAAGCCCACAACATTCACATTTACAGTTTACACAGCTGTTGGATGAGTGTACTTCCTGGAAAACTTACAAAATTTACGAATGTATACCTCAAAAGGAGACTTGTCTTGTATTTCAAGTTATACTGCACACGAAACAATTGCTAATCATCAGCTGTATTATATAAATAGTTCACTTCAATTACATATTTCTGGGCTTCATGCTTTTTAAATTTCTTTACCTAAGAAATTTGCAAGTTTCTACCAATGTTATCATAAATAATGCATATGTGTTTTTAAATTTATTATCATTTTTTCTTCTGATATAATTCACATACCACAAAATTTCCCTTTTAAATTGTACAATTCAGTGGTTTTTACTATGTTTGTAAAGCTTTGGTACTATCGCAACTATTTACATTTGAAAACATCCTTACAACCCTCAAGAACAAACAAAAAAAAACCCCCATACACATTCGCACCTGTTCCTACCTCCTCCTTACCCCTTTTGCCAGCCTCCGGTAACCAACTATTCCACTTTCAGTCTCTGTATATTTACTTAGCCTGTAGATTTCATATAAATCTACATAATTCCATGTGGGCTTTTGTACTTGGCTTGTTTCATTTAGCACAGTTTTTGGGCTTATCTCTTGAAATCCTCCTTTCTAGTTTTATGATTAGCTTAGTACTTCTTTGTGGTCAATATTACCTTTTCTCATGTAAAATACCGTATCTTTTCATCAAAATGCCATGTGTTTTTAATTTGCTGGCTCTTTTATTTGCTATAATCTCAAATTATACATGTTACAGTTTTATCCATATAGTGTGTGATATTGGGAAAAAAGTTGAATATTAAATGGAAAATAGAAAAATAGTAGGAAAAATAGAAAATGTTATCAAGGCCTTCTCAAATCTGTATTTCTTCTCTGTATTAAAGGAACTATATATGGGATATTATATTTATTATAACAGAAAAGTGTTTATTTTAACTAGTTGGGTTGGATTAGTGTCTCAAGTCACTTCTCCTTATGAAAATACAATCTCAGCTTTTATAATATTTATATCCTTTCCTTTTTTTCCATAGGATTATAGACATTAAATGAACTGCATATTTGCAGGAATGCCTACCAGTCTTAGCAGCAAATCTGAACTTTGATGAAAAATATAGGGTTAAAGCAGCTTACTGTCATTAATGGTTTATGTAGGGGTACATTTAGTATGTACTTAAAGGAGCATTTAAAGTTAGCAATGCTAATAATCCCTCTTGTTTTTATAGAATTAAACACAAATTGTATGCTCAAATTCCCATCTAAATATGAAAATATAATCCCATTTTAAAATAAAAATGGAATCAATCTAAATTATACTGTTCTTTCTTCTCTATTTGAAAATGTTCAGTGAACTTTGCCCATGATTCTACAAGTCTAAACTAAAATCGAATCAATATATTAAATCTCTGTATGCAAATAAAACATGAAATAGCATCTGCTTATACAACAAAAACATTATTACAACAGTGTTGTGTGGTCCTGGATTTTGGCTCATTGATTTGGCTTCTTGCTCACTCTGATATACACATCTACTGACATTAAGATTTATTACTCATTTTTTAATTAAATTGTTGAAGGATGATGGAGAAGTCATGATTTTGAGAATAATGATCATGTTTTATTCTCTTATTTGGCTAATTTCAGGATAGTTTAAAAATTTTTTAGAGATAAAATCCTAATTGAAACTTACTAAAGTTGTAAAGACATTTATATCTTTTTATATTAATCCCAGAAGTATATTTCATATAATCAGCATTTTTTATAGCTTTTCTTTGTTACAGCTATATAGGCTTTCAACAAGCTTATTACTCATAAATTACAGTCACTTGAAGCTGTAACAGATTAAGTCAGGGGTCCTCAGTCCCTCAGCCACAGACCAGTACCAGTCCTTGGCCTATTAGGAACCAGGCCACACAGCAGGAGGTGAGTGACAAGCCAGCATTATGACCTGGGCTCCTCCTCCTAGATTCTCATAGGAGCAAGAATCCTATTGTGAACTGTGCACCTGAGGGATCTAGGTTGTGTACTCCTTATGAGAATCTAATGCCTGATGATCTGAGGTGCAACAGTTTCATCCTGAAACCATCCTCCTGCATCCCCACCATCCGTGGGAAAATTGTCTTCCATGAAACAAGTCCCATCGTGCCAAAAAGCACTGGATTAAGGGGACCACTGGATTAAGTAATTATATAATTGTAGAAAGGTCTATATTTACTATCAAAGGCAACTAGGTGCCTGTTCTATGTTAAAATACTTTAATGCATGAAAATTCTCAAGCTCATTTAATGATGTGTTCATATGGAATAATAGTCTTGCCATATTGTCATAGCTACTATAACTCTCAATATACCTAAATGGAGAGATTGGAGGGACCTATGGATAAAAGAATTAGCAATCTCTTTGCTCACTGTTGGCTCTTAAAAACTGCCACTTCACTGATGTTGTCCTTGGAGCCCCCAGTGTGTACCTAATAAGATTCAGACTCTGAGATTTCATTCTTCCAATTCCCCTTTCATCCTGTTATCCTTTCCTGTTCTAATTCTTCTGTAGTCACACAATCTCTTTGTCATCCAAATTCAGTAAGCACCCCTTTTCTGCAAGGCATTATGAAACACTGAGAAAGAGGAAAAAAGAGTGAGACATGGTCTCTGTCAATAGGGATTCCTGATTTTTTAAGGATATAGATATGTTTAAATATCTTTAACATCTTGAAGACAAATGAATACTATCATACAACTGGATTTTCCTTCCAGCTGTGCTACTTAATGACATTGTAACCTTGAGTAAGATATCCAACCTCTGAAAGCCTTCATCTCCTCATTTGTAAATGGGATAATTTATTACGCAAACAGCTTAGTCCAGGGCTTAACAGGATTCTACAAATTGTTGGTCATGGTTAGCTTCTGTTATTTAAATGGCATTTATCTATATTTCTATGAAATCAAAAGAGTCCTATAACATGCCTTGAAACATTCCTGCCTCTGTGTTGTATTAAACCTCTGCACTGTGTGATAACCAATATTTGTATTGCATGTACCTGGAAATACAGAAACATATAAATGATAGAGGAGATTCACAGGTTTAACTCCTCCATAGTTTTCCTCATGCATTCATATTTCTCTCTACCTATGCAATTCCGTTCTCCACCTTGTTATTGCCTTTACCCACAAGAAATTTCCTACAAACACCATAAAGTATTCAACAAACATACAGTAAGGTTTTTCTGTGTTCTAGTTCAAGGGGATGCAGAAATGAGTAAATTGAAGTTCCTGTCCTTATAGTCTCAGCGGGAGAAATAGAAGCAAACCACCCTTAACAATGAAATGACAAAGCTGTCAGCCAAAGTGGAGCCTGAAATAAAGGCTATGCACAGTTATTTTACTTGGAGATTGTTACAAGAAAAGCTTGGGACTGTACCACTCCCTCCCCAAACTGGGAAAGTGCCAAGGGACCAAACATTGAGTCCAGCTTGACGAGTAGATGAGTTTATTAGGACTTACATACAGGGCATTCCTGGATGGCAGCAGGACAGTGCTAGAGATCCATGCCACCTCTCACTTCTAAGCTGCCTTTAAGCTAATTTTCTGGCTCTTTGCCTGCCGTTTATGTATAATGGAACTGTTTTCCTTGGTATGTTTCCAGATAGCCTCTGGGATGCTTGAGTTCTTAGGGACGCTTGATCCTCGGCTGGGTAGCATGGCCTTGGCTTACCACTGACCTTCAGGGTTCATGCAGTGACAATATACCCTTAACTAACCTGGTGGGGGACCTGTCACACTACCAGAATGATTATAGGGAAGGAGTGAGGGGCAGCAGGAATGAAACAGAGAAAAGGCACATCCTTTACAAGGATGTTTGTAAATCTACAACCAACCAGCCATAATAGCAGTTTCATTCAGTTGGTCTCAACTATTGGAGACTGGCACATGATCCCATCCAGGGTGACCAATCTTTGGGCTTCCCCATACCACATTGAAAGAAGAATTCTCTTGAGCCACACATAAAATACAGTAACACAAACGATAGGTAATTACCCCCCCCAAAAAAAGGTACGTGCATAAACTTTAAGAAAGTTTACGAATTTATGTTGGGCTGCATTCAAAATTGATGCAGCCTGCGGGCCACTGGTTACACAAGCTTTCATTAGGCCTTCTGAGGCACTTTATGAAATGTGTCTCAGAACTGATACCTCCATTTGGCCATTGGCTCCTCTTTCTTATTGGTCCTTTTCACTATTGGTCAAGGGTAGACCCAAGGCCTTAACTGCTCTGCTCTTTAAGGTTGTACATGGTTGAGTGACTAGCTATTAGGTTGGTGCAAAAGTTATTGTGGTTTCTGCAATTAAAGTAATAGCAAAAACCACAATTACTTTTGCAGCAAACGAATAGCTGCTCTTCTAGGTAACTCAAACTACTGGGGTTAGAAATGAGAAGCATGTTACAATATTCCAACCTCCCTTGCCTCTGATTCTTTCCTCAATGCTATGGCAAGGCATTTCTGAAATCTTCATCTCATTTACAGTAGACTATTGTTGTGTCCAAGCTTCAGGGAATCAGGTCAAGAGTTTTTATACCAGGTCCAGGTAGCTTTACCAAGCTGTTCCACCACAAGTCATGGGTAAGTGCTAGTAAGTCAATAAATAGTATTCAGCCCTTTGTTTTTTTTTTTTCTTTGAGACAGTCTTGCTCTATCGCCCATGCTGGAGTGCAGTGGTGCTATCTTGGCTCACTGCAACCTCTGCCTCCCGGGTTCAAGCAATTCTTGTGCCTAAGCCTCCCAGGTAGCTGGCATTACAGGCCTGCGCCAGCACACATGTCTAAATTTTATATTTTTTGTAGAGAAAGGGTTTCGCCATGTTGGCCAGGTTGGTCTTGAACTCCCGAACTCAGGTGATCCACCCGCCTTGGCCTCCCAAAGTGCTGAGATCACCGGTATGAGCCACCATGCCCAGCCTATTCAGCCTTTTTTTTTTTTTTCACCTTGAGACAGTAGTCACGATCCACTCCCACATGTGTTCCACTGACCAGATTGAGAATACTTTGGTGGGTAAGCTATTCCTCCCAAGATAGGGGCTGTTTCCCTACTCCATCTCTACAGAAATCCAATCCAGGAGACAGGATAGGAGGCAGTGAGGAGGAAAAGCATCATCTTGTGAAGCTCTGGCTTCACTCAGGGCTTTTGTGATATCTCCAGGCAAAAGGAAGCTCCTTTTCTCTAGTGAGGAATTTACCTCTGACAGGCTCAAGAATTTTGATGGTATAAATTCTCAAGCTTGTCTACACAAATGTGCTATGTCAGTCCTTAAGTGCAGATGGTTTATTTGAGAAGTGATTTCAAGGAGCAGAGAGAGGCGCAGTGGGAGTAAAAAGGGAGAAATTGAAAACCAATGCGAAGATGCATCGTTAAGTAAGGTGTCACAGGAGACTGATGCTCAATCCTGTAAGACTGAGAACTATACCAGCTCCAGCACCTTTTCCAGGCTGTTCCATCACAAGTCATGGGTAAGTGCTACTAAGTCAATAAAGCATCTGCCAGCATGATGCCGTAGGAAAGTTTCTTTCCATTTGTTCTCCTCTCCTAATGGTCAATGGTTGCATGATGGCATTAATCCACTGCACCAGTGAGTGAGATCGTCTGAGTTGAGGTATTGCCCAATGCATCTGTGTAAAGCCTGAAGGAAGTGGTCACCAAAAATATGGCTGAAGAAAGGCAGGGGAGTGAGGGTGTAAGATGAGAAGCGGCACAGGGATCTCTGAGAGCGCTATAATGGAGGTATATACCATTTCCCACTATGTGATGTACATTTTGCAGTATCCTTTGTGTTTTTACTTTCTCCTTACATGGTTTTCATAGGAGTTTGATTTGTCTTCCAAAAATGCATAACCTCTTTGAGGACCAACACTATTTATTCTGCTTATTCCAAATTCTAAGATCACCCATCAAGGTATTGTGTTTTCTAATAATAGCATGTTAAATAATTTTTGCTTAAATAATAAATGCCTTGCCGACTTTCCAAATATTTCACTTCCCAAATAATTGGCTTAAAAATCCTTTAAAAACATATATATATATATATATATATATATGTGTGTGTGTGTGTGTGTGTGTGTGTGTGTGTGTGTGTGTGTGTATATATATATATATATAAAGTAGTTCTTAGGAGAGGAAATGAGATAAATTAGAAAGTAAAAATAGAGGCAGGGCGCGGAGGCTTACGCCTGTAATCCCAGCACTTTGAAAGGCCGAGGCAGGCAGATCATGAGGTCAAGAAATCGAGACCATCCTCGCCAACATGGTGAAACCCCGTGTCTACTAGCAATACAAAAATTAGCTGGGGGTGGTGGCGCGCACCTGTAGTCCCATCTACTCGGGAGGCTGAGGCAGGAGAATCACTTGAACCCAGAAGGTGCAGGTTGCAGTGACCTGAGATTGCGCCACTGCACTCCAGCTTGGCAACAGACAGAGTGACTCCGTCTCAAAAAAAAAAAAAAATAGAAATCAGAATGTGTTTGGTTTGCATTTGATTTAGATGCATTTTTTTATACTAAACTAGCCCACAATCCTAATACTGTTTTTTTGCATATGTTAACGGTTGTGATCATACTGCATATTTTGTTGTGAATTCTTAAAAATACAAATATTAAATAGGAGTTAATTTGCAGTTTTTAAAAATAATAAGCCTATTTATATAATATATTTCAATATATCTACAAACCAACCAGCCATAATAGCAGTGAATAATTTGGGATAATTCATAGACTTAATTTTCACTCACCATGTCTAATGGAAAGGAATTGTGATGTAAATAATTCCTAAATTCATTTACCTTTGAGTTTGGAATAGTGTGAACTTATAACAGTAATAACGTCTTACATTTCCATAAACTCAGAGGCTTTGCGTAAATTGATATTAAAGCCTATATTTTTTTCTTAAATAAATAATAGACCATGTGGAAATGATATCCAATATTAATATTTGGAGGAAGTTTATTTGAGATTTAAAGTCTCAAAGAGCGTAATTGGTGCTTGGATAATTGTGACCATGTGTGACTTCCTTGTTCCTTTTATATTTTGCAGGTAGCTAAAGATAAAAAAAGACCCAATGGAGAACCTATTTTTAGACACCCAAACCTAAAGTTCATGCTCTGGTAAAACTCTTTTCACTGTCGTTCTCTCATGAGCGCATAGTGAAGTTTTGCAGACACCCTATAATATGTGATATTACAACAGATTAAATATAGAAAGAGATCCCAGAATACAGTTGTCTTTTATTAAGCCAGACATTGGCAAAAATGTAAAACACTGTCACTCTTCTGTAACAGTGAAATGGTAAAAGACTAACACAGTTAACTAAATTTTAGACTAAAAGGGGGCCTCTGGCCTCTGCTCATGCTTGCCCAGACGTTAGAATAATTTTAGAACACTGAAAGATAACAAAGGAACAAAAGCCTGCAACTGTTGAGACTAACTCTCAAGGTAAAAGGGAAAGTATGTATACTAGGTTTTCTTAAAGATGTAAAGGTACAAGGAGACCATTAACCAGAAACAAAGAGATTTCACAACTTTTCCTATACTCCCTGCTGGTGCCCACGTATATATGCCTTTCTTGGCCACTTCTTGATCTCTATCCCCTTCTTTTCCTCTATACCTAAGTAAAACTGTACAAAGCCTACAAACACTATGATAGTACTTCAGGATGCTAGTGCCATCTTTCTGGTTTGCTGGCTCTCTGAGACAAAGTTTCTTTTCTTGCTCCAGCTCCTTGTTTCTTGACTTTATTGGCTGTGGTAAGGTGAGTAGAACAAGTTTGGATTCTGTTAAATTCTAACAAGCTTGTTTTAAATAAAAATGTTACTTATGTTAAGCAATAGTCCTACTATTATTTTTAAATAAGTTGCTTCAATGTTCTCAGTTTTAATGTATAATATGGCAAATACTGATAGGTATGTCTCACATAAACAAAAGCTCTTTGGCTCCTCATTAATTTTCAAGAGTGTAAAGTGGTCCTGAGAACAAAAAAGTTTGAGAACTGCTGTAGTAGATCACTCATTTTCCCGTGACAGGGCTAGGCAGATAATCCAGAAAGACAGAGCTCATGGTGGTTGGAGGATTCTTTGAAGACTTTTGGAGAAACAGAGACTTGCTCTGGGTCTCCAGTGATAAAGGGGATGTTAGCAATGTAGAATGGAAATGACCTCTAAGTCAGGAAGCCAGCAACAGCAGAGACACAGGTGCAAAAGTGTGTGCTGGGGTAAAGAGCCTGATCGGTTAGGCCGTAATGGGGGAAAAAGTAGTCACAAAGTACGTAGGAAAAGAAACAAGAGGCAGGCTGGGAAGACAAAAACTGGGAAGCAGAACTGGTGTTTAAATTTAATTATTTTGGCTGTAGGGAGACAGTGAGGGTTTTCAAGCAGGTGGTAGTAGGGTGATATAAATGTAATTCCACTTGTGGGAGATTCATCTTTTTTTTTTGAGACAGGGTCTCCCTTTGTCGTCCAGGCTGGAGTGCAGTGGCACCATCTCGGCTCACTGCAAGCTCCGCCTCCAGGGTTCCCGCCATTCTTCTGCCTCAGCCTCCCGAGTAGCTGTGACTACAGGCGCCCGCCATCACGGCCGGCTAATTTTTTGTATTTTTTAGTAGAGACGGGGTTTTATCATGTTAGCCAGGGTGGTCTCGATCTCCTGACCTCGTGATCTGCCCGCCTCGGCCTCCCAAAGTGCTGGATTACAGGCGTGAGCCACCGCGCCTGGCTAGGGAAATTCATCTTGATAATGATTACATTCTATACAGAGGGAAACTAGTAAAGATTTTCTCGTAGGAGTGTGATATGATTTTGCTGTGTTCCTACCCAAATCGCATCTTGAACTGTAGCTCCAACAATTCCCACACATTGTGGGAGGGACCCAGTGGGAGATAATTGAATGGTGGGGGCAGGTTTCCCCCATACTGTTCTCCTGGTGGTGAATAAGTCTCAGGAGATCTTATCGTTTTATAATGGGTTTCCCCTTTCTCTTGGCTCTCATTCTCTCGTCTGCCGCCATGTAAAATGTGCCTTTCGCCTTCTGCCATGATTGTGAGGCCTCTCCAGTTACGTGGAACTGTGAGTCCATTGAACCTCTTTTTCTTTATAAGTTACCCAGTCTCAGGTATGTGTTCATCAGCAGCATGATAACAGACTAATACAGAGTCCACATATAAAATGATAAGGACCGGTACTAAAGTTGCTTCGTTTGAAGTCTCAGTGTTGAGGGAGACTAGGGGTGGCTTTCAGAAAAACAGCCCCCTGCAAGGATTAGAAGAAAAGATAAAGTACCCATAATGATTAGAAATCACCATTTGATGTTGAAGAGGTTTCTAGATCATAAATACTAAAGGATAAAGGATTAAGTGTATTTTTTGTCATATTCAAATTTTGTTGTGAATTCATAGCAAAGTACATGAAAAATAGAAAAGTTTGAATAATTGATTAATCAGAATTCTTCGTTTTCAACCATGCCAGGTAACAAAATGTTTACTATAATTTGCATATTGGCGTGCACTGCTTAGCTGTCCCACTTAAAAGAAAACAATAGTTCTTGTTGATTTAAATTGTTACTTCACACATTATGAATTCTTTTCTATGTGCAGCTTGAATGCTTATTTATTTATTTATTTAGAGACAGAGTCTCACTCTGTCACCCAGGCTGGAGTATAGTGGAACAATCTTGGCTCACTACAACCTCCGCCTCCCAGGTTTAAGTGATTCTTCTTCCTCCACCTCCCTAGTAGCTGGGATTACAGGTGCCCGGCACCACACCCAGCTAATTTTTATATTTTTAGTAGAGATGGGGTTTTGCTATGCTGTCCAGGCTGGTCTCAAACTCCTGACCGTACGTGATCCACCTGCCCCGGCCTCCCAAAGTGCTGGGATTACAGATGTGAGTCACTGTGCCCGGCCTTGAATATTTCTTTTTAAAAAATATTTTTGTATTTATAAAATTAATTTGAACTTTGATTTTTATTTTTTTGAGAGCTATGGTCTTACTGTGTTGACCAGGCTGTTCTGAAATGCCTGGCCTCAAGGGAACCTCCCATGTTGGCCTCCCAAAGTCCTAGGATTATAGGAGTGAGCCACTGCACCAGGCCTACAGCTCGAATACTTCTGAAGCTCACTTTATTTTCAGTGGGAAAGGCACTGTATACAGTAACTAAGCACTAGTTACTGATTATCAATAGACAAAATAAGCTCTTCACTTAAAATGCTTTTTCTGTCATTTTTAAACATTCCGTATACATTCTCCTCTTCCTCTAGCCATATTCACTTATATACACTTTTTAATGAGTAAAACAATTTTCTTTTAGTAATAAAACCAATATAGATGAAATTCCATTAGCTAATAATTTGGTGTACTTTAAATAGAGCTTCTTGGTAAGTCCTGGTTTTAGCACAGATAAATATTCTTTGACATATTTCCTTATAAAGAATTTAGTCCCTGAAATAGATGATGAACTCTTACAGGAAACCAGCTGGATTTGTTGTAATCCTTTACCAATAAAACATAATGATTAATTATAATTTCAATTAAGCACAATTTTGGTACTATAAAAAATACTCAGCTCAGCATTTGTGGTGTTTGAAAAAAAAACTTTCCATCATTTCTTTCCTTGGAAATGACAAGGTTAAAATTAAAATGAACATTTGTTCAGTGAAACAAAATTACTGGCATGCAAGTGATTACCTCATTTGATGAGTTCAGGAAATGAATTAGGAAGAAAGCTGTGTATTTGAAGATTCAGTATATAGTTTACTCATTAATTTTAAAAGTTCGATATAAACTTTTTATATAATTCAAAAGAGAATAATTGAAAGGAAGCCAAGTAAGTTGAATCGGTCAATTGTACCCTAACAAATTACAGCATTTTTAAACCATGAGAACCACAACTTCAAATATACTGTGAAGTATTCTGCAGCAAACTCATATCTGTCCAAGTTCACACAATTTGTTTGACCTAACAAGGATAGCAAAATTATCTCTGCTTTTCACCTGGCTTCACGGCTACCTTTCCAGTGTTTTCCTGGCTTCTGTAGAACACTTCTTCACTTGTTTCCAGAATCTCAGAGATACTCCCTGCATACTCCTGTGACCCTCTTGGATTCTTTCTTTAATTTTTTTTAAATTGCTACAGATTGCCTGAATTAAATAGCTTCAAACATTTGTCCATATCCCTACCTTCCCTCTGTATAATTTCATTAAGATACCTTGAATTTTCTTAGTGAGTCTAGGAAAACTCTGAATGCATTATGCCAAAAAGCAGTCAGACTTTGAACTTTGACCTCAGAGCATCTGATATATCAGAATTTAGACAATAATGACCTTTACCTTACTCTTTCATTACTCCTTTGTCACCGCAGTTAATAACCAATGAACAGTTCTTTGAAATTTTATTTCTTAGCCCTACCACCTACTCCACTGACCTTTCCTGATACATAGAACATGCTACACAAGTAAGTGACATACTGTTTGCTTGAGATAACCAAATGTTCAATATAACCAAATCATATGCTGTTTTTTTCTTTAAATATCCGAAGCACAAACACAAGTTCTAAAATGCAATCGCACAGGTGCATGCTGTTCAGTACCATAATTCCATTTAGTAAATCTTTTACTAAGCAATTCCCTAATACTGTGTTTCAGATATAAATTTACATTGGCTTTGATAGAAATTCTAGGGCAGAAATCAAACAATAATGAAAAGATCATATGCAAAGGCTTTTGATAAATGCTATTAAATTATATGAAAAAAGGGCAAAGTTTTTAATATGGAAAATGGCATTAAGTTGAGGTTTATCAATATTATTACAATACTTTAATTACTGTTGATTACATAGACATAGCAATTTGAAATTTCACTGAAGATACAGTTTAAAAATAATTGAATGAAATGTATCGTAATATACAAAATCAGTTTCACTTTAGAATATTTTTAGAAAACAGTCATTATAGAAAATTTGCTTTAAATAGCCAACTGTTTGAAAAATACTAACATTACTTAGATGTACTATCTAACGTATCAATATGTTTAGAAAAATGGCTAGGATTAAATATAAATGCCTAATATTTCCAGCCATTGGTTTTCAAACTGTGTTATTGGAGCATTTAGGGATTTTCCTCTTATAATGTCTTCTGTAGAATACAGGTTGCCATATGTATAGTAATTCTGTGAAAAAGTTTTTTTTTTTTTTTTTTTTGAGACGGAGTCTCGCTCTGTTGCCCAGGCCGGACTGCGGACTGCAATGGCGCAATCTCGGCTCACTGCAAGCTCCGCTTCCTGGGTTCACGCCATTCTCCTGCCTCAGCCTCCCGAGTAGCTGGGACTACAGGCGCCCGGCTAATTTTTTGTATTTTTAGTAGAGACGGGGTTTCACCTTGTTAGCCAGGATGGTCTCGATCTCCTGACCTCGTGATCCACCCGCCTCGGCCTCCCAAAGTGCTGGGATTACAGGCGTGAGCCACCGCGCCCGGCCGAAAAAGTTTTTTACACTCCTGTATTACATCATATACAGTACCTGGAATATGGGGCTGAAGTCTCTGCTTACATCTTTGCTCTCTGGTAGTCTGTTGTCCACACAGCAGCTATAAGGACAGTTTGACAAGTCACTGATCTGCTTGCTTCTCTAAAGGAAACACACTGAATATCTGTGCATTTTCTCAGATGAGGACTTTGCCTATCATTTCTTTCTTGCCCCTACTCCTGTGTTTACCCTAGTGTCTGGCATAGTGGATAAGTTGATGTGTGAAATTTGGTTAAATATTTCTAGAAAAGCTACTATCATAATGGGAGTTAATATGTAGTATTTATAATGTGTTAGATGCTAAAGACTTCGCATGTATTCACTTGTTTCATCTTCATGGTACCATTATTATCCTCATTTTACAAATAAAGAAACTGAGCACAGAGATGTGAAATAATCTGCCTGAGGTCACACAGCTAGTAAGAGACAGAGCAAGGAATGCAGCTCCAGGGCTCATGCTTCTAAACAGTCTAATGATTAGAGTAGGGATTAAAAAGACAAGTAAATCATAGTTCCTCTATTCAAAGTGTTTATCATTCACCAGGACGGAAACAAACATATTTTCAATGTAATAGTAAATGCTCATAATAACACTAGCACATATTAAGTGTGTATCTATTCTGAGGTTTGTAATAAGTTTTTTATATGTATTGTTTTATTTCATCCTCACAAGAGTCTTCTGACTTTTTAAAATTAGTAAATAAAGATGGTTATGCCCAATGTGAGAAAGAACTGAGCAGCTCCTGACCGTAAACTCAGTCCTTGTGTGTCTGTGTCCTTAATCTTCTTGGCATGTGATGACGAACCTCGGGTGTCACCCCAGAAAACACTGCTTCAGTATGACCTTCTGGGGGCATTCCACTGGAAAAGGGAAGAAAGCCTCAGGTCCGCATGTGTATAACTCCAGTAAACACACTGTGTGTGCTCACCTGCTAGGCACTAGTAGGCCGCTGTGCATGCGGGCAGCTTACCCTAAGGGAAGAATCAAGGGAAAGGAGCTCAAGTTGCCAGAAGTAGGCCAACAAATAAAATCCCAGGTTCAAAGTCAAAGGGGGATTTGACCTCCAAGCTGCCTGCCTGGGCCTCTCCCAGGTGTACTTTCCTTTGCTTTCATTCCTGCTCTAAAGCTATTTATTTATTTATTTAGAGACACAGTCTTGCTCTGTCTCCCAGGCTGGAGTACAATGGTGGTCATTGCAACCTCCATCTCCTGGGTTAAAGCGATTCTCCTGCCTCAGCCTCCCGCATAGCTGGGATTACAGGCACCCGCCACAGTGCCTGGCTAATTTTTGTATTTTTAGTAGAGACAGGGTTTCGCCACGTTGGCCAGGCTGGTCTCGAACTCCTGACCTCAGGTGATCCACCTGCCTCGGCCTCCCAAAGTGCTGGGATTACAGGCGTGAGCCTCTGTGCCCAGCCTAAAGCTTTTTAATAAACGTTCACTCCTGCCTTAAAACTTGCCTTGGTCTCTTCTTCTGCCTTATGCCCCTCAGTTGAATGCCCCTCATCCTTTCTTCTGAGAAGGCAAGAATTGAAGTTGTTGCAGACCTGTATGAATTTGCCACAGGTAACTCAGATAACTTCCACTGTTAATGTATTTTGCTGCTATGTAACTTGGATACCTTCTGCCTGTAACATTTCCTCCATGTTTTCTCAATTATACGGTATACTTACCTTCTGACTGGTGATATTTCCTAGAGATAATCTGGAATTGTACTGACTACTTGGGGAAACTTTGACATTAGAAAGATGTTCATTTGATAGTTACCATCAAAGAAAAAGGAAAGAAACTGTCATGAAATTGTCTTGTCTATAAAAGAAATTATTTTATTTCAGGTAGAAGATGCCACTTCCATTTTGCTTCAGGGTTCAATAATCCCTGGCTTCTTAATTATATGGCTTGATAAAATTGTCAGTGACTTACTCTTTTTTGTGTGTATATATGTCAAATGCACCTAAGTTTTTTTTCTTTTCCTTGCAGATAGGAGATAACTAGCTTAGTATACTGATAATTTAATATTTATCTGAACTTGGCTCCTTTTTACTTACTTTTGCTGTTTCTGTTCCTCTGCCTTTCTTTTTCTGGGACTTGGGAAATTTTAAAGAATAACAGATCAAAAAATTCATTTTCTTGATATACATGAACACTGGGAATAACTAGCATAAACATTCAAATTGTTTAAAAAAAGAAAAATGGTGTGTTTCATTTACTTTACATTTGTGGAGGCTGAGAAGTACCTTATGTAAATCAAAGAAAATGAGGCAAGTCTCAATCATTTTAGGAGGTTTATTTGCCAAAAGTTAAGATAAGCCCTGGAAAGACCATAGATCCACAGGAAAAACTATGGTCCGTGTTTTTCTGAAGACGGTCTGGGATCCTCAATATTTAAAGTAAAAAGGGCAGGTACTGGGGAGAGAGTAAGAAGTTTAAAAAGGGTGTGGGCAGATAAGAGACAAAAGTTTGTATTCTTCTGAGTCTTTGATTAGCTTTTCACAATTTACATGTGAGGGGGTGATATGGTTTGGTTCTGTGTCCCCACCCAAATCTCATCTGTAGCTCCCATAATTACCATTTGTTGTGGGTGGGACCCAGTGGGAGAAAACTGATTCACGGGGGCAGGTCTTTCCTGTGCTGTTCTCATGATAATGAATAAGTCTTATGAGATCTGATGGTTTTTAGAGACAGTTTCGCTCTTGTTGCCCAGGCTGGAGTGCAATGGCACGATCTCCGCTCACTGCAACCTCCACCTCCCAGGTTCTAGAGATTCTCCTGCCTCCACTTCTTGAGTAGCCGGGATTACAGGTGCCTGTCACCATGCCCAGCTAATTTTTGTATTTTTAGTAGAGACAAGGTTTTGCCATGCTGCCCAGGCTGGTCTTGAACTCCTGACCTTGGTGTTCCCCTGCCTTGGCCTCCCAGAGTGCTGGGATTACAGGTATGAGCCACCACGCCCAGACCGATTTGATAGTTTTAAAAATGGGAGTTTCCCTGTACCAGTTCTCTTTCTTTACGTGCCACCATCCACGTAAGATGTGACTTGCTCCTCCTTCTGCCATAATTGTGAGGCCTCCGCAGCCACATGGAACTGTAAGTCCATTAAACCTCTTTTTCTTCCCGGTCTTGGGTATATCTTTATCAGCAGCATGAAAATTGATTAATACAGAGGGGTAGAGGAATAGTCACTTATGCTGTTGTCTAGCTAAGTAAATCTGCATTTTTACATAACCTAAATATAGGGCAGAGGAAGCAATCAGATATCCATTTGTCTCAGGTGAACAGAGGGATGACTTTGAGTTCTGTCCTTTGTCTAATACCTGTGAAGATAGACTATCAATTTATATTGCTAGGGTGAAATTCAACCGAACTGTTTTAGGGTAAAGATCTTAAGGTCTACAAGGAATTTCCCTGTGGACACCTTGTGAGGGAGGTATGTAGCTTTTTATCTTTGTTGCTGTCTTATTTTGGAACTGTAAGAGTTAAAGAAGAGAGAAACATAAAAAGCAGTTCAACAGTAAAAGGTAGGTTGATTTTGGAGAAAAAACCTGAGAGGGGCTTCTGGCCAGCTTCAGTCAGGAGCACTGTCTCTTACAGGCTAAGAGTATTTAAGGTTTCAGGGCGAGAGAAGGCTCTGAATGTTTCTGTGTTGAGAAGTTTACTGAGGGGTTGAAATGTCTCTGGCCAGATGGGAGGTTATCTTGGGGCTGACATCTCTCCAGTCAGTGGGGAGGTTTCTTGGGGCTGGCATGTCTGTGGTCAGGGAGGGGTTTATCTCATGGTTGGAAAGTTTCTGGTTGGAGGTGTCATTTGTGGTTTATGGTGATGGCTGACATTAGCCATTACGCAGATGGCCTTTGGGTTGGATTTAGGCGGTTTTTGATCAAGGGAAACTTTAGAATGGCAGTGCTTGTCCAAGATAGTGATGTTCTTGCTTTGTCAGGATCAACATGAGTGGCAGGTGTGTGACCTAGTTCCCAGTTTGACTTTTCCCTTTGGTTTAGTGAGTTTGGGGCCTCAAGATTTATTTTCCATTCACAGCCTTATTACTATAATTATGAGATAAAATGAAAAGATCTTAGTTGCAAGATAAAATAATAACTTTTGGCATTATTTAAAGAGTCCGTAGAATTTACTTTCATACTATAGAAATAATATCAGCACAATATTTAGGTTTATACAAAACTAGGGTTAAATTTCTCATGGTTAAAATATCTGATAAAAACTTTAGCCGGGCTGGGCGCGGTGACGCACACCTGTAATCCCAGCACTTTGGGAGGCCGAGGCGGGCAGATCACAAGGTCAGAAGATCGAGACCATCCAAACTAACACGGTGAAACCCCGTCTGTACTAAAAATACAAAAAATTAGCCGGGCTTGGTGGTGGGCTCCTGTAGTCCCAGCTACTCGGGAGGCTGAGGCAGGAGAATGGCATGAACCTGGGAGGCGGAGCTTGCCAGTGGCCGAGATCGCGCCACTGCACTCCAGCCTAGGTGACAGAGCGAGACTCGGTCTTTAAAAAAAAAAAAAAAAAAACTTCAGCCAAATTAAATTTAAAGGAGTTTAATTGAGCAATGAACGATTCGTGAATCCAGCAGCCTCCAGAATCACAGCAGATTGACAGAGACCTCAGGGGTGCCTCATGGTCAGAACAAATGTATAGACAAAAAAGGTAAAGTGACGTACAGGAATCAGAAGTGAGGTACATAAACAGTGATTGGTTACAGCTCAGTGTTTGGCTTACTTGAACGCAGTTTGAACATTCAGCAGTCTGTGAGTGGTTGAAGTATGGCCGCTGGGATTGGCCAATACTCAGCTGTTGTTACAGGCATACTATTAAGTTAGGTTTTCAATTTTGTCTATTAAGCTAGGTTACAGTTCATCCACAAGGACTCAAATATAGGAGTATGGAGTCCTTCTCAGGCCATATTATTTTGCTTTAACATTTCTGAAATTGGTTTCATGTGTTAAGTAAATTATCACTGTTTGTATGATAACTTTTTAAAAATATAAAAGCATATTCAAATAAATAGAATGATATATAGCAGGTTAGATTCTGGAAATTAATTCTTGTAAAACCATTGAGACTATATAGTTCTTGGAAGGTCTTTGTGCACTCCAGTTTGAAGGCTTATGTTTTAAAGCAAGGATAAAGAATTTGGGTTAGTCGTAAATCTCTTTCAAGAGTTTGGACCTCCTTTTGAACCTAGTAGAGTGTCACTGACAATCTTTGGAGTAAGGAGAATGACATGATTAGTGCTGTGCTTTAGGGAATAAACAGAATGGGTGGATTCATCTACTCATTCAACAAGTGCTGTATTCTGGATAGTGTGGACTAAAAGGTGCAGAAAACAAAGTTTCTACCGTCCTAGAGCTTACATTCTAATGGGAAAAGACAAACAATTATAGGGCAGAGGAAGCAATCAGATATGCATTTGTGTCAGGTGAACAGGGGGATGACTTTGAGTCAGCTAGTGATGGATGCTATTGAAAAGATAAAGCAAGCGCTATTCTAGACAGTATGAATACATACCCTCTGTCCCATGGAGTTTGCATCCTAACGGGGAAAGACTAGAAATAAATGAAACAATAGCATGTCAGGAAGTGATAGTAGCAGTACTATAAAAAGTTAAGGAGTGTGTGTGTCAAGGGTAAGGAGTTTTAAGAAGGGGAGGTTTGGGAAACTAGGAGATGACGTGTTGGGAGATCAGAGCCTTGACCTGAATAAAGTGATGAAATACACCTCGTGAACATCTATCATGGTCAAACTTGTCCAACTCGTGGCCTGCGGGTTGCATGTAACCCAGGACGGCCTTGAATGCAGCCCAATACAAATTCATAAACTTTTTGAAAACATGAGTTTTTTTGCAACTTTTTTAAAGCTCATCAGCTATCATTAGTGTTTGTAACTGTATTTTATATGTGGCCCACAACACTTCTCCTTCCAGTGTGCCCCAGGGAATACAAAAGATTGGACACCACTGATCTAGGCAAAAAGGGTTCCAACAAAGGGAACAGCAGTACAAAGTGTAGAGACAGAGTCTGCACGGCATATTTGGGAAAGCAAGACAGCTAGCCTTGCTGGAGCAGCATGAGAAAGCAGAGGAAAAATAGGAAATGATGTTAGGAAAGGTTGCCAGGTAGAAGGTAATGTAAAGTCCTGAGGGCATGGAAGATTTTGCATTTGCTGGTGAGGACAGAGATAATACTTTACACTGATTTATGTATTAAAAGGATCACTCCAGACACTTTACCAAGAAAAGAATGCAAGAGGACTGGGCGCAGTGGCTCACGCCTGTAATCCCAGCACTTTGGGATGCCGAGGTGGGTGGATCACCTGAGGTCAGTAGTACGAGACCAGCCTGGACAACATGGTGAAACCCTATCTGTACTGAAAACACAAAAATTAGCCGGGCGTGGTGGCGGGTGCCTATACTCCCAGCTACTCGGGAGGCTGAGGCAGGAGAAGAGCTTGAACCTGGGAGGCGGAGGTTGCAGTGAGCTGAGATTGTGCCACTGCACGCCAGCCTGGGTGACAGAGCAAGATTCCGTCTCAAAAAAAAAAAAAAAAAAAAAAAAAAAAAAAAAAAAAAAAAAAGAATGCAGGAAGGCAGGATTAAGGAGTCTTGCATTATGCCTGTATGGGAGGTTGGTGAGATTTTAAGTGAGGACTAAGCTCTGATTTTCTATCTTGCCCAAATTCCTTCTAAGGTGTCTGGGGAGTCATGCCCTACAAACCATAAATTCTCATCAGATGGATTTTATTTGACCCTGTATATCATGACTTACTTTTCATTCTGACTCTGGCATAATAGTATGAGACAAGGAAAAAAAAATATATCCTTGCCATACCTTGAAATTGCCCTGCAAAGTCTCTTGTGGGAAAAATCCACATTCTATACAGAATCCCCTTTCCCCTTTGTTTTTCTTCCTTTCTTTGCAGATCCAGTAAGATAATCAACTAAGAGCCAGGCACCCTTTTAGGTCTCTTAAGAAACATGTTACAACCTGCTCTCTCTCTCTCTGAAGTCTGTCTGAGAGATTGCTCTGCACAATAAAACTTGGTCTCCATAATCCTTTACCTTAACCTAAACATTCCTTTCCACTGATCCCAGGTTTTCAGATAAACTCCACCAATCGTCAGTCAGAAAATGTTTAATTTTATCCATAGCCTGGAAGCTCCCCTCCACCCCACTTTAAGTCGTCCTGCCTTTCTGAACGAAACCAATGCATTTCTTAAATGTATTTGATTGATGTCTCATGCCTCTCTAAAATATATAAAACCAAGCTGCACCCCGACCACCTCGGGCACATGTTCTCAGGACCTCCTGAGGCTGTGTCACTGGCCAAGGTCACTCATATTTGGCTCAGAATAAATCTCTTCAAACATTTTACAGAGTTTGACTCTTGTCATCAACCTAAGTCAGGGAAGGAGGGTCAACTGATAATGACATCTCATGTGTTTCTAATGAATGCTAGAGTTACAAAATGGGAGACAGAAAACAAATCCCTAGGACCCTGTGGAGGGAGCGTAACTTGGAAACTGAATATAAAGGCAGCATGTTTGGGGAGGATGGGAAAATGGAAGACAGCTTTGAGGCTCTGAAAATTGGTAATTAGAAGGATTGAAGTACCATTGCTTACAATAAAGAAATTACCACAAGTTGGGGAGAGAAAGGGAAAGATGATGAGTTGTGATTATGTTGAGTATATCTAGATGTCAATATTTTACTGATAAAGATAATAAATTTACTTGTCTCCAAACAGACAAAAGTTGAGGCTATTTTTATGTCTCAAGGAAACAGCCAGGAGCCATTGTTTAGGAGTGTTAAAGCAAAAATACGCAAGAGGCAATTAGCCTGGGGTGGTTGTGTAAGTGGAGCTCTTATGTACGCACATAGGAGCTTATCTTGGAAACAGTTCTTGTAACTGACTTATTAAAACCCACCAGCCGCAGGCAATCACAAACAGCCAACAGGATGACTGGTTATACAACTAGGGACCTCCCATCAGACCACAGCCATATAGGTAAATGCCTTATTACACCATGACCAAATAAGGCAAACGTAGCTGTAGCCAATTAGGTAATTTCCTTACTTTGTTTTTATGTTTAGTCTATTGAAGCTTGCTCTCAGGCCACTGGAGCTGAGCTTTCTGAACACTTCTGGTTCAGAGTGCTGCAGATTTATGAATTGTTGTTTGCTGAAATAAGGTGTAAAGTTTATTTTGTCTAAAGTTTTTAACAGGAGTGATAATTCAGGCAAAATGTTCACATAATAGTGGGAAATCAAAAGCTTGCGATACAGAAAAGTGATATATATTTGTAAACTCCTTTAACAAAGGCATCGTAGCATAAGCATGACTGTAGAGCCAGACTGTCAATGTTCAAATTTTTTCTGGGCCTTAATTTCTTTATCTGAAAATCGTTAACAGTGGAACCTAGTTGATAGGGTTGTTGTGGAGCAAGCGTTCTTAATCTGGAGTCCATGAAATTTCAGCATCTGTGAACTTTGTATTGAAAAAATCGTAACTTTATGTCTATTAACCTCACAACAGTTTCGTTTCTTTGAATTATAAAGGCAGGCAACAAACCACAGTAGTATTATCAGTACCTACAACTTTGTTTCCTACAGAAATTATTTTCATACTCAGTAAGTTGTTGCAGATATCTTGAACAATTATACGTATATATTCCTTAAGTATTATATATATAATATTTTTATATTCTGTATATATTTTTGGAGACAGGGTTTTGCTCTGTCTCCCAGGCTGGAGTGCTGTAGCATGATCGGAACTCACTGTAACCTCAAACTCCTGGGCTCTAGTGATCCTTCCAGCCTCAGTCTTGGAATAGCTAGGACTACAAGTACTCCCCACCATACCCAGCTGTTAATTTTTTTTTTTTTCGTAAAGACAAGGTCTCACTATCTTGCCCAGGCTGCTCTCCAACTCTTGGACACAAGCCTCCTGCATAGGTCTCCCAAAGCATTGGGTTTACAGGTGTGAGCCACCGTGCCTGGCTAATACTATGTATTTAATTTCATGCGTTTAGAAATATGTGCTATTTTAAGAAGGCGTCTACAGGTTTTATCACATTACCAAAGGTGTTCATGGCACAAGTGAAGAAATCTCTAGATACTAGAGTAATAAAAACCATGATGCATTAGAACGGATCAGGCCCATATCAAACGTTCAACATACAGTCTGCTGCTATGGTTCTTTTTTTTTTTTTTTTTTTTTTTTTGAGACAGAGTCTCATTCTGTCTCCCAGGCTGGAGTGCAGTGGAGTGATCTCGGCTCACTGCAACCTCTGCCTCCCGGGTTTATGCCATTCTCCTGCCTCAGCCTCCCAAGTAGAGGAACTGCAAGGCGCTCCACCATGCCCGGCTACTTTTTGTATTTTTAGTAGAAATGGGGTTTCCCCATGTTACGGCAGGCTGGTCTTGAACTCCTGACCTCAGGTGAGCCACCTGCCTCAGCCTCCCAAAGTGCTGGGATTACAGGCATGAGCCACCATGTCCAGTCTGCTATGGTTCTTAAAATATTCATAGAATAGAAATTGAAGTAAGTCTATTCGTTTTTATATTAAAAGTAGCTAGTACGGTGCTCTGTACTTATGCACTCCATGGATGCTGAATGAGTCATTGAATGAAGTGGAGTCTAGGTTGTGCCTCAGGCCTTCCAGTGGGGCTGGAAGGAACAGTTGTGAAGTTGTGGGGCGGCTTCTGTGCATCGGGGGACTCTGGAGTTAGATGGTTTCCCAGGGCTCTGAAGGAGAAGAGCTGTGTTCCTAATAATGATCTCAATGGGAATAGAGATTGCTGGGGACCGCAGGGGCCAGGTTGTCATTCCCCAAAGCTTCCCCTTCATCATCCAAGAAGGCATTCAGGTCTTTCTGTGCTAGGCCCCAGGTAAAGTGCTGGACTACCCAGTAATTGGGTTCAGTAGCAGGATGGCCTCAGATTGAGGTCCCAGGGCCAAAGGACCACTCCTCTCCTCAGCGCTGGTCCGGGAAAGGCAAGCTCCGGGCGGGAGCGCACGCCGCGCCCCCGAAGCCTGGCTCCCTCGCCACGCCCACTTCCTGCCCCCATCCCGCGCCTTTCCAGGTCTTCTCCCGGTGAACCGGATGCTCTGTCAGTCTCCTCCTCTGCGTCCTCGGCCGCGGCCCGGGTCCCTCGCAAAGCCGCTGCCATCCCGGAGGGCCCAGCCAGCGGGCTCCCGGAGGCTGGCCGGGCAGGCGTGGTGCGCGGTAGGAGCTGGGCGCGCACGGCTACCGCGCGTGGAGGAGACACTGCCCTGCCGCGATGGGGGCCCGGGGCGCTCCTTCACGCCGTAGGCAAGCGGGGCGGCGGCTGCGGTACCTGCCCACCGGGAGCTTTCCCTTCCTTCTCCTGCTGCTGCTGCTCTGCATCCAGCTCGGGGGAGGACAGAAGAAAAAGGAGGTAGAATGGATCCCCTTGGCCTTCCCCTGTGGGCGGGGGCGGGCCAGGGTGGGCCGCGTTGCCAGGCAGCCCTGCCGTGTTGCTAGGCAGCCTGGTCGCCGGCGTGGGCGATGCCGGCGCTGGGGCGGGAGCCGCGAGGGTGGGAGGCCCTGGGGCGTTTCCGGGACGTGGAGTTAGCAGGGTTCTGACTTGAAAAACGACGGCAAAGCGTGTTCTTGACTGCTTCTGAGCACCTCACACCTTTCAGACCCAGGGCGCCTTTATTCCCAGCTGGAAGCCCAGCTTAGAGCAATGGTGCCACTAAAAGGGGTGTGTTGGATGTGAAAATACCCTTTGGAAGTATTTATAAGCCTGCAGGAAATATGTTTTCCTTATTTTCTTACTCTGCTCCCTTCATTACCCATTTCAAGAAGCAACAGAACCTGTGCAGAGTGTGTTTTAAGTTACACTGTATGTTTATTTTTGTTTATGTTGAACTCGGTGTATACTTGTGAGAATAAGCTTGCATTTTTTATTTTGTGCAAGTACAACAGAACATATTGAGAGTGTGTTTTAAGTTATCCTGTATGTTTACTTTACGTTGAACTCAGTGTATACTTGTGAAAATAACCTGCCATTTATTTTATGTGGATTTATTTCTGAAGTTCATTCAATCTGATTTCAATCTTAATCCACCATTAACTTTGAAAAGGTTGAGATTTGAAGTGACTGGTTGTATTTAAAGTAGGTGGAGTGTTTGTAAGTTCTAATTATCCATCATGGATAGTTGATCTAGCTGCTTCAGCAAAAATAGTTATTTCGGGAATGTGACTAGGGTTTCTAATTGTGGACCATTTTGGTGAGAGTTATCTGCTTACATAATTGAAGATAGTTTTTCCTGGTTAAGTTGTACACCTACACAGGGCTCAAAATCTGAATTGGGTTTAAGATATTAACAAAATTTTAATAGCTGGGTAGAGACAGTGAAAAAATACCCTCATATGCAGAGTGATTGTTTCCCTTTCTCTTTATTCTTAGTCTGAAACAAATATTGTGTGTTCAATTTTAACTAATGTACCTCTCTTCAGCTTTTAAATTTTAACATGAAAGTAGGTCATATGAAATTATTGGTGAAGTTCTGCTAAGGGATTTAGAGAACCACTGTTAAACTGAAATTGTATTTACAAATATAAATTAATGATTTTTTTTAGCACTTGGTATTTGTATACCATATTCCAAGAGTTTTAGATTTAGGAGTTCACGAGAAAGGTAGAAGAGTGAAGAAAAAGTAGACAGTTTTTTTTGTGGATTACCAAAGCAAAGGGCAATAAAAGATGATGAAGAACTCCATGGAAATTGTGATGTTTTATCTCCTAGGACGATCCCTAGGACCACGCCAATTTTCATTTGAAGGGTGTGAACCCCAAAGTATTTTAAGACTGACCTTAATCAATTTTTTTTTTTTTGCCAGTGTTAAGGATGCACTGGTGACACAGCCTCTGGAGGTCCTGATGGCAGGTGCCCAAGGTGGTCAGGGTACAGCTGGCTTTTATACATTTTAGAGAGACATAATACATTGATCAATACATGTAAGGTCTACATTGGTTTGATCTGGAAGGGTGGGACAACTCAAAGGGGGAGGGGCATCCAGGTCATAGGTAGATTTAAAAATTTTCTGATTGGCAATTGGTTGAAAGAATTGTTATTAATAGAAAGGAATGTGGAGACCATGGTTTTATTAGCCAGATGAAGCCTCCAGGTGGCAGACTTCAGAGAGAATAGATTGTAAATGTTTCTTATCAGACCTAAGGTCTGTGTTGATGTTAATGCTGGTTGGCTTTTCCAGAATTCCAAGAAGAAGGAGGGTATAATGAGCATGTCTGGCTCACTTTTCCCATCGTCGCCTGAAGTGGTTTTTCAGGTTAGCTTTGGGATATGCCCTCGGTGGAGAAGAGGGGCCCTTTCAGATGGCTGGGGCAGAGGTCGGAGGGTGCTTACATTTTTGTTTTTCGTTTACAAGGGGAAAAAAAAAATCTAAAAAGTGTACATGTTTACAGCATCTGAGTATCTCCAATAATAAGATGACTTTAATATGTGAAAACATTTGTGGATTTAGTATAATTAAATCTAAATTACAGCAACATGTTTCTATTAAAATTTTTTCTCGAAATATATTTTTGAAATGAAAAATTAGGGAGAACATTGTTGAGGATTAAAAAAGTTTTTCTTGCAAATTAGTTTTATTTCTCCTAAGTAGGAGCACTTGATTTCACTGTATGACAGTATTACAGTGTATGTATATTTTACTGAAGAAAAGAAGAGCAAAATAAGAGCTTAAATAGTTGATGTTTTCAAGACTGTACTTTCAGGGATCATTTCTATAGTTTGTTAAATACTTGGTGTTCTGATACTTTACTCAATAAGCATGCGTATCTCTGAAATACAGGCCATTCCGTATCTGGTACTCACTAAGTTCACAAACTGTGATCTCTTCCAATATTGGAAGGGAAACACGCTATATTGGAAAGTGTGGTCACCAATGTGGTATTTTCCTAGTGATAGCCCAGGGTTATTTTGACAGTATGTGGTCTCTTTCTGTCTAGCTGACTTTAAAACCTGATGCCTATGATAAGATTTGGCACAATGGAACCTGGAAGTGTAGCAGTTGAAAGTTAATTTACTATTAATATAATAAATATTATTGACATATGTACCAGAGTAGTTGATTTAGCATGAACAGTGTTTTTCTTCCTTCTAGAGGGGAAGCCAAACTGAAGTCTTAAGTTGAGCCTGCAATCAGGAAAGGACATTAGTTGATTTAAAGGAAGTAATATTTAGTAGTTATGACAGTAATACCACCATGGATGGATTTTTAAGTCAGACAGATAGATGGTCAAGTTACAATTCAGCCTCTAATTTTATGACATCAGGCAAACGACAAACTCTCTGCATTTTAGTTTGCTTGCTTTAAAATATAAATATAATACCCATATCTCAGGTATTATGTATACATGTATGTAACATGTAAAATATATAACTATATGTATATAAAGACTGTATATAAAATGCTTAGTGCAATGCGTAGGATATAATAAATGGTCACTAAGTGGTAGCTGTTACTATGTATTCCTCATTTAAATGAAAGCATTAGTGTAATGAGATCCTGAAATGCGGTAAGATTTTTTTGAATTGGTTTTTTTTTTTTGCTAAAGAAACTAACTTTATAATAATAAATTATATGGTCTGTGGAATAGTCTATTGCTTATCATGAAACACCGAGAATTCCAAATTCTCTTACGTTGTTTGAAAATTTCCCAGGAAGAGATTTGGTATCATAGAAGACTTGGTGATATCCCATGGATTTGTGTGTGTGTGTGTGTGTGTGTGTATGTATTATGTATATGTTTGTACACATACACATATGCTTCTTCGTGAAGACATTTTCATTCATTAAAAACAATGTTTTGTTATATTCCCTGTTGGAGAATGTGGTTGAGAGAGTTAAGTGAATAGGCAAAGAAGATTGGAAATTTGTATAGTCACTTTTCTTAATTACATTGAATATAGTCATTAAAAACTGATTTTTGAATCCTCACTGATGTTAAGTGATGTGAGTTTCTGGGAGACTTTGGCTTTTTAGTAGTGTATCATTTGCCTATCTAGTGCATCTTGTGTTTCTTTTATTTTGACAGTTTCTCTCTTTCTAACTTCATTAACACTTATCAGTTAATCAGCTTCATTTAGAATTGTTTTAATTTATAATGACCTCTTCTGATAATGTGAAAAGAGCTCCAATTCTGTAATTATTTCCAGTACACTTATTGACTTTGCCATCATCAAAAGCAGCT
Organism: Homo sapiens; assembly: GCF_000001405.40. Classification (NCBI taxonomy): domain Eukaryota; kingdom Metazoa; phylum Chordata; class Mammalia; order Primates; family Hominidae; genus Homo; species Homo sapiens. The sequence continues at coordinate 15,544,396 of NC_000008.11, forward strand.
GTTATAATAATTAATTTATCTTATCTGCAATGAATGTGAGTAGCTAATAGGCCATGATATGTAGGTAATAATGAATATGCAATATGAAAAATTGAAGAGCTCATGTTTTCTAAGCGATCAATTGTTTGACTAAATAAAACATATTTCAATTGCCTTTGACATAACTTCTATATGTCATTAATGTTTTTAAGTACATTTTATATTGGGATGTATAATATCCAGTTAGTTTTCGTGGCACAGCTGTGAAACAGAGACTTTACTATCTTAGCAAATGATAAAAGGGGAGAGGAGGGAGGTAAGCAATGGATGTTACCTTTAAGCAGAGAACTTAAGTGGAAGAAAAAGTTTGCAGTGATAACACAGGAAATCATGGTAGTTATGCATTGATATGTACGCATATATGCACAGAATATATAGGTGCAGGCAATGTGATTTCACTTAGGTTAGATTGTATGTATGACCACCCCTTGAAGCGTGATTGGAAATAGCCAAAGCTGCTTGTCAGGAATGCCATAGTGTCATGGATGATGGCAGAAGACATGGGATTCTTGTGTCACAGATGAAGGATAGTTTATTATAGCAATAGAATGGTCTTTATGTACATATGGTTCTATATTTTACATGTTACATACGTATTATGTGTTACACACATGTATACATAATACCTAAGATGTAGGTGTTATATTTTAAAACAAGGAAATTAAAATTCAGAGAGTTTGTCATATGCCTGATGTCGTACAGTTAGAGGCTGAGTTATAACTGGACCATCTATCTTGGTGGTCAGTATTACTGTCATAACTATTAAATATTTCTTCCTTGAAAGCAACTAATGTCCACAGCAATAGATAGTTTATTACCCAGCATTTGTACTGGTTCCTTGAGCTTCAGTTCACATTGAGCAACATGAGGGGGTCTAGGTGATGCCCACTCATGTAGTGAATTACACTGCAGGAGAGGAACCTTGCATTTAAGAAACCAAGGTCTTTAAAAATGGGCAGTACACTTCTTTGACCTCTTCTCTAAAGGGAGACATTATCTTTATTAAACTCAAAAGTAAACACTCATTTTTCTGGAGGGGGACTCTGTCTTCTTTGACTATGTGCTATATGCAAATATCCTTGAAAAGATGGTCCAGAACAAGTCAGTCAGTCCCTGCATTAGCAAGTTGTGTTAGAAACCCATGAGGAATTGTCTGTCCACGTAAGAGATAGGAGCTTGGTCAAAAGAGAACATTTTCAGGGTATTTTTCTCCACATGCACCACCAGCATGTTTAGTCCCATATATGTGCCCTCTTCCACACATAGGGCACAGAGAAGGGGAAAGAGTGGAAACATAACTCAAGCTAAAGAGTAATCAACTCTTAACCTTTTGCTGCATTTACTTTTTCATTATTTCCCTCTTTAGCCCTACATATTCATCGATTTTAGATGTGAGTGTGGTCTGTTATGCCTGTGACTGCTGTAGATTATTTCAGTGATCTTCAGCGTTTATTTGGCATGTCAGACTATCTCAGACTATCAGATATCTCTGATATTTGGCATATCAGACTATAAATTGCTCATCTCCATAAGAATTCCTCCTGGAGTATCATGCTAATCCTACCAGGATAGAAAATTTACTTTTGGTTAAGTGTAGGAATAATGTGTTCCCCAGCTGGAAAACAAGTACATAAACAAAGGTTTATTTGTTATATAACAGTGTGTGTATGCACATATTTGCATGTGTGTATGTGTGTAACAAATGGATATTTCTCCTGGTCTCTATCCAGTCTTTATTTCTATCTTTTGGGCAAGATTTCTGCAGCTTCTCAAACTGAGCATGTCTGAAAGGGAACTCTTGATCCTTCCTTCGCCACATCTGGCCCATGTGTTTTCTCATTGCTGTTTTATGGAAAACAAATTTTAACATTCTGGCACATCAGTTTTTATCTAATCACTTGCCGGTATAATACAGCTTTGTAGTTCTTACCCTGTATTTTGCAGATAGTACACAGGGATGCTGGCTTCACATAATTTCTTGGGGAGTTGTACATGGACTATTTTACAAGAAGTATTACTGTTTTTTTTACATAGATAAGTAAGACATATATAAATAGATTGAATATTAAGGCTTCAAAGATGTTATTCAGAAGAATAATTTTTTCTTTTTTCTTTTGGGAGACAGAGTTTTGCTCTTGTTGCCCAGGCTGGAGTGCAATGGCGCAAACTTGGCTCACTGCAACCTCTGCCTCCTGGGTTCAAGCAATCCCCCTGCCTCAGCCTCCCGAGTAGCTGGGATTACAGGCATACGCCACCATGCCTGGCTAATTTCGTATTTTTAGTAGAGACAGGGTTTCTCCATGTTGGTCAGGCTGGTCTGTAACTCCCGACCTCAGGTGATCTGCCCGTCTCGGCCTCCCCAAAGTGCTGGGATTACAGGCATGAGCCACTGCACCTGGCCTAGAAGAATAATTTTTTTCATGGTAGTTGGTATCTGTTTGCCTGCCTGCCTGCCTGCCTCCCAGTTGGCCTGTCTCTATTTCTTTTTAATGTTGGAAGGCACAAGGTCAACAGTAAGTTTAGAGAGTGATTTGAAATCTGTTATAAAAGTCTAAGATAGAATAGCATCTTGTTGTCATTTAATGAACAGAAAAAAGTTAAAAATATAGTGAATTATTTATGGTATATTTATTATTATTAAAATTTTGGTTAATCATGTAAAGATACCTACCAAGTTTGATATTTGAAGGTGAAAAATAAATTTTCTTTCCCCTTGATGTTACCATGAGAACTCAAGTACCTATAATGTAATGGAAAGGGCACTTTAGTACAGGTTAAATAAGTTGTAGCACTGATTTTATTTAATGGAAATATTTGTGATTTTAGAAGTATAATTTTTAGAAATGGCATAACATGGTTGTCATTGTGATTTGACTCAACTTTTGGAAATATTTTGGTACGGAGTTTTCTCTGCTTGGAAACAGCAAACCATTGCCAAGTTAGTTTCTAGGAGTTTTACAGTAAAACTAAAGGTCATAAATTGTGAAATCTTTTTGCTATTCATATTAAATACTAAATTGAATGAAATACCTTAGTATAACTTACTGAATTTAATGAACTTGGTGGTCGATAATAAGGCTTAAATTATATCAGGAAAATAAAAATAAAACAAGCAACAAGCAGACAGGATACTAGGCATTTGACTTAGTTAGATTGTTGTCGTAGATTGAATGTTTATGTTCCCACAAAATTTATAGGTTGAAATCCTAACTTTGAGTGAGAAAGTATTAGGAGGTGGGGCCTTTGGGAAGTGATAGGTCCTCAGGGGTGCCGCCCTCATGAATTAGATTAGTGCCCTTATAAATAGGACCCCAGAGAGCTCTCTGGTCCTCGTTCTCCCAAGTGAGGAAGTGCCCTTTCCATTGCATTATGGGTACTTGAGTTCTCATGGTAACATGAAGGGGAAAGAAAATTTATTTTTCACTTTCAAATATCAAACTTGGTAGGTATCTTTACACGATTAACCAACATTTTCATAATAATAAATATACCAGTAAATAATTCACTTTATTTTTAACTTTTTTCTGTTATTTTTAACTTTATTTTATTTTTTATTTATTTTTAATTGTTTTTTCTTCTGTGAGAAGATAGCAATGTGAGCAATCTGCAGTCCAGAAGGGAGCTTTCACCAGAACCCGACCATGCTGGAACTCTGATCTTGGACTTCCAGCACCCAGACCTGTGAGAAATAAATTTCCGTTGCCCCCTAGTTTATGGTAATTTGTTATAGCAGCCCAAACGAACGAAGACAATTGTATATAATTTTCACAATATCTTTGCCTGATGGTTGTGACAAACTATTTGTCTAACTTTTGTCTTTACTGACAGTAGATTGGTTTGGTTTAAGTATTGAGAGAAGCTGGGACACTTGCCAGCCCTAAGCAATAATTTCTATCAGTTAAAGATCATCATTATTTCAGCATCTTGCAAATTATTGTTTTAGAAGTGAGTATATGATACAGTTGTACATGGCTTTGGGAAAGTTTCCTTCTTCTTTACAGAGGGCACACAAGGACGGGAAATTTTCTCATCCTGTCTTTGGAGTGTGTGTATGAGAATGTGATGCTTTGGTTGCTGAAACCATCTTATTACCTCGAAAGTACACGCCTGAGGGCAAAAAACAGCATAGAAAAATGGGAAGAACTGGGTACTTGATGACATGTCTTAGCCTTGTAATTGCTCTCTCAACTCCTTGCTTTGTGAGTTAATAACCTTCCTTATTGTTTAGCACATTTCAAATTGGATTTCTGATATTTTGTATCTAAAATCATTCTACTAAGGGAGGTATTGTTGAATTAAGCATTTTGCCCATGACTGTACAACTTGTATGTTTACAGTTTTACTCCAGAATTCTCCTTCTACCCTATGTTTTAATAACTAGCTATACAACGCTATTTGTCAATTACATATTAAATATCAGTAGGAGATTGTTGAGGTACATGTAGCCCTCCCTGATCCTTGAATCTCAGTGATCACTATTAAAAAGCATCTGTGCATGTTTGGAAGAGAATTTTCCATGTGTTTCTTTTAGTGAAATAAGTGTTTTTATTGAGTGGATTGAAGCTCTGTGTTAAATAATGTGTGAATCAAAAAAATTGTAGGAAAAAGATTGGAAATAAATTTAATATGTACCTTAAAAATTGTTAGTCCAAGGAATGGGTAGAAGAATAATTTATACCTCAGGTATATTTGCTGCATACAATGTGTTTTCTATATGAATGCTTTTTAAAAGTACTTATTTATTTTATTTTATTTTTTGAGACGGAGTCTTGCTCTGTCGCCCAGGCTGGAGTGCAGTGGGCTATCTCTGCTCATTGCAACCCCTGCCTCCCGGATTCAAGTGATTCTCCTGCCTCAGCCACCTGAGGAGCTGGGATTACAGGCGCACGCCACCACATCTGGCTGATTTTTGTATTTTTAGTAGAGGCTGGGTTTCACCATGTTGATCAGGCTGGTCTCAAACTCCTGACCTCGTGATCTGCCCGCCTCGGCCTCCCAAAGTGCTGGGATTACAGGCGTGAGCCACCATGCTCGGCCTAATGTACTTACTTATTTTTTTGTGTGTGCCTATAATTGATTGGTAGGTGTTTTCATTTTAAAGGCATACCAAATGAAATACAAAGAGTCATTTAACTTTTATTTTTAGAATATTATATTTTAATAATATTCTTTTGGTTAACATGTGAGTTAAGTTGAAGGAAAAGAAAACGGGGCCTCCCTTAAGGAAGGGAGAATGCTGATTGGTCCATGTTTTTTAGAATTTTCAAGGGGAGTAAAAGTTTTTCTCGTACTCATAATAGTGGAGTGGTTGTGCTGTTTTTTGCCATTGTTTCCTGTACATTTTTCCTCTTGAAGCATTTATGAGGAAGGATGGCTGAATCAAGGTTGAATACTACCATGATGGTGTAGCAGGACGAGCCGCAGACAAGAACCCCTCAGACACTGAATTGTAGAAGGAAAGGGCTTCATTCAGCTGGGAGCATCAGCAGACTCACATCTCCAAAAACCGAGCTCCCCGAGTGGGCAATTCCTGTCACCTTTAAGGGCTTACAACTCTAAGGGGATCCATGTGAGAGGGTCATGATCGATTGAGCAAGCACGGGGTACGTGACTGGGGGCTGCTCACACCTGCACCAGTAATTAGAATGGAACAGAACAGGACAGGGATTTTCACAATGCTTTTCCATACAATGTCTGTAATCATAGCCGATTAGGTCAGGGGTCGTTCTTTAACTACCAGGCCCAGGGTGTGGCACCGGGCTGTCTGTCTGTGGATTTCATTTCTGCCTTTTAGTTTTTATTTCTGTTTTCTTTGGAGGCAGAAATTTGGCATAAGACAATATGATGGGTGGTCTCCTCCCTTAATGGCACTTGAATTCAGCTTGGCTTTCCATTGACAGCCACATGAGTTGCATGCTTAGATGTTGGACATAGTGTAAATCATAAGAGAATAGTAACTGTAGAATGTGATTTTACAAAATATTGCATTATAGAATGTTAGAGCAGGAAAGTCAGGTTTCAGGCTAAATAACAAAGCTGGGACTAAAAACAAGGTTTCCTCATACCAGAGTTTGTGTTATTGTATTCTCATGCTCCATTATCAAGAATTTATGCTGTCAGGGTCTTACCCTCCTACCCTGCCCCCATCCCCTGTCCTTTCGCCACTTTCATACTGTTTCATTACTATCATGATTCTTTCCTCTGTCTTTTTGTAGCTGATCTTTTTTTAATTAGTTAGTTAATTATTTTTTTTTAAAGATAGTGTCTCTCACTGTCACCCAGGTTGGAGTGCAGTGGCATGGTCTCATCTCACTGCAACCTCTGCCTCCCGGGTTCAAGTGATTCTCGTGCCTCAGCCTCCCGAGTAGCTGGGATTACAAGCGTGCACCACAACACTTGGCTAATTTTTGTATTTTTAGTAGAGACGGGGTTTCATCATGTTCGCCATGCTGGCCTTAAATTCCTAACCTCGGGTGATCTGCCCGCCTCGGCCTCCCAAGTGCTGGGATTACAGGGGTGAAATAAAATGGTAACTTACAAAGTGTTAAGGACCTTGTAAAAATTCTAGATAAATAAATGTGGATTCTAGTTCCTTTGATTTAAACTCTGTGTTCTTGGGAAAGTCACTTAACCGTTTGGAGCAGCAGTTGTCCTCAAATGTAAAATGAGAGGGTTGAACAAGATCAGGATTTCTGAACATGGTAAATGCAGAAAAAGTTTCCCATTAGTTCTCTGAAATTACATACATTTTCATTTATGGAATAAATGTGTTTTTCTGGCATATCTTTAATTTTTATTAGGTTCTAAAAATGCCTAGAAACTACTAGAGTAGACTTTTAGATCCTTTCTAGATTTTTAAGATTATATAAAATATGGTAATAGAATGATTTATGGTAGTTTCTCTATATATCAAAGCTAATTTTATGTTTTAGAAGTTGACTCATGATAACAGTCTTGCTTTGATTTGATTAAAACTTTCTTATAAAGAAGCCTAAATAACGTTAATTTTCAACAATTTAATTGAGTTATATGATTCGTGGGGGGTAACAAAAACTAATTGTGGCTGAGCTGTGTAAGTTCTTTTATTTGACTGTCAAATAGCAATTAAATTTACACTCATTATTTTTGCCTGTTTCAAATACCTAATCTACAAAGCCATAAATTAAATCAGTAAGCTACTTTTGTTCATTGCTGTAGTTTTCAAAGAACTTCATAGGTGTTATATACCACAGTAACTCAGGAGAAACAACTTAAGAAGTTATTTGTCTTAGTCATTACTGCCGGTCTCTTGTGTTCAAGGTACGTGTTATAAGGGTAAGAAACAAAATATTCTGCAAGGTTTTAAAAAGGAATGGGAGGGTACTGGTTGTATTACTTCCCTTTTCTCTGTATCCCTTTTCCTTCAAAAGTTACTTCTGTTGAGTTAGCGTCATAGCATTTGTATACATAGTTCATAATCTTTGTTTTTGGATTTTCACAGGGTTCCATCATGACACAGTAAATAGATGATTCCAGGGAACTTTATACTGTGTTTTACCGATTTCTTAGTAAAATAGAAACTTCTTGAGTATGGAGACTTCTTTGATTTGATGTCTATGCCATTTTAATTATGGCAGAAGCCCAAAGTAGACAAGCCTTATATGTTTGATTCCTGTTTGGGTGTTGATTTCTTAAGTATGTTGTAAATGTTTTTCATATTATGTACCTTTTGATGATTTTACGTAGAAATACTATTATTGATGTAAGCAATACAAAATAAATATATTGGAGTATCATCATCCTAAAATATGGCACATGTTACTGAACAAAGTGCCAAGTTATTGAAGTTTCTCCAATATGTGATCTGTCATTTTTTGTCAACAAATATTTATTGGTGAATACTACATGTTAGGTAGGTACAGTGCTGGATTTTGAAGGTAGAGTGATGAATAAGACAGCCATTGTCCCGGATATATCCTACTGCTCATAGTTCAGTGGGAGATTCAGACAGAAAATCAGGCAGTTATAATGTAATATAAGAAGTCAATAAACTGGGAAATAATGGGCGCTATACTAGCATATTGGGGTGAGCTGAAAACTAAAGAGCTAATCATAGGAAATAACCCAGTGAAGAGGGCGAGTGCTAAACAGCACTGGTAAAGGTCCAGCATATGAAAAAACACAGCAAATTCAGAGAACTCAAAGCTTGGTATGGCTAAGTTTAGAATACACAGGGTGGGGGAATAGTGGATTGAGGCCAGAGTGGAAGTGAGGATCAAATCTTGAAGACTCTTCTTAAGCCATGTTAAAGAATCTGGATCTGAACTTGATCCTGAAATCGGTGGGGAGAATTGAAGGGTTTTATCTTGGGAGTGACAAAGTGAGGTTTATATTTAGAAGGATTGCTATGGCTATGCTGTGGAGAATAGCTTAGGTGGGGATGCAAGACTGGAGAAGAGGCTTCTGCAGATGTCAAAGTGAGAGGTAATGATGACTTGAAATTAGTTGTGGCAGTGAGAATGAAGAAAAATACTTGGATTCCAGAGTTGTTTAGGAGCCAGACTAGACAGTACTCGGTAATTGGTTGTGTGCGGAATGAGAGAAAAGGAGACAAGGGTGATGACTACATTTCTTGATAAAAGGGAAATTCTATTTATTGAAATAGGAAACAGGAGAAGAAAGATTTTCGAAGGAAGATAACATGTTCGTGTTTGAGAATGTATGAGATGCCTGTGTGATATCTAAACTGAGATGTTTGAGAAGCAGAATATATGGAAATGAAGCTTCGATCTGGGCTGATGATAAAATAGACTTGAAAATCATTCGCCTAAATGGGAATTGAATTCATGGTGGTGGATAAAAATCACCCAGCCAGAGCACTTACAGTAAAAAATAGAGGACCTGTTGCAAACCCCTCAAAGATACCAATATTTTGGTGTGCTGCAAAAGCGATGCTTGCAAAAGATCCTTGGACTTCGTTGCTGGAGGAGCTTAGAAGGAAATGCAGCAGAATTTTGGATGTCACAGGAGGAGAATGTTCCAAGGAGAGGTCAACAGTGATAAGTTTGGACTTTGCTGCTGGAGGAGCTTACAAGGAAACACAGCAGAATTTTGGATGTCACAGGAGGAGAATGTTCCAAGGAGAGGTCAAAAGTGATAAATGTTGACCACTGAGAGGTTAAATAACAACTGAACAGTTCTTCGGATTTAGCAAGAACGGCTTCATTGCAGTGTTACAGTGAACACTAGAATGTGGTAGGTTAATTAATGAGTGGGTTGTGAGGAAGTGGAGGCAGCCAACACTTCTTCTCAAACAATTTGCTGTGAATGGGAAGAGAGAGTTAAGTGGTGGTAGCTGGAGAAGAAGCTGAAATGAAAATAAAGAATGTTATGTCAGGTGACTGAGAAGGTAGGAGGAAGGAATGGGAAGTGGAGAACAGCTGACAGCATTAGCCTTATATGGAAATATGGTAGTTGTTACGGTTGTTCGTAGATACTTTGTTTTCCCCCATGCATATGGTAGTGTCAGGCTGTTCAGACTGCCATAACCATCAGATGGGCAGCATATACACCATACAAATTTTTTTCTCACAGTTATGGGAGCTGGGAAGTCCAAGATCAAGGTGACCTCAGATCCGTGTCTGGTGAGGCCCACTTTCTCGGAGATGGCACTTCTCTGTCTTCACATGATTCAAGGGACAAACGAGCTCCCTTGGACCTATGGATTTTTGATTTTGTCATCTCTTCAAACCCCACCTTCCTTGTATCATCACAATGGTGATAAGGTTTCAACATAAGAATTTTGTGGGGATACAAACATGCAGACCTAGCAGGTAGGATTTAACTTTCCTAATATTTTGAACTCAGCATGGCCACATGACTAACTTTAGCCTGTGAAATGCAAGGAGATGTGTGTCATTGCTAGGCAGAAGCTTGCAGCACCATTGCATGCTTTGCTGTATTCTTTTTTCCTGTCTTGTGCTGACTGGGAATGTTTGAGATGGTAGATGCTTTATCAGCCAGGGTCTCTGAATGACCAGGGTGAGCAGCCTCCCTGACAACTCACAATGAAGAAATGTACTTTTATTTATTTATTTTTAAATACTGAGATTTGGAGCTCTTAGTGCACTATAGTCTAACCTATTTGGATTGTTTCAAGGACTGTTGACTTTTGCATTTTACTATAATTTTTTTTTTTTTTTTTTTTGAGATGGAGTCTCACTCTGTCGCCCAGGCTGGAGTGCAGTGGCGTGATTTCAGCTCACTGCAAGCTCTGCCTCCCAGGTTCACACCATTCTCCTGCCTCAGCCTCCCGAGTAGCTGGGACCACAGGCGCCCTCACCACGCCCGGCTAATTTTTTTTTTGTATTTTTAGTAGAGACGGGGTTTCACCGTGTTAGCCAGGATGGTGTCGATCTCCTGACCTCGTGATCCACCTGCCTCAACCTCCCAAAGTGCTGGGATTACAAGCGTGAGCCACCGCACCCGGCCAACATTTTATTATAATTTTAAATAGCTACTGTGGAAATAGGTAAATTGACTCAGAAAGCAATGAAGCGCTGCTAAATCGTGTGAAGGGCTATTTAAGTTTGGGGTTTTGGCAAGGAGATTGAAGGAACACACATTATAGATATAGAGAATGTAAGGAATTGGTTGTTATTTTGAAAAATTTACATAAGATTTCTCCTTGATTAGGTACGTAGGTGACAATATTATAATAGCAGTCTTTTTTTTTTTTTTTTTTTTTTTGGGGGGGACGAGATCTTACTCTGTTGTCCAGGGTGGAGTGTAGTGGTGTGATCTTGGCTTACTGCAACCTCTGCCTCCTTGGCCCTTGGTTCATGTGCCACCATGCCAGGCTAATTTTTTTTTTTTTTTTTTTTTTTTTTTTTTTTTTTAAAGACATGGTCTTGCTCTGTTGCCCAGGCTGGAGTGCAGTGCTGGGGGATCACAGTTCACTGTGGCCTTGACCTCCTGGGCTCAAGTGATCCTCCCACCTCAGCCTCCCCAGTAGCTGGGACCACAGGCACTTGCCACCATGCCTAGCTAGTTTTTTTGTATTGTAGAGACGAAGTCTCCCTGTGTTGTACAGGATGGCCTTGAACTCTTGGGCTCAAGTGATCCCCCTGCCTTGGCCTCCCAGAGTGCTGGGATTACAGTATTACAGTCTTAAAATGAGAAATTGTTAGGCAGTTAATGGTAACCTTCATTTCTCTCATATTTTACTTCGAAGGTCTCAAACCAATTTCCTGATGTTTTGATATTTTTATGAATCAGATAAGCCCTTTCATGTTTGTAATATTTCATAACTGTTGGAATATTGCATGTATCTAAAGAATCTTGTAGAAGTTTAGCAACATTTGATCATTTATTCTAAGGAGGCTTTTGTTTAGAAGTATTAACTTTAGGTAAATTTCTTACGGACTCTTTCAGCTGTGGGTCATTTTATGAAATATAAGCCAATGTTGATTTATAATAATTTATAGTTCTCTGATAAAAATATATCAATAATGTATGCTTTCTGGATATAAATGATCAAAACCATTAGAAAATAGAGGTAAAAATCAATTTTATTTTTTATTTTTTTATTTTTTATTTTTTTTTTATTATACTTTAAGTTTTAGGGTACATGTGCACATTGTGCAGGTTAGTTACATATGTATACATGTGCCAAGCTGGTGCACTGCACCCACTAACTCGTCATCTAGCATTAGGTAAATCTCCCAGTGCTATCCCTCCCCCCTCCCCCCACCCCACAACAGTCCCCAGAGTGTGATATTCCCCTTCCTGTGTCCATGTGATCTCATTGTTCAGTCCCCACCTATGAGTGAGAATATGCGGTGTTTGGTTTTTTGTTCTTGAGATAGTTTACTGAGAATGTTTTCCAATTTCATCCATGTCCCTACAAAGGACATGAACTCATCATTTTTTATGGCTGCATAGTATTCCATGGTGTATATGTGCCACATTTTCTTAATCCAGTCTATCATTGTTGGACATTTGGGTTGGTTCCAAGTCTTTGCTGTTGTGAATAATGCCACAGTAAACATACGTGTGCATGTGTCCTTATAGCAATACGATTTATAGTCCTTTGGGTATATACCCAGTAATGGGATGGCTGGGTCAAATGGTATTTCCAGTTCTAGATCCCTGAGGAATCGCCACACTGACTTCCACAATGGTTGAACTAGTTTACAGTCCCACCAACAGTGTAAAAGTGTTCCTCTTTCTCCACATCCTCTCCAGCACCTGTTGTTTCCTGACTTTTTAATGATTGCCACTCTAACTGGTGTGAGATGGTATCTCATTGTGGTTTTGATTTGCATTTCTCTGATGGCCAGTGATGATGAGCATTTTTTCATGTGTTTTTTGGCTGCATAAATGTCTTCTTTTGAGAAGTGTCTGTTCATGTCCTTTGCCCACTTTTTGATGGGGTTGTTTGTTTTTTTCTTGTAAATTTGTTTGAGTTCATTGTAGATTCTGGATATTAGCCCTTTGTCAGATGAGTAGGTTGTGAAAATTTTCTCCCATTTTGTAGGTTGCCTGTACACTCTGATGGTAATTTCTTTTGCTGTGCAGAAGCTCTTTAGTTTAATTAGATCCCATTTGTCAATTTTGGCTTTTGTTGCCATTGCTTTTGGTGTTTTAGACATGAAGTCCTTGCCCATGCCTATGTCCTGAATGGTAATGCCTAGGTTTTCTTCTAGGGTTTTTATGGTTTTAGGTCTAACGTTTAAGTCTTTAATCCATCTTGAATTGATTTTTGTATAAGGTGTAAGGAAGGGATCCAGTTTCAGCTTTCTACATATGGCTAGCCAGTTTTCCCAGCACCATTTATTAAATAGGGAATCCTTTCCCCATTGCTTGTTTTTCTCAGGTTGTCAAAGATCAGATAGTTGTAGATATGCGGTGTTATTTCTGAGGGCTCTGTTCTGTTCCATTGATCTATATCTCTGTTTTGGTACCAGTACCATGCTGTTTTGGTTACTGTAGCCTTGTAGTATAGTTTGAAGTCAGGTAGTGTGATGCCTCCAGCTTTGTTCTTTTGGCTTAGGATTGACTTGGCGATGCGGGCTCTTTTTTGGTTCCATATGAACTTTAAAGTAGTTTTTTCCAATTCTGTGAAGAAAGGCATTGGTAGCTTGATGGGGATGGCATTGAATCTATAAATTACCTTGGGCAGTACGGCCATTTTCATGATATTGATTCTTCCTACCCATGAGCATGGAATGTTCTTCCATTTGTTTGTATCCTCTTTTATTTCCTTGAGCAGTGGTTGGTAGTTCTCCTTGAAGAGGTCCTTCACATCCCTTGTAAGTTGGATTCCTAGATATTTTCTTCTCTTTGAAGCAGTTGTGAATGGGAGTTCACTCATGATTTGGCTCTCCGTTTGTCTGTTGTTGGTGTATAAGAATGCTTGTGATTTTTGTACATTGATTTTGTATCCTGAGACTTTGCTGAAGTTGCTTATCAGCTTAAGGAGATTTTGGGCTGAGACAATGGGGTTTTCTAGATATACAATCATGTCGTCTGCAAACAGGGACAATTTGACTTCCTCTTTTCCTAATTGAATACCCTTTGTTTCCTTCTCCTGCCTAATTGCCCTGGCCAGCACTTCCAACACTATGTTGAATAGGAGTGGTGAGAGAGGGCATCCCTGTCTTGTGCCAGTTTTCAAAGGGAATGCTTCCAGTTTTTGCCCATTCAGTATGATATTGGCTGTGGGTTTGTCATAGATAGCTCTTATTATTTTGAGATATGTCCCATCAATACCTAATTTATTGAGAGTTTTTAGCATGAAGGGTTGTTGAATTTTGTCAAAGGCTTTTTCTGCATCTCTTGAGATAATCATGTGGTTTTTGTCTTTGGCTCTGTTTATATGCTGGATTACATTTATTGATTTGCGTATATTGAACCAGCCTTGCCGTCCCAGGGATGAAGCCCACTTGATCATGGTGGATAAGCTTTTTGATGTGCTGCTGGATTCGTTTTGCCAGTATTTTATTGAGGATTTTTGCATCAATGTTCATCAAGGATATTGGTCTAAAATTCTCTTTTTTTGTTGTGTCTCTGCCTGGCTTTGGTATCAGAATGATGCTGGCCTCATAAAATGAGTTAGGGAGGATTCCCTCTTTTTCTATTGATTGGAATAGTTTCAGAAGGAATGGTACCAGTTCCTCCTTGTATCTCTGGTAGAATTCAGCTGTGAATCCATCTGGTGCTGGACTCTTTTTGGTTGGTAAGCTATTGATTATTGCCACAATTTCAGCTCCTGTTATTGGTCTATTCAGAGATTCAACTTCTTCCTGGTTTAGTCTTGGGAGAGTGTATGTGTCGAGGAATTTATCCATTTCTTCTAGATTTTCTAGTTTATTTGCATAGAGGTGTTTGTAGTATTCTCTGATGGTAGTTTGTATTTCTGTGGGATCGGTGGTGATATCCCCTTTATCATTTTTTATTGCGTCTGTTCGATTCTTCTCTTTTTCTTTATTAGTCTTGCTAGCGGTCTATCAATCTTGTTGGTCCTTTCAAAAAACCAGCTCCTGGATTCATTAATTTTTTGAAGGGTTTTTTGTGTCTCTATTTCCTTCAGTTCTGCTCTGATTTTAGTTATTTCTTGCTTTCTGCTAGCTTTTGAATGTGTTTGCTCTTGCTTTTCTAGTTCTTTTAATTGTGATGTTAGGGTGTCAATTTTGGATCTTTCCTGCTTTCTCTTGTGGGCATTTAGTGCTATAAATTTCCCTCTACACACTGCTTTGAATGCGTCCCAGAGATTCTGGTATGTTGTGTCTTTGTTCTCGTTGGTTTCAAAGAACATCTTTATTTCTGCCTTCATTTTGTTATGTACCCAGTAGTCATTCAGGAGCAGGTTGTTCAGTTTCCATGTAGTTGAGCAGTTTTGAGTGAGATTCTTAACCCTGAGTTCTAGTTTGATTGCACTGTGGTCTGACAGACAGTTTGTTATAATTTCTGTTCTTTTACATTTGCTGAGGAGAGCTTTACTTCCAAGTATGTGGTCAATTTTGGAATAGGTGTGGTGTGGTGCTGACAAAAATGTATATTCTGTTGATTTGGGGTGGAGAGTTCTGTAGATGTCTGTTAGGTCCGCTTGGTGCAGAGCTGAGTTCTATTCCTGGGTATCCTTGTTGACTTTCTGTCTCGTTGATCTGTCTAATGTTGACGGTGGGGTGCTAAAGTCTCCCATTATTAATGTGTGGGAGTCTAATTCTCTTTGTAGGTCACTCAGGACTTGCTTTATGAATCTTGGTGCTCCTGTATTGGGTGCATATATATTTAGGATAGTTAGCTCTTCTTGTTGAATTGATCCCTTTACCATTATGTAATGGCCTTCTTTGTCTCTTTTGATCTTTGTTGGTTTAAAGTCTGTTTTATCAGAGACTAGGATTGCAACCCCTGCCTTTTTTTGTTTTCCATTTGCTTGGTAGATCTTCCTCCATCCTTTTATTTTGAGTCTATGTGTGTCTCTGCACGTGAGATGGGTTTCCTGAATACAGCACACTGATGGGTCTTGACTCTTTATCCAATTTGCCAGTCTGTGTCTTTTAATTGGAGCATTTAGTCCATTTACATTTAAAGTTAATATTGTTATGTGTGAATTTGATCCTGTCATGATGATGTTAGCTGGTGATTTTGCTCGTTAGTTGATGCAGTTTCTTCCTAGTCTCGATGGTCTTTACATTTTGGCATGATTTTGCAGCGGCTGGTACCGGTTGTTCCTTTCCATGTTTAGTGCTTCCTTCAGGAGCTCTTTTAGGGCAGGCCTGGTGGTGACAAAATCTCTCAGCATTTGCTTGTCTGTTAAGTATTTTATTTCTCCTTCACTTATGAAGCTTAGTTTGGCTGGATATGAAATTCTGGGTTGAAATTTCTTGTCTTTAAGAATGTTGAATATTGGCCCCCACTCTCTTCTGGCTTGTAGGGTTTCTGCTGAGAGATCCGCTGTTAGTCTGATGGGCTTCCCTTTGAGGGTAACCCGACCTTTCTCTCTGGCTGCCCTTAACATTTTTTCCTTCATTTCAACTTTGGTGAATCTGACCATTATGTGTCTTGGAGTTGCTCTTCTCGAGAAGTATCTTTGTGGCATTCTCTGTGTTTCCTGAATCTGAACGTTGGCCTGCCTTGCTAGATTGGGGAAGTTCTCCTGGATAATATCCTGCAGAGTGTTTTCCAACTTGGTTCCATTCTCCCCATCACTTTCAGGTACACCAATCAGACGTAGATTTGGTCTTTTCACATAGTCCCATATTTCTTGGAGGCTTTGCTCATTTCTTTTTATTCTTTTTTCTCTAAACTTCCCTTCTCGCTTCATTTCATTCATTTCATCTTCCATCGCTGATACCCTCTCTTCCAGTTGATCGCATCGGCTCCTGAGGCTTCTGCATTCTTCACGTAGTTCTCGAGCCTTGGTTTTCAGCTCCATCAGCTCCTTTAAGCACTTCTCTGTATTGGTTATTCTAGTTATACATTCTTCTAAATTTTTTTCAAAGTTTTCAACTTCTTTGCCTTTGGTTTGAATGTCCTCCTGTAGCTGAGAGTAATTTGATCGTCTGAAGCCTTCTTCTCTCAGCTCGTCAAAGTCATTCTCCATCCAGCTTTGTTCCGTTGTTGGTGAGGAACTGCGTTCCTTTGGAGGAGGAGAGGCGCTCTGCGTTTTAGAGTTTCCAGTTTTTCTGTTCTGTTTTTTCCCCATCTTTGTGGTTTTATGTACTTTTGGTCTTTGATGATGGTGATGTACAGATGGGTTTTTGGTGTGGATGTCCTTTCTGTTTGTTAGTTTTCCTTCTAACAGACAGGACCCTCAGCTGCAGGTCTGTTGGAATACCCTGCAGTGTGAGGTGTCAGTGTGCCCCTGCTGGGGGGTGCCTCCCAGTTCGGCTGCTAGGAGGTCAGGGGTCAGGGACCCACTTGAGGAGGCAGTCTGCCAGTTCTCAGATCTCCAGCTGCGTGCTGGGAGAACCACTGCTCTCTTAAAAGCTGTCAGACAGGGACATTTAAGTCTGCAGAGGTTACTGCTGTCCTTTTGTTTGTCTGTGCCCTGCCCCCAGAGGTGGAGCCTACAGAGGCAGGCAGGCCTCCTTGAGCTGTGGTGGGCTCCACCCAGTTCGAGCTTCCTGGCTGCTTTGTTTACCTAATCAAGCCTGGGCAATGGCGGGTGCCCCTCCCCCAGCCTCACTGCCGCCTTGCAGTTTGATCTCAGACTGCAGTGCTAGCAATGAGCGAGACTCCGTGGGTGTAGGACCCTCCGAGCCAGGTGCGGGATATAATCTTGTGGTGCGCCGTTTTTTAAGCCCGTCGGAAAAGCGCAGTATTCGGGTATGAGTGACCCGATTTTCCAGGTGCCGTCCGTCACCCCTTTCTTTGACTCGGAAAGGGAACTCCCTGACCCCTTGCGCTTCCCAAGTGAGGCAATGCCTCGCCCTGTTTCGGCTGGCGCACGGTGTGCGCACCCACTCTCCTGCACCCACTGTCTGGCACTCCCTAGTGAGATGAACCCGGTACCTCAGATGGAAATGCAGAAATCACCATCTTCTGCGTTGCTCAGGCTGGGAGCTGTAGACAGGAGCTGTTCCTATTCGGCCATCTTGGCTCCTCTCTTCAAAAATCAATTTTTAAGTAGGCCTTCATAGCTAAGATGGAAATGGAAAAACAGCAGCAGTAAGAACAGCTATGCAGGAGTCTAGCTTCAGAGATCTTGGAGATAAGAACTTCCCGGCATTTTCTTATAACCTAGTTGGGGTATCACTACACAATTACTGCGTGAGGTTGAGTACTGTAGTGATTTACCAACACTGTTATCTTACGGTTTTCTTCTGAGATGTTATCATTCGTGGATGGTATATAAGATATCCTGTTCTAAAAAATCTTATTTCTTAGTGTGGCATAGCTAATAAAACCGCTTCGCAATTTATCTTTCCATCCGTCTTATCTCCTCTCCCTTAAGATGAGTAATCCACTTTAAGCGTTAAGAAATAGGATGTAAAGTGTAAGGGTGGTTTGTGGGTATATTAGTTTTATATTGATGCATAAAAAATTGCCACAATTTAGTGGCTTAAAATAACACCCATTTCTTATCTCCTAGTTTCTAGATGTCAGAAGTCTGGGCATGGTGTAGCTGGATTCTGTCTCTGTTAAGGGTCTTAGGAGGCCAAAATTAAGGTGAGACCGGGTTGCGTTCTTTTCTGAATCTCTGGGTCCTCTTCTCAACTCATTCAAGTTGTAGGCAGAATTCAGCTTTTGGTAGTTGTAGGAAGGAGTTTCTTGTTTTCTTCCTGCTTGTGTTGCTCTCAGTTCTTTGCTGCCAACCCCAGGTTCCAGCCATGGAGCACCATCTATAGGCAGTTCACAGCATGGCTATTTGCTTTATTCCAGATCACTAGGATCACTTTTGTGACACTTCTTTTAAAATGTTTTCCTGATTAGGTGAGGCTAATCCAGGATAATCTCTCATTTAAATAACTCAGAGTTAATAGATTAGAGACCTTATGTTTGCAAATATTTGCCATATAAGGTAACATAATTGTGGGAGCGCTGTTCTGCTATATCACAGGTCTTGTCCATGCCCAGGGGAGGCAGTTACGTTACAGTGGTTCATTGGGGATTATTTCATTTATGCCTACTAAAGTGGGCAAGCCTGCACTTTTAGATTTTATGTAGTTTTAAATGGTGGCTTATAAAACCCATATAAACAGGCATGACAGTCAATGTATGGGACAGTATTATTTAATATAAGACATTTACCAATGACTATAAAATTAAAGTGATGATAACTTTATCATCACTTCATAAATAACTTCATGTGTGTCAGTCAGGGTTCAGTCACAGATGCAGGACCACTAGAAGGTGAATCTCTATGTCTCTCGATTTATTTGCAATGGTGTGAACCTGTTAAGTAGTCTCTGAAAGGCTACTGTTTGCATGGTGATGTTGGAGATTGTGGTCTGAGGGCAGGCCGTTGGGAAGATTGCTGTAAGGTAAGGAAGATTCAAGAACAAGCTGGAATCCCAGCATTTTGGGAGGCTGAGGTGGGCGGATCACAAGGTCAGGAGTTTGAGAACAGCCTGGCCAATATGGTGAAACCCTGTCTCTGCTAAAAATACAAAAATTAGCTGGTTGTGGTGGCGCATGCCTGTAATACCAGCTACTCAGGAGGCTGAGGCAGAAGAATTGCTTGAACCGGGGAGGCAGAGGATTCAGTGAGCCCGGATTGTGCCATAGCACTCCAGCCTGAGTGACAGAGTGAGCCTCCATCTCAAAAAAAAAAAAAAAAAAAAGAACAACCTGGAACCTACAAAGGTGGACTGAAACCATCCTCAGAGTAGTTTTAAAGCTCATAGTTCTTAAATTGCATGATACTGAGAAAATAGTTATTCATAAAAGTAAGCACTTGTAAATAAGAATTATTTCAAGTAATTCACGTATCTTGTAGTCTCAGAATACCTATTAAACTGGTCTGGAAGTCTGGAAGATTGATAGGCATTTTCCTTTTCATGAGGATATGAACAATTAAAATTCAAAGTTAAATTTTCATTGAGTCTGAAACAATTGTTTGGTGGGACATACTTTTAAAATGGATTTTAATATATTAAATGCTTTAAAGAAATGTTTCCCTCTTCCTCTCCATTATAGGAGAAACCATTATTATTCTGTCAGATAATTACTTGAAGTTTCAAAATTTTTAAAAAGTGTCTTTTAAAGTATTAGTTTAGATTTTTTTTCTAATTTTTGTGACTGGCACTTCAAAAATCATTAGAAACTTCGTAACAATGGGGATGGAATTTTCAAATCGAGGTTATTAATATTATGGAGAATAGTAGATAACTAAGTTTGGGCAGCCATGTTGTTTTTGAGTTAACATTTCTCTAACAGCTAAAATAAAAAATAAAAAAGTGATTTCTTGTCTCATTTGAAATATTCATATACAAATCTTAACGTCATCCAGCTGTCAACAGAGTAGTATTATAAAAAAGAAAATTGTGGAATCCACTGTCTACCGTATATTATTACTGAATATTATTGAAAGATACTTAACATCTTTTTAATACCCCCTTTTGTTTGTGAATATGTGCAGTGTCTATTTGAACACATTTGTCAACAGCTTTAGAGCTACTTATGTCATTTTCCTTCTGTGTCTTTCATTCTTTTATTAGATTTTATTATATTTCTTTTACATCCGTTGATGGTGTGCCAGACCTGTTTACCGTATGAGTTTTCTCTTCTTCACAGACACAAGCTAGATGACATTTCCCAGTGTCCCATGTTTAGATAGGACATTGTGACAGAGTTCTAGGCGATGGAGTGTAAACAGAGGTGATCTGTGTCGTCTGCAGCTTGACCCATCAAGATTTCCCCACGCTTGTGCTGGAGTGTCCACTCCCACCCTGTTCTAAGGACTCATCTTGTTTGCATCACAAGCTTCCCCGTGTGGTTCTGTGTTAGTGTGTCCCTGAGATTTGGAAGATAGAAGAGAAGGAGAGAGGCCACTGTTCTTTACAGAGAGCTGAGGCAGATTCATGGGCAGATATGAGGTTTGAAGCATTGTTCAGGGAAGTCCAGGATGACCATTGTATGCATTTTGTATTGTTGCTGTAACAAATTATCACAAATTTAGAGGCTTAAAACAACAGCAATCGATTATCTTACAGTTCTGGAGGTGGGATGTCCAAGTCAGTCTCACTGGGCTAAAGTCAAGGTGTCTGCAGGTTTGTTTCCTGCTGGAAGCGTTGAGGGGAGCCTTTTTTTTTTTTTGTCTTTTGCAGTTTCTAGAGGCTGCTGGCATTCCTCATTATTTCTTACTTGGCATCATTCCAGTCTCTGACTTCCATTCCCACATCTGAAAAACTGACTCTGATTTTCTTGCCTTCCTGTTACAGAGACCCTTACTATTTTGGATCTACCTGGCTAATATAGGATAATCTCTTCCCATTTCAGGATCATTTGTTTAGTCACATCTTGTGTCAGGTAAGGTAACAATTAACCTGTTTCTTGGAATTAGAACATGGACATCTTTGGTGGGTTGGGAAGGTCCCACTTTTCAGACTCCCACAGCTACCTGCTTAGCTGTTGCAGACCAAGATAGTTGGTGGAAGCTTTCAAGACATTCATACACTCCAGGTGTAGAAATTCACCAGGCTCTTGAGAATCTTCTGCTTTGGAGCTATAGGCAGAGATTGTATCTGTTTTCTTTAACTTTGTTTCTTTTGTCCTTCCCCAGTGGTGTTTTAAGCTTCATCTGATTCTCTGTATTAAATACTTTCATGCTTGGAACACATGCAGTGGTTTCTGTTTTCCTGACTGAAGTCTGATACAAAGCTCTTTCCCTATAACTAGGTTGAGAATGTAAAGAGGGACCTGGAAAGCCATGTGTTGCGGATGGCAGAGCAGCCATCAGCCTAGGTGTGGATGACTGTGTGGTACAGTCTCCTTAATCTCCTGAATTTGGCTCTGTACTATTATATGGATGTAAGCCACTAAAATTTTGGGGTCTGTCTGGTACTACAAAACTTTCTATAGCTTAATTCATTCTTACTAATAAAGATGACTTATTAAAAACTAAATACCAAAACAAATATCATCGCTTATGATGTATTTAAACACACCTGATTCAGAGTAGTACATTTTCCTTGTTTTTTCTGTCCATCGTTTGTTAACAAAGCCACTCAGCCCCTGAACTAACTTACTGGTATGCATTCTCAGTGTCTTCTCTAGACAACGTTATCAGAAGATGCTACAGTTTCCATATTTACAGCAGTGATTCATGTAATATATCTTTTGCCATGACTAGACTAAAACATAGAATTCAGAAGCCATTCTTTAGTAGTATGTTCCCTCTTATATAAGATGCAGCAGTTTTATTGTCAGTGTATGTTCATCATCAGCTTTATTAATTTTTTCCTGGAGCTCAGAAACGGATTTTAGTGGTTGGCGTTTTGAGGAAAACAACTTTAAATCATTTTATTATTCCTCATAGGATTATTTTGAACATGTGCTATTGTTACCATTTTAAGATGAGGGGGCCTAAGTTTAAAGATTTTTGTCACATGGTAACAGCTGCTAAAGGAAAGAGCTGGACCACAACAACTGATAAGGAAAAAAGTTTACCACTTTTTTCATCATATATTCCTCAGAGGAGGTATATGTACTTGTTTATCCGACTTCACAGAAGACACATTTTTTTGTTGTTGTTGTTGTTGTTGTTTTTTTTTTGAGACAGGGTCTTGCTCTGTTGCTCAGACTGGAGTACACTGGCACAATCACAGCTCACGACAGCCACAACCAACCTCCTAGGCTCAAGCAATCCTCCCGCGTTAGTCTCCTAAGTAGCTGGGATTATAGGCACGTGTCATCATGACTGGTTAATTTGTGTGTATGTGTTTGTGTTTGTAGAGACAGGATTTTACCATGTTTCCCAGGCTGCTCTTAAATTTCTGGGATCCAGTTATCCTGCGGCTTCGGCCTCCCAAACCATTGGGATTGTAGGTTTGCCCGGCCAACACATATTCTTACAGGTTGTAACATGAGTCATATTTTGGTCTTCACTTAGTGATAACCACCAGGAGGGGCTTTTATACTATGTGCTCTTGGCTAAGATAATGGCAAATTGGGAATGTGCAACAAATTCTAGTCATGGCTCTTTTAACTTAGTGATCTTGGTTAAGCCACCATATCTTTCTGGGTCACAGTACTTTCGGCAGTTAAGAATTAGACTTGAGCCAGATCCAAGATTCTTTGAACTCTGACATTTTATCATTCCTTTTAATGAAGGAACTGAAAAACATTTCGGGGCAGTGGGGAAGTGGAAGCATTATTTTCAGAAGAACACTGAAGTTAGTATTTTTTCAATTAACAAAAAGTTCTTCCTAACTTACTGTTTCTTTACTTAGCCACCAAACATTAATCACTGTCTTGGTTCTAGCACAGTAGTTTAAAACGTTTTCTCATCAAATATTAGCATAAGATCCTTTGCATTATATATCTTCAAATCATCCATGGAAACTTGCCCAGAGTAGGTACTTACTTATTTAACATTTAAAATAGTAGCAAACATTTTCACATACTTAAGATTCCTCTTAAATAGTTAAGTATCATAATCCTGACAGGTCTTCAATTGTCAATGGCTTTGCATATAAACCTGAGTAGCTCTCTTGTATCGCTTTTTAAATATCAACTTGATGAAATCCTTTGTCATATGTAAGATTGCAGTCAAGCATGAGAGTGAGCAAAAAATAATGTGACATGATGGGTTGGGATAGATACTAGGGTGAAATGAGGATGGATGTCTACATAGGGACAACTTTTGTAAGTGGTTGGAATGTAACAAATGGTTTTTGCCTCTCTACAAAATTTTGTGGTTATTGTGTGCACATTTTGAATACTTAGCTAAGGACTATCTCCTGTGGCATATGCCGAACTAAAAAGCACTAAAAAATTACTAAGATGAATGCCATGTTTGCATTTGGGTTGTTGGTAATGAAAGACACATTGAGTAATGTGTGGTACTCCTTATTTTTGTCCTCTGTAGGCCTCCACTCCTTTTTCTCCTCTTTGTTTTCATGTTAACAACCCCCTTTTCTATGGCCACATTGGTAGCATATTATCAGGCAAGGCTACACATATTACTCATTCCTCTTGTCACGATTGGCACAAGGTTGGGAAAGTGACTAGAGCCATTCTCTGAGATTTGTCCAAATGGAACTAGCAGAATGATTACCTTGCTCATTGGCCTGTGAAATTGGAAGGATGTGCTTTTCGTTTGTCTCTCACTTGGGCACGAAAAAGTGTGGTGTGCAGATGCTAAGCAAAAAACACAAAGAGAAGAGGCATTCATTTATTCCATAAAGATTTAAGCACTAGCTCTGTGCCAGTCCTTGTTCTGGGTGCCATCAATGCAGAAATAAACAAAATGTATAAAAATTGTTGCCCTCAGGGAGCTTCTATAGCTAGAGGGAGTACTGACAATACCAGTTAAGTTCTCATATCTGGTCATTCCTGAAACCAAATTTATCTTCATACCTTATTACTATATGAACTTATAAAGTCCATTTTGCCTAAACTAGATTGAATTAGGCTTATGTCATTTGTGATTTAAGATGTTTTGATAAACATGAAAGACATTTATAACTTCTTTCAGCTTTCATTAAGAAGATAATACAGAAATTAAAAATACACAAATTCTTTTTTTTTTTTTTTCCTGTGGAGTCTTGCTTTATCGCCTAGGCTGCAGTGCAGTGGTATAATCTTAGCGCACTGCAACTTCCATCTGCCAGGTTCAACTGATTCTCCTGCCTCAGCCTCCCAAGTAGCTGGGATTAAGGTGCCTGCCACCACACATGGCTAATTTTTGTAAAAAAAAAATGTAAATTCTTATTGGTATATTTGTGTAAAACTTTGTCATGTATTTTCACACTTTTTTCCATTTTTGGTACTTGGAGATTACATTATCATTTATTTTTTTTTCCTCATATTTCATTCTAAGCTTTAACCTCATGGTTTTCTGGCAAGGCACATTGGTTGACTACTTTCTTTAGTCATTCAGGAGGAAATAACTATTTTGTTTAGTAAATATTGCCAAGTAGACCTGATTTACATTAGATAGTTTTGCTAAGTCATTATTGTGCGGCTTGTTATATATTAAATGATCAAATTTTGAAAATTATAAAAAATCAGTAACAGTTTCCTTTATTACTGTATGATTAAGAGTACCATGCGAAATGTTTATTTATAGTCTTATAATTGTTGAAATGTTTTTGTCCCATCTGCTTCTGCATTTGGCATACCAAGTACTGTAAGATAGATAAGCTACTAAATTCTTTTAGTCATTCTTCCATTGCACTGTTCTGCGTCTATATCTCTATATAGTTTTTCTTGCTACTTGCTGGAAAATACATGGGCAGTTTATTTTCATGGAAAATATATACTCCATAAATATAGATGAATTGAGGTGATAATCAGAGAGTTTCCTCGTGAATTTGAGATAAAAAATTACAGCATCATGATAATGAAACTATATACACACACAAAGTTTATTTAACTTGCCTTGGAATATATGTGTAATTATCCTGACATCTGGATCTGGGCAAAGATAATAGCTTATGGCCAGAAGGAGCCAGGTATTTAGAAGGAGCGTGAGTAAATAATTTATGATTCAAACCAGGACATGTGGGAGAGAAATAAAGTGCAATTAATAATTTTGCTGAGATGACAGGAGTAAACTGGGACTTTCCCTGGGCTAACGGGGACATCTCGTTACGTGAGTTAGAGGTAGGGTAGACGGTTTGAAAATGGATACATAGTGTTTGATGCATTTTTGTTGATTAGCATAATTTTTAGGAATCTCAGTTGAAAATTTTTCTTCCTTGTCTGTTTGTATTCAAATACCGTGTCACACTCTTGTGTATGATTTGTAATCCATTTAGTGCGGACCAAAGGTTTAACATGTTGCTTTGGTGGCTTTAGTGCTGCTTATTTCTCTAATTTTTAAATTCAGCATTTAAAATTTTGTCATACTGCTTCAGTCACTTCATCGCTTAAGAGGCAATTCATTTTCTTTAAAAATAAATAGGTTTATTTGTATCCATTATAAATAATTTTGGATCCTATATATATTGATGGAAAATTTTGCTCAAATAAAACCTTCAGGTTTATAAAAGATTCCCACATTATTACTACTCTTGGTTATAGCTTGTCCATCGCATTATAAATTCTTGACTACTTTCTCATTGTAGGGAAGTTCTGATTTTGCATGTTATATGTCATCTGTGCAGAGTAATTTATTTCACAAAACACTCCACATCTTTTTCCAGTGTTAAAGCAACCTTGTTTTATAATGTATTTTACACACACACACACACACACACACACACACACACACACTCTTACTGAAACACATCTAATTGAATGTTGACTAAGTTTTCTAATGTTGCTTGCTGGAAATTGGTTGAAAGATTGTATTCTTTGGTTTGAAATAAGTTGCAACTGTATTTATAGCATATGAAGCTACATAAATTCAGATAGAGGCCTATGTCATTTTTTTCCCTGTGTGAATCAAAAGAGCTTGGAAGAAGAAATTGGAAATGACTTTAAAAACATGTGATTGTTTGGATTTAATTAAGCGGATGCTACGATTTATATTTTGTTGTTACATTTCAATGTAGTTGAACTAATGATAACTACCATTTATTTAATATTTGCTAACTATTTTACATGTATTATTTCATTTAAGCATCATCACAAGCTTAGCATGATTTTATTGTATAGGTGAACTTCAAGAGTTGAAGTAATTTGCCTGGAATCATGCAACTTGTAATTGGGCCAGTATTCAAATGCAGAACTGACTTCAAAGCTGTTCTTCTGATTTAAGTACTCTTTTATCAGTGCTTCTCATACTGAAAGAAGAGAGTGAATGCATACCTCTGGGGATGTGGAAGTGCAGCATGAAGCTGCCGGATTGTTCAAAATATATATTTGATCTTATATATATTAAAACATTTTGCAAACTTTGCTTTCTATTCCATTGCCTATTAGTTTTTTTTTTTTTTTTTTTTGAGATTGAGTCTTGCTGTGTCACCCAGGCTGAAGTGCAGTGATATGATCTTGGCTCACTGCAACCTCTACCTCCTAGGTTCAAGGGATTCTCCTGCCCCAGCCAGAGTAGCTGGGATTATAGGTGCCTGCCACCACACCTGACTAGTTTTTGTATTTTTAGTAGAGATGGGGTTTCACCCTGTTGGCCAGGCTGGTCTCGAACTCCTGACTTCAGGGGATCCACCTGCCTCGGCCTCCCAAAGTGTTGGGATTACAGGCGTGAGCCGCTGCTACCCACCGCTATTAATTTTTTTTAATGAAATTGTTTTATACTTTCAATTGAATACAGGTGTAACTTTGAGACATGGGCTTGGTGCCAGACCACTATAATAAAGCAAATATTACAATAAAGAGTTAGCAAGTTTTTTGGTTTCTCAGTGCATTTAGAAGTTAGGTTTACACTGTATTGTTGTCTATTAAATGTGCAATAGCACTCTGTCTAAAAGAAAAGTATATATACCTTAATTTAAAAATGCTATATTGCTTAAAAAATATGATCTTCTGAGCCTTCAGTGAGTTATAATCCTTTTGCTGGTGGAGGGTTTTGCTTCTTGTTGATGGCTACTGACCAATAAGGGTACTGGCTGCTGATGGTGGGAGCAGCTGGCAACTTCTTAAGAAATTAAGTTGGCCACATTGATTCCCTCTTTATTTCATGAAAGATTCCTCTGTTGCATGGAATGCTGTTTGATAGAATTTTACCCATAGTCTGACTTTTTGCAAAATTGGAGTCTGTCCTCTCAAACCCTGCCACTGCTCTATCAACTAAGTTTATGCAGCGTTCTTTCTCCATCAGAGCTTTTGAGTGACCAGGTGCTTTGGCTGTGAGCTGTAATATATTGAGAGGAATCTTTTTTTTCTGAGCAGTAGGTCTTAATACTGGGCTTCAAATATTCAGTAAACTGTGCTTTAAACATAGGTGCTGTTTTTCATCCAGGCTTTCTTGTTCCATTTATAGAGCACAGGCACAATAGATTTAGCTTAATTGCGCTGGACCTTAGGCTTTTCGGAATGGTAAATGAACGTTGGCTTCAACTTTAAGTCACCAGCTGCATTAGCCCCTACCAAGAGATTCAGCCTGTCCTTTCAAACCAGGCATCGACTTCTCTCTAGCCATGGCATCGCCTTCCAGTAGAAGGATGTTTAGTCTACTCTGAACATCCGTTGTTTAGTATACCCGTCTCCATCAATTATGCTAGCTAAATCTGGGTAATTTGCTGCAGCTTCTTGCAGCATAAACACTTGCTGCTTCATCTTGGACTTTTATGTTATGGAAATGGCTTCTTTCTTTAAACCTCATGAACCAACCTCTGCCAGCTTTAAATTTTTCTTCTGTAGCTTCCTTTCCTGTTTCAGCCTTCATTGGATTGAAGAGACTTAGGGCCTTGTTCTGAATTAGGCTTGGTTTAAGGGGATGTTGTTACTGATTTGATCTATCCAAACTATTTAAACTTTCTCTGTATCAGCAATAAGGCTGTTTTGCTTTCTTACCATTGATGTGTTCACTGGAGTAGCACTTTAAATTTCCTTGAAAACATTGCATTTGCATTAACAACTTGTCTAACTGTTCGGTGCAAGAGGTGTAGCTTTTGGCCTATCTGAGCTTTCCACATGCCTTCCTCACTAAGTTTAATCATTTTTAGCTTTTGATTTAAAGTGAGAGACATGTGACTCTGCATTTCACTTGAACACCTAGAGGTCATTGTTGGGTTATTCATTGGCCTAATTTCAATGTTTTTATGCTTTAGGCAATAGGAACGTGTGAGAAGAGTGGAGGTGGGGAATGGGTGGTTGGTGGAGCAGTCTGAATACACATGACATTTATCGATTAAATTTGCCATGTTTTACGGGCACCATTTGTGGTGCCCCAAAACAATCACAAAAGTGACATCAAAGATCACTGGTCACAGATTTCCATAACAAATAATAATAATGAAGAAGTTTGAAATATTGGGAGAGTTACCAGAATGTGACATAGACACTGACTGAGCACATGCTGTGGGAAAAATGACACCCATAGAGTTGCTTAATGGAGAGTTGCCATCAACCTTCAATTTGTAAAAAATGCCTTATCTGTGAAGCGCAGTTAAGCAAAGCACAATAAAAGGAAGTATGTTTGCTTAACTATTGCTTCAGTATAGTGTTCTCTCTCTTTCTCTCTCTCTCTCTCTCTCTCTCTCTCTCTCTCTATATATATATATATATATATATATATAAAAGTTTTTTTTTTTTTGGGCATACCATCAAGTCACTCCTGGGAGGCCTAGGATTATTCTGTTTGAGAAAGGGAGTCAGAGCTGCCTTCCAATCCACATCCAGGGTAATTACCAGTTTTAACCTTACTGGGCTTGTTTGTGTCAGGCAGTTAAGCTGTTCCTACACAATAGCGTGGCGGTGGGAATGGCTAGGTTGGCTTGCCACACTTCCGTAGATTGTGCTGCTGAAGATAGAAGGAGCCCAGTGGGTTTATATTTCAGAGCACAGTAGTTAGCTGAACCTGAACCTAGCTGGCTTGGGTTCAGATGGTCTCTCCTTCCCCCCTCATCCCTTGAGGGCAATGCAGAGGGAGCCGCTGGTGGATGCTTTAACTCAGTGGGTTGGTGTCACAGCTGAGGAAGTTGTTTATGAACCCTCAGACTTTTAAAGGGGCTGCTAGCAAACCTCTAATTTTGCCCTGCAGGAGATACAGCTTTATTATTCTGGTGAGGAAACAAAACAAATCTGTCTTCTGCCTCAGGGAAGCCCTGCTTCTGAAGGCTGATTTTTTTTAATGCTAACATCATCTAAACATACTTTGGAAGAAAACTGTGCAGAAATGTCATGGAGAATTGTTTCGTCAGAACATGTCATATTGCAACTTTCCTGACAGTTCCAAATATGGGGGGTGATAGGAGGGGGAGAGAATATTATCTTCTTCCCAGTAGATGGTAGAGAATGAAGAAGCTGACTAAACCAGTCCTTTTCTTAGGTAATTTTAGGCACTTCCATACCATTTTTTGGTGATGTTTTGTTCCTGGAAGTTATTCCAGACTTTTTTGTTTGAATCCTTTATTGTCTTGGATGGACCTAACAAGAGAAGTTCAGCATTCACCGTCAAGGGAAGCTCACTGGCATTCAATTGTCAATCCATTTCACAGTCACCTGTTAGTGTTTTGTGCACAGTGAGTGCCCTCAGTAATTTATAGTATCTCCCTAATTCCTTACTCCCACCCTTCCTCTTGCGTTTCTCCTTCTCTCTCTTTGTCTTAATCTATAGAGACTCCACCTTTTGCATTCTTCATCGTTGCTACCAAAAATATACAATTATAAATAAATATGATGAGTATGGGTAAGTTGTACAGATTATGGAGTTGTCAAGAGGCATTATATTTTAGTGGTCAACTTACATTCTTATTACATGTTTTGTTGTCATTCTGCTCTCATTTATTCCCTAAAACAGTGTTCCTCAGACTCTCTCTTTTGCTTAGGCCCTTTCCTGTAACTGGAAGATTGTTTTCTATTTTTAATCGTTAGGTTAGGGTGGGTCTGGACAATAGATATTATTTAGTAAAGCATTCAGCTGCCTCTTCACCCCTTGAGAGTAATTTATAAGTTGGTAATTTTTCTGATAACTGTCTCACAAAGCTTACTTTTAGGGTTTTGACCCATAGTTGCTTCCATGAGAGCTAGCTTTTATTTGATAGCTAACATTTTTTCATTTTCTTTTGAGAATTTGAGAGAAATTTTCTCTACAGAGAAATGGATCAATGAAACATTATTTTAAGCTAGATGTTACTCTTTATGTTCAAATGGGTTTTTATCCAGGTGTAAATCACTTGGAAAACATTTAGAGCAATCAGCCAGTTAGAACCTAATAAACATATTCAACTTTATACTTTCAATTATAAGGAGTGTCTCCTGCTGTGAAACTAACTATTCTAGTGTTATTGTATTTTAAGGTTATTTTGAAGGAGAATAGAGAGTTTAACTTTGGGGTGGTTCTTTTTCTGCTGTGCTTCATTTTTATTTCTTGAAGTATTTAGAAAATTTTTATACTGACTATAAACTTATCCGTAGCAATTAATGGTTTAAAAAATATTATTAGATTGTCATGTAAAATGCACATTTTATGGGACATTATGAACTGAATAATTTTGCGATAGATGTATTTTTTTTGCATATAAACCTATACTACTTTATGTTTGGAATTAATAGGAATTAAAGTGGATTTTGTGTACTTGATTTTTAACACTTTGTTTTAAAAGGACTAAGACTGCTTTGTCATGTAGCCAATGTGTTGTATTAAGATTCCTCAGTGAGAATTATTTGATTTTATTTTGCAATGATATTCAAATATATTTTTCAAGTCAAATGGAATTTTTATGTGGCAACTAATTTAAATATTAAACTAAATATCTAACATATGTGTGTACATTCATTGCTTCATTGTAAGAGGATAATATATATTTTATTTCAAAAATTCTTCTGAGGGCTGGGTATGGTGGCTCACGCCTGTAATCCCAGCACATTGGGAGGCCGAGGTTAGGCAGATCACCTGAGGTCAGGAGTTTGAGATCAGCCTGGCCAACATGGTGAAAACCCGTCTCTATTTAAAATAAAAAAATTAATTGAGAATGGTGGCGGGCATCTATAATGCCAGGTACTCCGGAAGCTGAGGCAGGAGAATCACTTGAACCCAGGAGGTGGAGGTTGCAGTCAGCTGAGATTGTTCCACTGCACTCCAGCTTGGGTGACAGAGTGAGACTCTGCCTTAAAATAAATAAATAAATTCTTCTGAGATGTACTTTTGCAAATATTATACATAGTTTATATCATTTTTTTGTGGAAATTATACATGTTTAGGCTTTAAAAATTGCTTCCATGCCCAAGATTGAAATGAATTTTACATTGGGGAAAGTGTTATAAAGGTATAATCAAATTTATGGTTTATATATTCAATAATATATTGTGAATTGATATAATAACTGAGTAATATAACTGTTTCACATTTTGAAACTGATTTCAGCTTTTTCCTTTTGAAATTTAGAAGTTATGATGAAATTTCTTAATTTGAACCTATTACTAAAGTTTCCATTTTAATTTTTCTAATTAATGATCTCTTGTTAAAGCAATGAATCAGAGTTTTTGAATGATGTGTGCAGAATTCTTGCTTGTTTATGAGAGACTGAATTATTAGTTCACTAGTTGATGAACTGGTTTTCTTTTGGTAGGTAATTAAGAATCCTCTGCTTTTTCTTTCTTTTTTTTTTTTTCTTGGTCCTCTTGTTTTTTTTTTTTATTTTTTTATTTTTTTATTTATTTATTTTTTATTATACTTTAAGTTTTAGGGTACATGTGCACATTGTGCAGGTTAGTTACATATGTATACATGTGCCATGCTGGTGCGCTGCACCCACTAACTAGTCATCTAGCATTAGGTATATCTCCCAATGCTATCCCTCCCCCCCTCCCCCCACCCCACCACAGTCCCCAGAGTGTGATATTCCCCTTCCTGTGTCCATGTGATCTCATTGTTCAGTCCCCACCTATGAGTGAGAATATGCCGTGATTGGTTTTTTGTTCTTGTGATAGTTTACTGAGAATGATGATTTCCAGTTTCATCCATGTCCCTACAAAGGACACGAACTCATCATTTTTTATGGCTGCATAGTATTCCATGGTGTATATGTGCCACATTTTCTTAATCCAGTCTATCATTGTTGGACATTTGGGTTGGTTCCAAGTCTTTGCTATTGTGAATAATGCCGCAATAAACATACGTGTGCATGTGTCTTTATAGCAGCACGATTTATAGTCATTTGGGTATATACCCAGTAATGGGATGGCTGGGTCAAATGGTATTTCTAGTTCTAGATCCCTGAGGAATCGCCACACTGACTTCCACAATGGTTGAACTAGTTTACAGTCCCACCAACAGTGTAAAAGTGTTCCTGTTTCTCCACATCCTCTCCAGCACCTGTTGTTTCCTGACTTTTTAATGATTGCCATTCTAACTGGTGTGAGATGGTATCTCATTGTGGTTTTGATTTGCATTTCTCTGATGGCCAGTGATGATGAGCATTTTTTCATGTGTTTCTTGGCTGCATAAATGTCTTCTTTTGAGAAGTGTCTGTTCATGTCCTTTGCCCACTTTTTGATGGGGTTGTTTGTTTTTTTCTTGTAAATTTGTTTGAGTTCATTGTAGATTCTGGATATTAGCCCTTTGTCAGATGAGTAGCTTGCGAAAATTTTCTCCCATTTTGTAGGTTGCCTGTTCACTCTGATGGTAGTTTCTTTTGCTGTGCAGAAGCTCTTGAGTTTAATGAGATCCCATTTGTCAATTTTGGCTTTTGTTGCCATTGCTTTTGGTGTTTTGGACATGAAGTCCTTGCCCATGCCTATGTCCTGAATGGTAAATGCCTAGGTTTTCTTCTAGGGTTTTTATGGTTTTAGCTCTAATGTTTAAATCTTTAATCCATCTTGAATTGTTTTTTGTATAAGGTGTAAGGAAGGGATCCAGTTTCAGCTTTCTACATATGGCTAGCCAGTTTTCCCAGCACCATTTATTAAATAGGGAATCCTTTCCCCATTGCTTGTTTTTCTCAGGTTTGTCAAAGATCAGATAGTTGTAGATATGCGGTGTTATTTCTGAGGGCTCTGTTCTGTTCCATTGATCTATATCTCTGTTTTGGTACCAGTACCATGCTGTTTTGGTTACTGTAGCCTTGTAGTATAGTTTGAAGTCAGGTAGTGTGATGCCTCCAGCTTTGTTCTTTTGGCTTAGGATTGACTTGGCGATGCGGGCTCTTTTTTGGTTCCATATGAACTTTAAAGTAGTTTTTTCCAATTCTGTGAGGAAAGTCATTGGTAGCTTGATGGGGATGGCATTGAATCTGTAAATTACCTTGGGCAGTACGGCCATTTTTATGATACTGATTCTTCCTACCCATGAGCATGGAATGTTCTTCCATTTGTTTGTATCCTCTTTTATTTCCTTGAGCAGTGGTTTGTAGTTCTCCTTGAAGAGGTCCTTCACATCCCTTGTAAGTTGGATTCCTAGGTATTTTCTTCTCTTTGAAGCAATTGTGAATGGGAGTTCACTCATGATTTGGCTCTCCGTTTGTCTGTTGTTGGTGTATAAGAATGCTTGTGATTTTTGTACATTGATTTTGTATCCTGAGACTTTGCTGAAGTTGCTTATCAGCTTAAGGAGATTTTGGGCTGAGACAATGGGGTTTTCTAGATATACAATCATGTCGTCTGCAAACAGGGACAATTTGACTTCCTCTTTTCCTAATTGAATACCCTTTGTTTCCTTCTCCTGCCTAATTGCCCTGGCCAGCACTTCCAACACTATGTTGAATAGGAGTGGTGAGAGAGGGCATCCCTGTCTTGTGCCAGTTTTCAAAGGGAATGCTTCCAGTTTTTGCCCATTCAGTATGATATTGGCTGTGGGTTTGTCATAGATAGCTCTTATTATTTTGAGATATGTCCCATCAATACCTAATTTATTGAGAGTTTTTAGCATGAAGGGTTGTTGAATTTTGTCAAAGGCTTTTTCTGCATCTCTTGAGATAATCATGTGGTTTTTGTCTTTGGCTCTGTTTATATGCTGGATTACATTTATTGATTTGCGTATATTGAACCAGCCTTGTGTCCCAGGGATGAAGCCCACTTGATCATGGTGGATAAGCTTTTTGAAGTGCTGCTGGATTCGTTTTGCCAGTATTTTATTGAGGATTTTTGCATCAATGTTCATCAAGGATATTGGTCTAAAATTCTCTTTTTTTGTTGTGTCTCTGCCTGGCTTTGGTATCAGAATGATGCTGGCCCTCATAAAATGAGTTAGGGAGGATTCCCTCTTTTTCTATTGATTGGAATAGTTTCAGAAGGAATGGTACCAGTTCCTCCTTGTACCTCTGGTAGAATTCAGCTGTGAATCCATCTGGTCCTGGACTCTTTTTGGCTGGTAAGCTATTGATTATTGCCACAATTTCAGCTCCTGTTATTGGTCTATTCAGAGATTCAACTTCTTCCTGGTTTAGTCTTGGGAGAGTGTATGTGTTGAGGAATTTATCCATTTCTTCTAGATTTTCTAGTTTATTTGCGTAGAGGTGTTTGTAGTATTCTCTGATATTAGTTTGTATTTCTGTGGGATTGGTGGTGATATCCCCTTTATCATTTTTTATTGTGTCTATTTGATTCTTCTCTCTTTTTTTCTTTATTAGTCTTGCTAGTGGTCTATCAATTTTGTTGATCCTTTCAAAAAACCAGCTCCTGGATTCATTGATTTTTTGAAGGGTTTTTTGTGTCTCTATTTCCTTCAGTTCTGCTCTGATTTTAGTTATTTCTTGCCTTCTGCTATCTTTTGAATGTGTTTGCTCTTGCTTTTCTAGTTCTTTTAATTGTGATGTTAGGGTGTCAATTTTGGATCTTTCCTGCTTTCTCTTGTGGGCATTTAGTGCTATAAATTTCCCTCTACACACTGCTTTGAATGCGTCCCAGAGATTCTGGTATGTTGTGTCTTTGTTCTCGTTGGTTTCAAAGAACATCTTTATTTCTGCCTTCATTTTGTTATGTACCCAGTAGTCATTCAGGAGCAGGTTGTTCAGTTTCCATGTAGTTGAGCGGCTTTGAGTGAGATTCTTAATCCTGAGTTCTAGTTTGATTGCACTGTGGTCTGAGAGATAGTTTGTTATAATTTCTGTTCTTTTACATTTGCTGAGGAGAGCTTTACTTCCAAGTATGTGGTCAATTTTGGAATAGGTGTGGTGTGGTGCTGAAAAAAATGTATATTCTGTTGATTTGGGGTGGAGAGTTCTGTAGATGTCTATTAGGTCCACTTGGTGCAGAGCTGAGTTCAATTCCTGGGTATCCTTGTTGACTTTCTGTCTCGTTGATTTGTCTAATGTTGACAGTGGGGTGTTAAAGTCTCCCATTATTAATGTGTGGGAGTCTAAGTCTCTTTGTAGGTCACTCAGGACTTGCTTTATGAATCTTGGTGCTCCTGTATTGGGTGCATATATATTTAGGATAGTTAGCTCTTCTTGTTGAATTGATCCCTTTACCATTATGTAATGGCCTTCTTTGTCTCTTTTGATCTTTGTTGGTTTAAAGTCTGTTTTATCAGAGACTAGGATTGCAACCCCTGCCTTTTTTTGTTTTCCATTTGCTTGGTAGATCTTCCTCCATCCTTTTATTTTGAGTCTATGTGTGTCTCTGCACGTGAGATGGGTTTCCTGAATACAGCACACTGATGGGTCTTGACTCTTTATCCAATTTGCCAGTCTGTGTCTTTTAATTGGAGCATTTAGTCCATTTACATTTAAAGTTAATATTGTTATGTGTGAATTTGATCCTGTCATGATGATGTTAGCTGGTGATTTTGCTCGTTAGTTGATGCAGTTTCTTCCTAGTCTCGATGGTCTTTACATTTTGGCATGATTTTGCAGCGGCTGGTACCGGTTGTTCCTTTCCATGTTTAGTGCTTCCTTCAGGAGCTCTTTTAGGGCAGGCCTGGTGGTGACAAAATCTCTCAGCATTTGCTTGTCTGTAAAGTATTTTATTTCTCCTTCACTTATGAAGCTTAGTTTGGCTGGATATGAAATTCTGGGTTGAAAATTCTTTTCTTTAAGAATGTTGAATATTGGCCCCCACTCTCTTCTGGCTTGTAGGGTTTCTGCTGAGAGATCCGCTGTTAGTCTGATGGGCTTCCCTTTGAGGGTAACCCGACCTTTCTCTCTGGCTGCCCTTAACATTTTTTCCTTCATTTCAACTTTGGTGAATCTGACAATTATGTGTCTTGGAGTTGCTCTTCTCGAGGAGTATCTTTGTGGCATTCCCTGTATTTCCTTAATCTGAACGTTGGCCTGCCTTGCTAGATTGGGGAAGTTCTCCTGGATAATATCCTGCAGAGTGTTTTCCAACTTGGTTCCATTCTCCCCATCACTTTCAGGTACACCAATCAGACGTAGATTTGGTCTTTTCACATAGTCCCATATTTCTTGGAGGCTTTGCTCATTTCTTTTTATTCTTTTTTCTCTAAACTTCCCTTCTCGCTTCATTTCATTCATTTCATCTTCCATCGCTGATACCCTCTCTTCCAGTTGATCGCATCGGCTCCTGAGGCTTCTGCATTCTTCACGTAGTTCTCGAGCCTTGGTTTTCAGCTCCATCAGCTCCTTTAAGCACTTCTCTGTATTGGTTATTCTAGTTATACATTCTTCTAAATTTTTTTCAAAGTTTTCAACTTCTTTGCCTTTGGTTTGAATGTCCTCCCGTAGCTGAGAGTAATTTGATCGTCTGAAGCCTTCTTCTCTCAGCTCGTCAAAGTCATTCTCCATCCAGCTTTGTTCCGTTGCTGGTGAGGAACTGCGTTCCTTTGGAGGAGGAGAGGCGCTCTGCATTTTAGAGTTTCCAGTTTTTCAGTTCTGTTTTTTCCCCATCTTTGTGGTTTTATCTACTTTTGGTCTTTGATGATGGTGATGTACAGATGGGTTTTTGGTGTGGATGTCCTTTCTGTTTGTTAGTTTTCCTTCTAACAGACAGGACCCTCAGCTGCAGGTCTGTTGGAATACCCTGCAGTGTGAGGTGTCAGTGTGCCCCTGCTGCGGGGTGCCTCCCAGTTAGGCTGCTTGGGGGTCAGGGGTCAGGGACCCACTTGAGGAGGCAGTCTGCCCGTTCTCAGATCTCCAGCTGCGTGCTGGGAGAACCACTGCTCTCTTCAAAGCTGTCAGACAGGGACCCTTAAGTCTGCAGAGGTTACTGCTGTCTTTTTGTTTGTCTGTGCCCTGCCCCCAGAGGTGGAGCCTACAGAGGCAGGCAGGCCTCCTTGAGCTGTGGTGGGCTCCACCCAGTTGGAGCTTCCCGTTTACCTAATCAAGCCTGGGCAATGGCGGGCGCCCCTCCCCCAGCCTCGCTGCCGCCTTGCAGTTTGATCTCAGACTGCTGTGCTAGCAGTCAGCGAGATTCCGTGGGCGTAGGACCCTCTGAGCCAGGTGTGGGATATAATCTTGTGGTGCGCCGCTTTTTAAGCCGGTCTGAAAAGCGCAATATTCGGGTGGCAGTGACCCGATTTTCCAGGTGCGTCTGTCACCCCTTTCTTTGACTCGGAAAGGGAACTCCCTGACCCCTTGCGCTTCCCAAGTGAGGCAATGCCTCGCCCTGCTTCGGCTCGCGCATGGTGCGCGCACCCACTGGCCTGCGCCCACTGTCTGGCACTCCCTAGTGAGAGAAACCTGGTACCTCAGATGGAAATGCAGAAATCACCCGTCTTCTGGGTCGCTCACGCTGGGAGCTGTAGACCGGAGCTGTTCCTGTTCAGCCATCTTCCTCTGCTTTTTCTGTGAAGGTGTAAACAGTGAGGTACTTGAAGGATGAGACTTAAACCAATCTTTTATGAATTTGTTTTTTACTGTTATTGGAAATGGAAGATACGTACCTTCATGCTATAATGAAGGACATTTTGACCACTTTGAATATCAACACTTAATAAGTTTCTAAAAATTTATGTTTATATTTTAAATGGCAGTTAAAAATTAAAGCTCAAAGAGACTAAACATTAAAGGTCCTATAAATAACATTGTGAAAGTTGATCATACAAATTGGGTCAATCTTGGCACACCCAGCTAAAACAGAGTCAAGAGGCTAGGGGGATAAAGCACTGGTCACATGACATTGCTCTGAGAATGTAATTCTCTGCAAGCCTGCTGCTGAAACTGCCTGGTGTAACCTGAAACCAGTTTTATCTAATAGCTGCTGGAACAACCTGCCTCAACTCGAAGATTAGTCTTAATCAGTTACAGTCACTCACCACCTCCCCAGAACTTTACTAGAGCCAGTGACCTTTCTTTAAATATGATATGTAACACTTCTCCTTTTTAGAAGACCTACAACCTTCTCTTTGTTCTTCAGACATACTGAAGACCACTCAGTCTGTATATACCTCAAATTGCAATTCTTGCTTCCCAAATCAAATCTTACATTTAGAGATCTGTCTGTACATTTTTATTTTGATTTCAACAACATGTAAAGATACATGTAGCTAGGTGACCATGAAGTTGATCAATATGACTGGAATACAAATGAGAATGAAAGGAGAGGCTAGTAAAAATTACCCCATGGCAATAAGAATAAACTAGAACTGTTCTAAACAAATCTAATGCAAACAGGGTGAGATTTTATGTCGTCAAAATGAAATTAAATAGTATACTTTAGAAATCTTTTTAAAGCCATGTAAGACATTAAACATTTAATATTTGATCACAGTGATTATAGAATTCAGAATTATGTTCAATTCTTTTTTGGTTTAAGTTCATAGTCATTTTGTAATAAAATGCGGAACTAATAAAACTCACTTTAGATTTGAAAGCTAGAGCTAGCGCAGAGAAGATTGACGGTGATGGTAAAAGTGAAAATCCTGCTACATGAGGATTACTGGAAGTAATTTGCCAAGTTTAGCTTGGAAAATGAAAAATAATAGGCTTATTATTGTTCCCTTTGAATTATAAAAATGTGTTCTATGGTTAAGGCTTTTTCTTTGTAGCTCCAGAGAGCAAAACTAGATCCCGTGGATGGTAAATATATGCATTCAATGTAAGAAAGAAGAATTTTGAAATATCATTGTTTTGAAGTGCAATTGGCTGCTTAGTGGGATAGCAGGATAGCAAGCTAATTTGTACTGGAAGTGTTCACCTTTAGTGCTCAGCTGTCAAGACTGTACATGCCATATTTTGTGGGAGGTTTAATTAAATTTAATTAAAATGGATTTTTTTTCTTAAGCAAGTATTGGAAGAGTACATTAAAAGAAGTATAAGCCATTTATGTATATCCTAAAACCAGAAAAAAACCACAAACCCTTATTTTATTAGAGATCTTTCTTAAAATGAGGATGTAGTTTTTGGAAGGAAAAATCAGGAAAGGAAATAAGAGGAGTAGCACCTTAGTAAGCAGATGTGCTGAATTAAATCTCATGATAGATAGTGTCAGTTGTTTGTCCTCTGTATTGCAGGGGCAGTATTTTGTGAGAATATGTTGTTTAAACAGGTACTTAAAGGCAGTGTAATCAAACACAGCAGCTTAACTGTTTTAATATTTCTGTGGGAATTTGAAATATTTAGATGTTTAATTGATGTTAAACTTGTTAAAGATTTCCTTAAGATTCTTAATTGTCAACGTCATAAAAGTATTTTTATGGTTAATTTGAGTAATTAGAGAACCAATGTGTTGGCGTGTAGTTAGTTATAAAATTATCAGTCTCAGCACAACATTGACTTAAAGGCAGGGTGATCCAGAAGGATAGGGGTGTTTGTTTTGTTGTTTCTTCCCCCGCTTTTTTGTATTATAAAAGCGAGAAAAGATTCTGCTTACATGTAGGAATTGTCTTACAATTCTCTTATCTGTTTTGATTAATTTGGTCATTGATCATGCATTAAATGAGTGCTAGCACTCTTACATGTTCAGGGGAATCTAAAGGTAAAGAAAGTACATCCTTTTCAGAGACTCTTTAGTGAGGGAGACAGGAAAACTAACAAGAGCAATATAAGTGCTATGATAGAGCCACTTTATGAGCTAATAAGAAGTCTGTATCTCTGAATGGTAAGAAATGGTAAAGGCTTCCTAGGTAATTGAGTCAATACAGTTTTGACAAATGAGGAAGAGTGTGACATGATGGAGGCTGCCCGTTGGATCTGGAATATGTGTGTATGGGTGGGGGTGGTGAAGGAGGAGGGTGAATGGAAAATCCCAGGTAGTGAGAACAGGATTCATTGACACAGGCAATCTGAAAGTATAGTGAGTTTAGGGAATTTCAAATAGTGGGATCTTTTATATGTACAGGGTTCTATTGGGATTTATGAAGTGAGTCTGGAAAGATATAATTGGAGGTAAAGCTTTGAGAGATCTGAAATACTATTTGGAGTGTTTGTAGTTTATATTGTAGGAGACATAAAGACATTGAACGATGATATACAGATATATATTACATATCTGCTTATTAAAAAGATAACCTTTACATTAGTGTAGAAGGAATTTTGTGTTAGAAATACTCTAAAATAAGATTCTTGAAATCATGGTTATGAAAGTATTACATCGGAAGAGATGATGAAAGGCTACTGCTACTATGTTAGAAATGAAGAGAAGGGGATAGAGTAAAAAATTCATCAGTTGCCTAACTGGCGTTAGGAATAGAGTGGCATTAGGAATACAGATGTGGGAGCTATATAGGGGGACAGAGTTCACTTTTAGATCCATGGCATTTGAAGTCCTTGGCAATTTCATTCAATAAAGGTTCAAGAGAGAGGTACAGATTTGAGATGGATAATGTTACAGTCTCACCAATGCACCACAATGTAGCAGTTTCTTATTCTGAGGTATCACCTGGAGTTCTTTTTCTCATGACCTAGAGAAGTAAGAAACGTGGACACAAAGGGTGAGGTTGGAGCGAAAGTTTAATAAGCGAAAGATAAAAAGCTGTCTGCTGTGAAGAGGGGACCTGGGAGAGGGTTGTGTTTTTTTACAGTTGAATGCAAAGGCTTTTATAGGAAACTGATGAGGGCTGGGCATCTCATTTGCATAAAGCGTGAATTTCTTGTAGCTCCACCCTGTCTTCCTAATGTGCCTGTGGGCCCTTAGCCTAGAATCAATCACTCCCTATTGGTTTGTTCCCCTTACTGTGGATGTTTTAGGGGATGGAATTTTCC
The DNA here is from genome assembly GCF_000001405.40 of Homo sapiens. Taxonomy (NCBI): domain Eukaryota; kingdom Metazoa; phylum Chordata; class Mammalia; order Primates; family Hominidae; genus Homo; species Homo sapiens. The sequence continues at coordinate 15,585,693 of NC_000008.11, forward strand.
ATTGTGGGACTATCTGGGCAAGTCACCTGTGTAGCCTTTTTTACCTGTTCGACTGTCGGAATGTCTTAGTCAAGCCCCTCAGTGTCTGTGCCTGCAGACTGTTCTTTTGTTTGAAAAGATTCAACGGAGGACCCACCCTAACTGCCTGCGTGAGCGTGACCGGGTTTTTTTGTTTCTCCTCTCTCAATAATAGCTGCCATAATGTGTAAGTAGAGAGTTAAAGCCATGAAAGTAGATGGGATCACCCATAGAATTCCTACGGAATAAAGAGAGAAGATGGCTGAAGGAAATGGAATTCTGAAGAAAATCAGTGAAGAAGGTTGAGGAGTAGTCAGGGAGTTATGAGGGGAACTAGGAGAGTATGGTATGTCAGAAACCAGGAAAAATATTTTAAAGATGGAATGATTAACAGTGCTAAATAATTATGTTCATATAAGGTCAAGTCAGAGAAGTATCCATATATTTGCCTGTTAAAAGGTCATTTTTAGTTGGCCAGAAACAATTTAAGTCAGTAGTGACTGTGAAGGACTGAATGTTGTGAGTTAAGAAGTGAATTCAAGGTGAAAACAAACAGCTTACCTTTGAGAGAAGCTTGTATAAGTCATTAGTGGGGAAAAACACCGTTGTAGTGGGGTGGGGAACAACACCGTTAACTTGAAGTAAATGCATATTCAAAAGAGGAGTTGGTTCTTGGGTGGGGTGGGATGGAGAGACCACTTTGCTTTTATAGGAAAACAGCAGAAGGAGTCAGTAAAGTAAGATAGGAGAGTGGGATAGAAGAGGGCTAAATGATTGATCAAGGTCTGGGAATAATTGGTTTCCTGGAACACAAGTAAAGAGGGTCGCATTACCTCAGGCCCAGCCAGGACACACACTTCTATCTAGATCAGGAGCGCTAGAGGTAAATACTGTGAATGCAAATCATTTGGAGTGAGAAACTGAGGAGATTAATGCAACATGGTTTTAATTTTCTCTATGAAGTAGGAGTCAGGAGAACTGAATGCTATTGAAATAGCTGTCACTCATAGCTGAGCATACCTATTGTGTGGAGCCAGGGTTGATACCGACAAGCATTTGGGGAGCAGGATCAGTAGGTGTTTAAGGGATAACAGCATTAGTTTAATCCAGTAGTTTTCATTGTAGTTCTTAGACCACCACCTTTGGCGTTATTGGGAACTTCCTGGAATTAAAATTCTTGGGCCCCACTGACCTCCTGATTTTGAAATTCTTAATTTTGTAAAAATAAGCCATCCTAGTGATTCTGATGAATGCTAAAGTTTGAGAACTGCTGGTTGGGGGATTACACTTTGAAAACCACTGCTTTTCTTAATATGTTAATAGCCAGTTTTTCTTACTCCCTTCGACATGCCTAACATTTTTTCTTCTATTAAGGAAGCTCTGTTTTATTTTGTCCTGAAACAAATTATTTAATAGTAATTTCATAATTAACTTGCTGTGCTATTGGATTATACTACTTATAACTTGGATTTCTTCTAAATATGGCACAGAACTGAAACTAATGAAATTGTTAGTGGACCTTATTCCTTACACTGCTCTCCCTGTATCCATCCTGATCTTGAGTTTATTTTTTTAAAAAACTTCTTTCTGGATTTGTTAGCATTCCAGAAATGTACCTTTTGCACTTAAGGCAGCATTATAACATTATGTTTTGTTACTGCTTCTGTCTTTTACATTAAAAAAGCATCCACTGTCTTTTCACTCCATTCATATTTTTAAATCTTTTAGTTGACATGTAATAACTGTATATATTTATGGAGTACGGAGTGATATTTCCATGTATGTATCCAATGTGCAATGATCAAATCAGGGTAATTAGCATATCCAGCACCCCAAATATTTATCATGTCTTTGTATTGGGAGCATCCAGAATCCTCTCTTCTAGGTCTTTGAACATATACAGTAATTTATTGTTAACTGTATTTACCTTACAGTGCTATAGAACACTAGAACTTATTCCTCCTATCTGGCTGTAATTTTGTATGTATTAACCAACCTCACCCTATCCTCTCCTTCCCCCTACATTTCACAGCCTCTAATAACCATAATTCTACTCTCTACTAGTATGAACTCATTTTTTTCCACATATGATTGAGAACATATATGATTTATCTTTCTGTGCTTGAGTTTTTAAAATTTAAGATAATATTCTCTGGGCTCATCCATATTGCTTCTAATGACAGGATTTCATCTTTAATAGCTAAATAATATTCTATTATATATATATGCTACATTTTCTTTATCCGTTTATCTGTTGGTAGACATTTAGATTGGTATCTTGGCAATTGTGAATAGCATTGCAGTAAACATGGGGCTGCAGGTATCTTTTTAATATACTGACTTCCTTTCCTTTGGATAAATACTCAGTAGTGGGATTGATTGCTGGATCATTTGGTAGTTCTGTTTTTAGTTTTTTGAGGGACCTCCATGCTGTTAACCATAATGGGGGTAATAATTTACATTTCCACCAGCAGTGTATAAGAGTTCTGTTTTCTCCACATCCTCATCAGTATTTCTTATTTTTTGTCATTTGATACTTGTCATTCTGGGATTAGATGTTATCTCACAGTGGTTTTGATTTGCTTTTCCCTGATGATCAGTGATGTTGCACATTTTTTCAGATACTTGTTGGCCATTTGTGTATCTTCTTTTTCGAAATGTCTATTCAGATCTTTTGCTCATTTTAGTACTAGATTATTTGTTTATTTGCTCTTGAGGTGTTCGAGTTCTTGTATATTCTGGATATTCGTTCCTTGTTGGATGAATAGTTTGCAAGTATTTTCTCCCATTCTATGGGCTGTCTCTTCACTCTGTTGTTTCCTTTGCTGTTCAGAAGCTTTTTAGTTTTATGTAGTCCAATTTGTCTATTTTTGTTTTTGTTGTCTGTGCTTTTGAAGTCTTATCAACAAAATCTTTGCTCAGAACAAAGTCCTGAAACATTTTCTCAGTGTTTTCTTCTAGTAGTTTTATAGTTTTGGGTCTTACACTTAAGTCATTATATTTTGAGTTAATTTTTGTATATGGTGAGAGACAGGGTCCAGTTCACTTTCTGCATATGGATGGATAGTCAGTTTTCCCCGCACTATTTATTGAAGAGGGTGTCCTTTCCCCCAGTGTTTGTTTTTGGCAGTTTTGTTGCATATCAGTTGGCTGTGAATATGTGGATTTATTTCTGGATTGTCTATTCTGTTCCATTGGCCTTTGTGTCTGTGTTTGTACTAGCACCATGCTGTTTTGGTTATTGTAGCCTTATTGCATTGTTTGAAGTTGGGTAATGTGATGCTTCCAGCTTTGTTCTTTTTGCTTAGGATTGTTTTGGTTATTCGGAGTGCAGTTTATCATTATGCAACGACTTTCTTTGTCTCTTCTTATTTTCTTACTAAATTTAAAGTCTGTTTGTCAGATACAAATATAGCTACTCCTACACCCTTTTGGTTTCCATTTACGTGGGATATATTTTTGCATACCTTTACTTTGAGCCTATATGTGTCTTTACAGGTGACACAAGTTTTTTGTAGGCAGCATACGTCCAGATCTTGTGTTTTTAATCCATTTATCCAGTCTGTAACTTTTAATTGGGGAATTTAAAACTATTTACATTTTGATTCAGACTCTGCATCTTAACAAGATCCTGAAATGATCCATACGCATGTTAAAGTTGGAGAAGCACTGTTGTAGACAATAGCATAGGTTAAGATTAGCATGTGGAGCAATTTTGGTAAATTGATCAATTCGAAACATAAAGATGGAAGTTTTAGGAAGGAAAAGTATAGTATAAAGAGGGGTTTAACATGAGGTTAATAGTAGCTAATTACAATTTAAATTTTAAATTAATGTTAAATTTGCCTTGAGATAGACAATTAGCTTGCTGCCACATTGGAATTTATAAGTAATGTACTAGATCTTTAAGCTAATGCTATTATAACCTATATTAATTAGGTTCTTAAAGTTTTTAAAACATCTTTACAGTATAAAGAAAAAAATGCATGTCTGATTATTTTGTTTTTTGTACATCATTTATAACCATTATCATCTTACAAATAAGCATACAGCCTTAGACAACTTAAGTAATATAGTCAGTGTCCTACCAAAAGTGAGTTAATGGTTGAGCCAAGCCATGAACAAAATTCTGATTCTAGAACTTCTTTTGGAAAAGTTCGAAATAAGTATAAATTCTCACTATCCCTAGTGAGGATAGAGTAGGAAAGAACGGATCAACTTCAGCTTAACTTAATGTAGACTTGATCTTTTTGGTAGGCGTAGATTTCACTTTATAATGTTTGTCTGTAATTTCATAATGCTTCTCTGAAAATTCCATTTAAATTTGGAGTTAGGCCCCACTCTATTAATATTCTGTTAAAAGCATCTGACTTAGTATTTAGGAGGTCACAAATTGTATTGTAACAGAGGTGATAGATGACATTTATGGATATTTTAAAATTATCTTAGATAATTCCAATGTACAGCCTGCTAATGCTTTACACAGGAGTTTCTGATTGGACTTTTCACTCTGCTCTGGTTTCAGGCCTTTATGTCTTTAAGTCTTTAATTTTGCAGATGAGGAATTCCAGAGTATCTCCAGAGAAGTTTTATAGCCAGTTAATGGCAAAGACAGTTTATGGCAAAGTCAAACCCAGGCTTCTTCTTATACAAAACCCAAGCTTTAGGCCATCATGCCTAGTGAGAGACGTCATGAGTGAACATTAGCTTTTGTTTTCTTTCTCCTCCGGCTTCTAACTTTCTTCTCTCTCCCAGCATCTAAGAAAATAAATTCTTTCTTGCCAATTCCCCCATTAACATTTAATTTTTGTTTTGAATTTTATTTACTATTTTTAGAGGTTCTAGAATAGAAGGAATTTCCCTGAACACCACTCTGCCATGTTGCTCTATGTGGGGGATTCTTCAAAGTATTTATAAATATTTATTTTTATTTATTTATTTATTATTATTATTGGTTTTTGTTTGTTTGTTGCTTTTCTGAGACAGGGTTTTGCTCTGTTGCCCAGGCTGGAGTGCTGTGGTGCAATCTTGGCTCATTGTTGCCTCTACCTCCTGGGCTCAGGCAGTCCTCTCACCACAGCCACCCAAGTAGCTGGCACAACAGGTGCACACCACTGTGCCTGGCTAATTTTTTTGTATTTTTTGAGGAGACGGAGTTTTGCTATGTTGCCCAGGCTGGTGTCAAACTCCTGGACTCAAGCAGTCTGTGTGCCTTGGCCTCCCAGAGTGCTTGAATTATAGGCTTGAGGCACTGCAACCAGCCTATAATTTGTTTTGCCAGATCTGATATAAAGAAGTAGGAGAAATCTTTGCCATGCTGAGTTCTTTAAAGTACTTTTAAGAAAGTGTGATGCTTGGCATATAGGAGGTGGTGAACAAATGGTAGTTGTTTTTATTTTTGGCATCATTAGGTCCTTTTTTTGGTTATTTCAGAAAAAATATTTGAAGATTTAAAAGTTGCCAAAAATGAACAGATCATTCCTGGGTGTTTTTCAGCTTAATCATTTGGGGTTTTAATTAAATTAGTTATTTAAATAACTTTTTATTAAAATAGTTTTTCAATTTTTAAAGGTTTGGATAAATTGAGGGTTTATTATGTCTACATTTATGTATTTAAAAAGTTATCCTCACTTAGGCTTTCTCCTATAAAACATGTCATATAGAATAGGTTTTTGGACAAAGTTTAATCTATTCATTTATTAATTTCTGTACCAAAATATCTGTTGGGTAGTTACTATGCAACAGGCAATGTACAAAACTCTGGAGAAATATTATGAGCAAGATGTGAATATTTCTTGTCAATGGTAATTCTAGTAGAAGACAGAAGTATCAAGCGAGTAAGCATACAGTTAAATGTATAAATATTATTTGTCATAAAGTGCTGTTAAAGGAAAATAATAGATTGTTGTGAGGGAGTGATTGGGAAAAGCTTTATTTTTGACTTGTGGAGTCCACATTTCAGTGCAGATCTGACTTTTAAGTAAGAATCTTCTAGACACAAAAGTTCTGTGTAGGGGAGGAATATTCTAGTTATAATGCAGAGTGAGCCAAGGGGAAAGTGGTTATAATAAGATTGGAGTGGTAGGCAGAGGCCAGAACATTGTAGCGCCTTCTTAGTAATGTTAAGAAGTTTACTTTTTATTTTAAGTGCCAAGAGTAGATGGTCAAAAGTTTAAATCAAGGAGGTGACATGATCTCTTTTACATTTTAAAGTAATTACTCTTCCACTAATGCAGAGGAAGAATGGGAGAAAACAAGTGGAAATGGGGAAAGCCTTCAGGAGGCAGCTATAGTAGTCTAGGTAAGAGATATTGATGGCTTGACTAGGCAGCTAATAGTGTAGACTGGAAGAAGAGAAGGAAAGTTATTCATTGGACTTGGAGATGTAGAAGATGAGGAAGGAAGGTAATGGCAGATACTTCCTAGATTCTTGACTTGAATAGTTGTTTTCCACTTAGTAAAATGCGAAAAAGTGGAGGAAGAATAGGTTTTGAAAAGAAGTCAGAAATTCAGTTTGGATCTGTAAATTTTCCTATTCATTTAACAGTGTAGCTCTCAAGGCAGACAATTGCATACTATAATAGCAGTAACATCTAATGCTTATTAAGCTTTTTCTGTGTGAATAGCACTTGATACGGTTTGGATATTTGTCCGCTCCAAATCTCATGTCAAAATGTGATCCCAATGTTGGAGGTGGCACCTGGTGGGAGGTGTTTGGGTCATGGTGGTGGATCCCTCATGAATGACATAGTGCCCTCCTTGTGGTAATAAGTGAGTTCTCATTGTTGGTTCATGTGAGAGCTGGTTGTTTAAAGGAGCCTGCCACCTCCTCCTAACTCTCTTTTGCTCGCTCTCACCATGTGATACATTGGCTCCCCCTTTGTCTTCTATCATGATTGTGAGCTTCCTGAGGCCTCATCAGAAGCCAAGCGGATGCTGACACCATGCTTGTACAGCTTGCAGAACTGCTAGCCAAATAAACATATTTTCTTTATAAATTATCAAATTTTAGATATTCCTTTATAGCAATGCAAAATGGACCAAAACAGTACTGTTCTGAGTTCTTGTAAATGTAGTAACTCAAGCCTTACAACAAACATGTGATACAGGTACCCTTAATCCTCATTTTAAAGATGAGGAAAACGAGGCAGGATGAATTATTTTACTTAAGCTAGCCAGCCAGTAGTGTTGTCATCAGGACTCAAACTCAGGCGTTTTGGTTCTTGAGCCCATGCACTTCAAACCACTTAGCTATAGTGCTTATGAATTTTGAGTGTGAGGAAAGGTCAGGTTTGGGGGTATGAACATTTTTGGATTCATTAGCCTATAGATAATATTTAACATAAACTCTTTATTATATATTAATGTGCTTTTTAAAAAAAAATTTTTTTTTGAGACGGAGTCTCACTCTGTTGCCCAGGGTGGAGTGCAGTGGTGTGATCTTGGCTCACTGCAGCCTCCGCCTTCTGGGTTCAAGCGATTCTTCTGCCTCAGCCTCCTGAGTAGCTGGGATTATTGGCTCGTGCCACCACACCTGGCTAATTTTTGTAGTTTTAGTAGAGACAGGGTTTCACCATGTTTACCAGGTTGGTCTCGAACTCCTGACCTCAGGTGATCCGCCCGCTTCGGCCTCCCAAAGTGCTGGGATTACAGGCCTGAGCCACCACACCCGGTCAGTATATTAGTGTGCTTTTAAACAATGTTTATCACTTACTAAAATAATATGGCCTGTGTTTTCACCATGATTAGAGCATTATTATATACTTCCACTGAGATATCCAAGTGAGCCATTAATAATTATGTATACATCATCTACATTCTGAGTTCATTGTTATTTTTTAAACTTTGTTTAAAGTTGAAACCATTTGAGTTATTTGCCATGTATTGTCACAAAGATTAATTTAATAATACAATTGTAATCCGCATAGCCATAATTTTTCCCTCATAAGTCTGTTATCTGTGCCTTCATTTCTTGTAGTCTTTCCTCATTTCTACCATTATATTGAAATTATTTTGCTAATTTTCAGTTTTTCCCTTTCTACATCCAAGATCCTTTTCTTTGATTCTTTATGCTCTGTGCACTGTTGTTTACCATCGTCCAGTCCCTCCTTTCATATTCTCTTCCTTGCATTTTAACTGCTGCCATCTCCTTTTTTTCTTCTTCACCAATCAGAATGTTAATTGTGAGGATCTGCTATAAGCATTAATCTACTCTATAAAGTTTTCCCTGATCATTAAAATCACTCTATGTCCCTGTCACTCTTTCTGCATAACTAACTTTGGCATGTACTAACGATACTATATTATGAGATATTTTATGTATCCTTTCTCCCCAACTTGTATACTACTTGTATACCCTTTCTCCCAGACTTGTATATTACTGTAATTACACATTTAATAGGCCACTTAAAGTTGTCCCATAGTTCGCTGCAATTTTAAATTTGTCTTTTTTATTTTAGATTCTTTTTTTGGAATGGCTTCAGTTTAATCTTTTCATCTGCTGTTAATTCCTTCTGCTGTATTTTTTATTTCACGTGTTGTAGTTTTCATCTTTAGAAGTTTGGCTCTTTTTTATATCTGTATACTTAATGTCTTGAGCATGTAGATTACAGCTTAATGTGCTTGTCTGGTAATTTTAACATCAGTGTCAGTTCTGGGTTGGTTTTGATCGATTGATTTTTTTTCCTATCATGGAATGTATTTTCCTGCTTTTTTGCATGCCTCAAAATGTTTAATTGGATCATAGGCATTGTGCATTTTGTTGGATACTGGATAATTTTGTCTTCCTGTGACTATCATTGAGGTTTGTTCTGGCTGTGATGCAAGCAAGTATTTTGATCCTTTAAGTTCTTGATTATAAGATTTGTTAGGCAGGATTGGAGCAACATTCAGTGTAGGGATAATTATTCCCTACTATTGCCAGAGCATCTGAATACTCTACATAATGTCTTATGAGATTTTTCAATTTGGCTGGTGGGAACAGGCACTATTACTGGTCCTCTGTGAGTGCTGGATACTACTCTTATGAATCAGGTTCGCTGCACACTAGTTATCAACTTGAGTTTGGTGAGATGGAATGTCTTTTTATGCAACAAGTTACATAAGACAGATTCATGACTTACAGGCAGGCAGCAAAGGACCACAGAAGCCTAGGATTCATTGCTGGTTGCCCACGGCTCACGGAAACTTCATGGGACAGATGGAGTTTTGACTGGATGCGCGTCATCTTCACTGCAATTGAGGGACCCTGGAAAGTTGTCTACCCTAGGTTTTATACTTCGGGGCAATATGATACTCTGGGCTAAAGCTCTGAAGGACATCCTGTTTCTAAGGGGGACTGGAACAGAACTTGGGCTATTCCCACCAGTCCCTCCCTTTCTCAGAATATTGCATTCCCATCACTTTGTTATTCTCAAACTGCAAGTGAGAAAAATACGGAAAGCTGGGCTCTTAAGGCCGTTTGGAGAACTGTCCTGTAGTTCTCATTATACTTTCAGATAGATACTTTTCCCAGCCTCTGGTAATTTCTTTACACATAGGATTTGATCAGCACTCAGCTGAATATTCAAGGGGAATCTCTAGATTTCCAGGCTTCTCTTTGTGTAAATCTTTCCTCTTTAGTACTCTGCCCTGTGATTCTAGGTGCCTTGGTTACCTGGACTTTCCGCTCTGTTTCCATAGCTCAGGAGTCAGCTGGTCTCTGCCTGTACTCTCCCTCTCTGTGCTGTAGGCTTGAATCTCTCAAGGGAGTAGGGTGGAACAGACATAGGGCTCACTTTGTTCCCTGTCTCTTAGGCATCAGCGTCTTTTATATCCTGATGACCAGCGTCCTGAAAACTGTTACATATGTTTTGTTTCCTTTTGTTTGTTTGTTTGTTTCAGGCGGGTGGGCAAATCAGTCGCTTTTGCTGTATCTTGGCCAGAAATGGAAGGAGTATATTTGCTGTTGCTATTTCAAAAGCATCCAGAGATTGATAAGAGAAATGGGAGGAAGTCATTTTTAAGCCTAGTGTAATACAATGTAGCACTTATTTTAGCTTTCTACTTCTGTAAGATTTTCTCAAAAATTCAAGAAGTAAAATTCTACTATGTGTGTGGAAATAAAAATAGACTTAAGATAATTTTTTGTCTTACAAGTTGTACTTCTGCTATCTTTACTGTAAGATTTAAAGTGACAGTCTTCATAAGGTCCAGGTATGCCATAGGAACTTAGTGATTTGACCAATTGAATAGTAATGGTCCCAAAGGTATATCTTTAACATATTTCTTCAGGACTTCAGAATTAAGGTTGTGGGTAAAATAGGTCCAAGGTTATAGCCAGTATTCTTACATGTAGTTTGAAAGTTTTCTAGTCTCTCATCTAAAGTGATGTAACATTTATTTTCTCAGAATGAGTTTACAAGAGGCGTTAACAAATTTAAGTATTCTTTCCTATTTTATAGTCGCAAGTTCTAATTGGGAACATATATCCATCTATAATAATGATATGACGTTTTTGAAATGGTTGTCTTTTTAAAAGTTTACTTTATTTGAATAATTGCTCAGAGAAAGAAAAATATGCCATGTTTTTAGGGGTGTTTTAGTAAAAAATTATTTGGAACTTCAGTTAACATGCCGTGTAAGAGTAGTACAGTACATGGGTTTGAACTGCACACATCCACTTTTACACAGAATTTTTCTCAACCGAATGCAGCTAAAGACCCTGTGTTCCTGGATGCAAAACCTTTGCATACAGAGTGCCAACTTTTCTTATATGCATGTTCCGCAAGACCAACTGCAGGGCTTGAGTATATGCGGATTTTGGCGTGTGGGGTGTCCTAGAACCAATACCCTGTGCATACTGAGGAATGACTATAATTTTCAGATACTGTGGGGCACACTGTAAGTTGTAACCTTAATTTTTAACACTATTATTATGTTAATGTCTTCGTATATTAATTACAGTTATATTTTTCTTTAATTGATTTTATTTAATTGATTTATAAAGAGGTGTTGAGAGTGGGAGATGTGGTGTGGGTATTCAGAGAATTTATGTTGCTGAACTGATTGGATATAATGTTTTGGTTGGGGTTGAATATAGTGTTACTGATAACTCTTTTTCTCCCTTCCCTAAATGTTTTATGAAATATAAATGTTCTAATTGTACTTAATTATTATTTCAAATAATAGACGATCTTTCTTAATTTAACATAGTTGACTGCAGGCTGTGATAGATACTGTGTAGCAGGTGACAAGGTTAATAGTCCAATTTAAACCTTGGTTAGGTAGCACCAGTTGAAAGTTAATAATTAGTTGTGGAAGGCTAAAGAAAAGCTGGGTCAGTTCAGCAGAAGTCAGACTTGTTGTCTGAGAATGTCAGCAGGGGTGGTACAGTAGGAAGAGGTCAGAGATACAGTGATAAATAGAATATGGAGATGAGGTAGCACCTTGTCCAAGGTCAGAATCATGACAGTAGAAAGAGAGGCTAACTTGATGATAGAGATTTGCTGCAGATTTTAATGGAGGTGATTTAAATTTCTCTCAGTCCAACTCAGGATCTGTCTACACTGATTTTGAAGCCTGTGGCCCTTAGATCTTAAGAGATCTAAACCAGTATCATTTGGTTTATCAGAGTGTAATCTGGGACAGTTTTCCTCAAGGTAAATTTGATATTCTTCTTGAGCCAGTTGGACACTGCATTCTTAAATATTAGTTGCTAGTATATGTATGTCTTTCGGTTATGCTTTGCTAATTTATTGAGAACATTGATGTATTTTTTCTTTGTCTTTCTTTAAATTATTGCCTTTGGCACAGTGAGCTTTAAGTTAAATAAAATTCTTTGCAAATCATTTTTTAAGAGAATCAAGCCTATAAAATATGAATAACATCTAAAATACTAACAACATCTAAAATACTAGTTGTATAAGCTTTGAGCATTGGATATGTATAGTAAGCTAAATACACATTGATATTAGATTGACAGTAGTTAGGAAAACAAAACCTTCATGAGTTTGTTCTTTGAAAATGACCAGATATCTGACACTGGAATTAAGACATATACTTGAAAGCATATGGCTAAGTCTTAATTTCTTGACCTCTAATGATTCCGTACTTTATCATTGGTCAGAAATGAGTATGGCCTACATTTTTAAGGCATTTGGAATTCTAAGTTGGTAATGGGGAAAAACATTAGTTAATATTGTCCTTTAATTTTAGATAATAGTATATAGTAAATGTTTATTGATCAGCATTTATATCTGTATATTTACACGCATGCACACACAACACTTATTCTGTGTCCTAGCGTTGATATTTTCAAATTGCTTTTCACGTAAATTTGTTGTTTCTAGATTCAACGTAAATAAATGCTTTGAGAATCAAGTTATTTCTTTAAGAGTTTCCAGTTGAGTAAATCTGGTTGAAAGCAGAGTTTGCAGAGCATAATACCAGTTGGGGTTTTATGTGATCTTTGTCATTATCTAGAACCTTATCTCTTCCCTGTCCTTGCACTCCATCCAAATGTTTATCAATTAGTACATTGAAAGTTTTTCTTCTGGCTTTTTTCTTGTTCTAGACGTATTTTGCATGATACTTTACCATTAAAAATAAAATACCTTTTTGTTTGCAGTAGATTTAGATTCACAGCAAAGTTGAGAGGAAAGTACAGAGTTTTTTAATATATCTCTTGCCTCCACACATGCGTCATCTCCATCATTATCAGTATTCCTACCAATGTGGTACATTTGTTAAAATTCATGAACCTACATAGATACATCATAATTACCCAAAGTCTGTACTTTGTATTAGGGTTCATTCTTGGTGTTGTATATTCTGTGGGTTAGGGTAAATGTTTAATGAAATGTATCCATCATTATAATGGATAATGCCCTAAAACTCGTCATACTTCCTCCTTCTCCAGTCTCCACCCTCTGGCAACCACTGATCTTTTTACTGTCTTCATAGTTTTGCCTTTTTCAGAATGTCATAAAGTTGGAATCATACAGTATATAGCCTTTTCAGATTGGCCTCTTTCACTTAGTAATGTACATTTAAGTTTTCTCTATGTTTTTTCATGGTTTGATAGCTCATTTTTTTTTATAGCACTGAATAATCTATTGTCTGGATGTACCAGTTTATTTACCCATTCACTTACCAGAGGATGTCTTGGTTGCTTCTGAGTTTTGGTAATTATGAATAAAGGTGTTATCAACACCTCTTTACAGGTTTTTGTGTGGACCTAAGTGTTCAATTCCTTTTGAGTAGATCCCAAGGAATGCATTTGCTGGATCAAGTGGTTAAAATTATGGTAATTTTATAAGAAACTGCCAAACCATCTTGCAAAGTGCCTGTACCATTTTGTATTCCTACCAGCAATGAATGAGAATTCCTGCTGCTACACATCCTCTCTAGCAGTTGATGTTGTCAGTGCTCTGGATTTTGGTCATTCTAATAGGTTTATAATTGTCTTAATTTGCATTTCCCGATGACATGTAATGTGGAGGATCTTTTTATGTGCTAGTTTGCTATTTGTATATCTTCTTTGGTGAGATGTCTCTTAAGGTCTTTGGCCCATTTTAAAATTGGGTTGTTTTGTTCTTATTGATGAGTTTTAAGAGGTCTTTGTATATTTTTGTAACAGTTCTTTATCAGATGTCTCTTTGGCAAATATTTTCTCCCAGTTTGTGAGTCGTCTTCTTATTTCGTTCACCATTTCTTTTGGAGAGCAGAAGTTTTAAATTTTAGTGAATTTTAATGAAGTCTAGCTTATTATTTCTCTCATGGATCCTGCCTTTGGTATATCTAAAAAGTCATCGCCATACCCAGTTACCTAGGTTTTCTTTTATGCTCTCTTATAGTAGTTTTATAGTTTTGCATTTCACATTAGGTCTGATTCATACAGAGTTAACTTTTGTGAGGGGTGTAAAGTCTAGATTCATTTTTTTGCATGTAGATATCTAGCTGTTCTAGCATCATTTGTTGAGATTCTCTTTGCTCCGTTATATTGCTTGTGGTTTTTTTTTTTTTTTGTCAAAGATCAGTTGATTATGTCAGTCTGTTTCTTAGCCCTCTATTCTGTACTATTGATCTGTTATTTTGCCAGTACCCCACTGTCTTTATTATTGTAACTTTGTAGTGTATGTTGAGGTTGGAGGTTGGGAAGTATCCTCCAAGTCTGTTCTCCTTAAATGTTGGTTGGCTATAATGGCTCTTTTACTTCTCCAAATAAACTTTGTCTATCATCACTTATTAGTTCCAATAGGTTTCTTGTCGATTCTTTTGAATTTTCTGCAAGACAGTCAACGCCATCTGCAAACAAAGACAGTTTTATTTCTTCTTTAGTAATCTGTGTACCTTTTATTTCATTTTCTTGTCTTACTGCATTAGGCGGGACTTCTAGTATGATGTTGAAAACAAGTGGTAGAGGGGACATGGACAATGCTTTTTAAAACAAAACAATTATTTTATAAGCATTTGTTTGTCCTATAAAATTCTAATTCATTTTCCAAATATGTTTTCTATTAGAAAACTGTAGTCTGTGGAAGACCATTTGACAGTAGGGAGAATTATGGCCTTTGTAATGACAGCAAGATAAAATAATGTTGTGGTAGTAATGGCAATTAAGAAAAATGTTGAATACTGAATTAGAATAAAAAATAGAGATGCTTCATCTAAGGACAAACAGGTTTGATTAGGATGTCAGTAGGCTTAGAGAATATGAACATAATCCTAACCCACTTAAAGGAAAATTAGAATTGGGTAGTGATTCTTAGTTTATTTTGTATGTAAATTTCTCTTCCTTGGTACATTTTTATCATTATTGTGACCGTTAAATTTGTTAGGCAAATAGAAGATGCTGTTTTATTCTTGTTTGCTTTGTCTTAGTGGGTTACAGATTAAAATAAATTGGATGGGAGATAGGGGAGAGGGATAAACATACACGAACATTTGAGGAGGTAACTCAGTAATGGTTATAAGATACAAAGTATGAGGTACTGTTTTGCCATGTAAGTTAAGAATTAAAATCACTTTCTCTTCTTGCACCCTCTCAACAACTAGTTAAGCTACTAGCTGTAGATTCTAAACTTTTTAATGTTTATTTTGTTAGCATTATTGATCTTGCTTATAAAGGAATTTTATTCTTTGTAGATTGGTTAAATGTGCTATCAGTGTAAAATTGCTTAATAACGATAGAAATGGTGAACCCAAATTGCATAATAATAATTGTACATATGGAGAGCCAATGTGTTCAGATACTGTGCTAAATACTTTGTATTTAGTTAAAATAATATTTTTTTTCTCAGAAGAAATACACAGGTTCACTGAAATCAAGAGTACAAGTAATTCAGAGTGCAAGCTATAACACTAGAGAACTGTAAAATATGAATTAACTTTGTTAAAGGTCAGCAGATTTGTTACAGTATCCATAGGTAGCAAGCTTAAGGTTAGTCTGTTACCTAAATGATTCTAGTAGGAGGAGTTTTAAACTCATTTCCAAAGAGTATTATTTTGACAGGCAGTATTTGAATTTACTTATTATCATGGCTGGGTAATTTATGTTTGAATTTGTCAGTCTATAAAATGCATTGTTTCCCCCCCGTTGCCTATAAAAAACCATTTCCTCAAACTGTTCTGTGACCAGTATGCACCTGTAGTAGAAATGGAAGGCCCAAGTGTCTAAAGCAACGGGTTTATAGTTTGAATGGATCTAGGGAGAGATCCAGGCACACTGAACAAGAAATAATTTATTAGTGACTCCCTTCTAGTGGCAAAGGCTGGCAACCCAAAACATGACAGCAAAACTGAGATGCTTTCTTTGGAGAATTTTTGGTTGTTTTAGAAGTTAATAAGCTGGAGGCCACACAGCTGATCAGGGGTAGAAACTGGGTTACTTCCATAATTATTTATATTTAAATTTGTTACCTTTTTCTTAAGTTTATTACCTATTTATAAAATCTATTCTGTAGCAATAGGGCCATTGGTTTATTATTAGGTTCAAGGCAAATCTTAGGAGGCTGGGAAGGAAGTAAAGAAATGTACAGTGGTATTATGTATAGTAACAATGGTTCTAATGTAATGAATGGTATTAAGAGCTTTCCTGAGTTTCTGAAGTAATTATGGGTTTTGAGATTTTGTGGCTTGCTTTCTACCAGTTTTTTATGGATATATTTGTATCGTGTGTACATATTATATAAGAATATATTCATATAATATTGTGGTTATTTATGTATTTTTTTTTAGTTTCCAGAATTAACTGACACGCAGAACTAGCATTTATTTGTACATTATAATTTGTATCAATTGAGCATCCCTGATCTAAAAATACGATGTCTACCTGAAATCTGACCCTAAACCCAAAACTTTGTGAGCACTGACATGATGCTCAAAGGAAATGCTAACTGAAGCATTTTGGATTTCAGATGTTAAGAATAAGGATGCTCAGTCAGTAGCCATCCTGAAAACATTCCAAAGTCTGAAAAAAGTCTGAAGTCCAAAATGCTTCTCTTCCCGAGCATTTTGGATGAGGGATACTCAGCCTATATATAGGCCTTCCTTTTTGAATAAATCTATTTTCTTATTGCCTGTTGTTCATGCAGAACTATTTAGCTTTTGTGGATTCTAGCGCAGAATACATGATTAAAGTTTGATTTGTCTGGACAAACTTCCATCATGAATTTTAATACAGTTATGAGGAAAAATACTAAATAAGTTTTATTTCCCCACAGTTTATCAAATGGGTTGTACTTTTTACATCTTACATTTTACATCAACTTGTAAAAAGTATTGTGTTTATTTAGAGGTGATTTCTCTTGGTGGAAGGAGGAAGTAATGCAGAGCTGTGAGGTAAGTAACATGGGGTTTGCAGTCAGACAGGCACAAGTACCTGTCTTTGTGATACTGTGCAAATTGCCTAATCTTGTTGAATGGAGTTGTAATAGGTGCTCTCTCTTTGGGGTTGTGAAGATTAAAATATTTATATGTGTGTGTGTGTGTGTGTGTGTGTGTGTGTATATATGTGTATGTATACGTGTGTATACATATGTACACAAAATATGGGTTGTATGGAACCTAATATGTAGTATGAGTTTAACTTAGATTAGCGATTTTTATTATCACATGTTATTAATTGTATTCCTTTTATACAAAGAAAAAAGGAACTGAAAGTGATCCATGGAAAAGTAAAAGTAGATTATTACCTTGTAACATAAATAAAAAATAAAAACCTAAGTATTAATAACACTTTAATGTTAGTAGATATTTTACGATATCAAGGTAGGGAAGGTCTTTTGAAATAAGACTGAGAGAAGTACAAGTTATAAATAAATGGATTCAATTGGACCACAGTAAAAAAAGAAAAGTCTGTGTGACAAAGGAGACCATAAGTAAATTGATATGTCAAGTCCTAGACAGAAGATATCATAGTTGCCACACATGTAGTTAATTACTAATACATGACTAGTTAATTACCACTAAAGAACTACTACAAATTAATAAGAAAAGAGAACCCAATTGAAAAATAGATAATCTGATCAGAGTTTATCACTGGAACCTGAGTTGTTAATAAACAATATATGTATAATGTCATTAAACATCATGGATATGAAAATTAGAGGAATATTGAGATGCTATTTGTTACTTTTCATCCTGGCAACAGAATGCAAAAAGTCTGACAGTGTTAGTGTTGATAAGTATGTGGGAAAATGGGAACCCACATGTTGCTGGTAGGAGTTAGTTTGGAAAAACAGTTTGGCAATATCTTGTAATTGGTTAGTAAGTTTTTGTATTCTGTGGGCGTATTTGACAGTCTGGTGAATGAAGCCTGTGTACTTCTTTGCAGAAAAATTTTTTAAGTACAATATATAGGATTATAAAAGATAGTCATATTGAAATATCATTATTACAATATAAAAATATGATATGGTAATATTTTTATGAAGAAATTTTATAACAAGAATTTAGTGACAGGTCTGATAGCCATTACAAGTTCAAAATGATGATGAACATGAACTGTGTCTTGAGATATCAGCAATGAATGGAATGGAATAGGAAAGTACCTGCGATTCCTATGGTTTACCAAGTCACAGGGACTGCTAATTCTATTTTTTTTTTGCCTCCACTTATAACTGAAATGTTAAATTTTACAGACTTATGTAAATGAAGATGTTTTTCCCCTTTTTCAAGTTTATCACCTCCTTGAGTTAGAATCATAGAACTTACAGATGCCAGTTTAAGAACCCTTTTAGAGTGACTTTTACTCATGAATAATGATAATGATTCTATTATTGCTTATTAGAAAAATGAGAAAGCCTATGTGACCATTATTAAGAGAAATGGAAAAATGTAATATATTAATATGATGGGGTGCCCTACAGCAATGCAGATAAATGACTTACCTATAAGCGTCAATATGCAGAGGTTTCTAAAACAAAAGTTTGAATTAAAAGTTTCAGTATGATATTGAGATAGAGTATTATGCAAATTAAAGACATATGTAACATTTTATTGTATGGTTTTTGATTTTATGTACCTGTTTATGGGTGCGTCTTTATACACATAAAGATAGATTTGAGAAAAACAGTGTTTTTAGTTTAGTGGAAAAGAGGGGGAAAGTAAGATGGGATAAAGGAATTCAGAGGTACCTGTAGTATTTTAATTATTTATGTTAGGAAATAAACCAAATAGATTGCAAACTAACAGACCTTATTCGATGATAATTGTCATTGATGAGTACGTGGGTTTTTGTTTTATTATTATTTGTGCTTTTCTGCATTAAAATAGTTCCCCAAATTCTCAAAATAGTAGTTATTAACAAGAAAATATTTTCTTATAATTATTGTAAATATTTTAATAAAAATACAAGTGGCACCAAGATAGATTATCAGTTGCAAAGGGGATTAACTTTTGTCATTTGCTTCAGGTACATATGGGTTACTGAATAATTACCGAATTAATTGTTTTCTAGTTAATGCCAAGTGTTTCTTGCCTTTTGGTTTTCTATTTAGAATGTCAAAGTAAGCCTTTGAACAGTCATTGATATTTATGGTAGCAGAATGTTAACTCTCTGAATATGGTTAGGACTGTGGTATTCTGCAGTAACTTAATAGCCCTACATTTTTTCTATATTTGGCATTTTTATTACCAGAGAATCTCCAAACTTTATCTTACAAGACCCAGGAAAATGGTTTTATTTGTTGGGCTTATATTGGTTTCTTGTATCTGTTTTTCTCTAATGGTTCACTAAATTAGTTTTGAAATATCTGGGATTGCTTTCTTCAGTTTTTTGGTAAAGAGATACATAAAACTCTGGTTATTGTAGAGAAGTTCTGATACTCCAGGCCATTTTTACTGAAATGAACTAAGGTGTTAGTCAGTAAAGATGAATGTAGTAGTGACTGTGGAAGTTAGAATATAATGAAACATCCTCATTTTCTCAAATAGCAGCCTGACCCCAAGCGTGAAGTGAGCATCGCTTCCAAAAGAGTAGAATCAATCAATAGATGGGAAGATTAGTATAGGAACAGCAAAGAAGCACAGAGTAACTCATGCCGCTACCTGGCTTTGTTTCATATCTTTTCCTAGAGGAATCAAAATTACTTGTCTTTTAGTCACTCTTTTTTTGCATGTCTCTTAAACTGTCTCTAACTGGCAATAACTGTTGTTTTATTGTTTATAAAGCACCACAGGTAAAAATTTCAAATCACATGATTCATAAAGTAAAAATAAACATAACCATTTATCTTCTCCTGTAGAAGGAAGCCATTATTGATTTGCTACACAGTTGACCCTTGAACAACATGGGTATGAATTGCGTGGGTCTATTTATACATAGATTTTTTTCAAATCAATATATTGGAAAATTTTTTTAAGATATGTGACAATTTGAAAGCATTCTAAGATGGACTGCATTGCCTTACAAATACCAAAAAAAATGGAGAAAAAAGTCTGTCAAGAGGGCATAAAATGTATATACATACTAGTCTATTTTCATCGTTTAGTACCATAAGATATACACAAATCTATTATAAAAAGGTCAAAACTTGTTAAAACTTAGACACACAGTTACAAATCACACATGACACCACTTGCAGTTGAGGGAAATGTAAACAAACATAAGGTTGCCATATTAAATCACAACTGCATAAAATTAACTGTAGTACGTTATAGGCTACTGTCATAACTTCGTAGCTGCATTCCGTTGCTATTAGGGTGAGCTTAAGTGTTGCAGTAGCCACTTAAAATGCCTTATGACACTGATCATCTCCATGTGAGCCCTTCATCTCTCCAGTGAGTTGCATATTGCAGTAAACAGTGATCACCCGAGGTTCTCCTGTATTTTTCATTCTGTTTAATGTAATAGTGTAAACCTTGAATAACACCATGGGACGCAAACAAAATGCCACTAGGGATGCTGGAGGTGCTCCCAAGAAGCAGACAAGCCATGACATTACAAGAAAAAGTTGAGTTGCTTGATAGATACCATAGATTGAGATCTGTACCTGTGGTTGCTCCCATTTTAAACAGATGATTCATCTTGTAAACAGGTGACAGAAACTTATAGTATGAGTAAATACAATACAGTACTATAAATGTATTTTGTCCTATGATTTCTAAATAACATTTTCTTTAGCTCACTTTATTGTAAGAATATTGCATATAATACATGTACAAAATCTGTGTTAATTGACTATGTTATTGGTAAGGCTTCTGGTCAGCAGTAAGCTTTTAGTAGTCAATTTTTGGGGAGTGAACACTTAACACGTGATTTTTGACTGTGTGGGTGCCCCTAACCTTCCCATTGTTCTATATTATTTCAAATATTTAGCATGTATGTAAAAAAGTTAATGAGTGAATAGGCACACACAAATTGTGGATATTCTTGTAGGTAAGTCTGTTTCATCTTGTTAAATAACTATAATACTGTCTTGTTTCATACCATGTTATGATGTAATCAGATTCCTCTCTGTAGGCATAAATATTATATCCAAATACTTGGAATTATGAACAGTGCTTCAGTGAATATCCTTTTATATTTACGTGTGTACTTTGTCTGATTATTTCTTTAGGATAAATTCCTAGAAATGGCATTGATGAACTAAAGGAAACACACATTTAAAGCTTCGTATGTATTATAAATGTGACTTCTTGAAAGATGTTACCAATGCATAGCCATATTGTATCCCTTGGTACAGTTTTAACTTACGTTTTCCAGTGGTATTTTTAATAAAACATTGTGTGTGTGTGTGTGTGTATGTGTATATGTGTATATATATACTTATAAAACAAAGTACAATGTTTTATAATATTTTAATCCAGTTAATATTAGCATTCAACATGGATGGTATCTTATGTACAGACTACCCGCAAGTTTCAGTAGTAAGCTTTTACCCTGTGCTGTTCTCTCTGATCATAATCCCAAATGTTTTAAAAAGGGCATTTCTCCTGCCACAAATGGTTGGGGGAGAGCGTCTGAACCAAGGAAACGTGTGGACCAGAAAAGAGCTGTGTTAATTCTATTTCTGTATTTTCAGTACATTTTTTTCATTACTTAATTAGTTACACAAATATTTATTTAATGAGGCAGGCACCGGCCTGGTCACTGGGCATACAGTGATGGTAGAGACAGTTCTAGGCTCTCAAGAATTTATAATTTAGTGATAGAAACTTTTAAGTGGCTCAAAACAGTCAACTCCTTTACAAACTACAGTTATAATACATTTGTAAAGTGTGTGTATAGTTTACATACATTTGTAAAATAATTTAGTGTAACAAAGCAAAATAGAAATAAAGATGAGAAAAAATTTTATTGAAACATGTCACCACCTACAAACAATTGTCATTAAGTAAAATTTACTTCTCCTCTAACATTTCATTATGAACTTCTAAAACATAAAGGTAAGCTGAGAGAATTTACACTGAATACCCAGATATCGACTACCTAGATTCCACAATTAACAATTGACTGTGCTTGCTTTATCGCAACTCCATCTTATGTATCAGCAATCATTCTGTCTTTTTAAATGCATTTTAGAGTAAGCTGGAGAAAAGTGTCCTTCCTTCAATATGCATAACATGAACTATTGTTTTAAGCAGCACTGTGTTTCAGTTAAATCTGTATTG
Organism: Homo sapiens; assembly: GCF_000001405.40. Lineage (NCBI taxonomy): Eukaryota > Metazoa > Chordata > Mammalia > Primates > Hominidae > Homo > Homo sapiens. The sequence continues at coordinate 15,607,806 of NC_000008.11, forward strand.
ATTGACTATATGCTATTAAAAATGTAGAAATTTTGTACTTTTACATTTCCTCCCTAATTCTCTTCCCTGTCAGCAAATATTTGATAAATTACTTTGTCTAGTTATGGAACGTAATGAAGTGTCATATCTTGAATGCCCATATAATTTACCTGAACTGGAATATTTTTGATAAGCATGCAGTGATACAGCAAGTGCAGTTTGGGGTTTCCTTAGCAAACCAGAATGGTGAGAATGTCTATAACAATAAATGCCAGAGTAGTTTATTCTTGGTTTTACATTTAAATGTATTTGCATTTAATTAGCACTATATTCACATTTGGCTTTTACCATAGCTTATTTCCTGAGTTCTTGATTTTGATTCACCTCTTGGCTGAATTTTATCCATAGCTTCTCTTTTCCTGAGTTCCTTATTTTGATTGAGTTCTTGGTTATATTTTATCCTCAAGAGGTTCCTCTCTTTTCCATGAGTGTTTAATGTGTACTGAATTCCTTAGTTTTTTTTTGCTTGCTTTGTTACTTTATATTGGTGCTTTTTGTAAACAATAAATTCCAATATAAAATAGTTGTTTGTCTTATAGGGATAAATTGAACAATAGTAGGGACATCCTAGGGCTAGGGGTGAGCCTAGAATCTTATCTCTAATATTACTCAGTCTTCCACATGAAGTGTGATGTAAGAAGTTTCTTCGGAGATTTTTACCTTTGTATATTGATATGGTTTGGCTCTGTGTCCCCATCCAAATCTCATCTTCATTTGTAATTCCCATGTGTCACGGGAGGAACCTGATGGGAGGTGATTGGATTATGGGGGTGGTTTCCCCCATGTTGTTCTTGTGATAGTGCGTGAGTCTCGTGAGATCCGATGGTTTTAAAAGTGGCAGTTTTTCCTTTGCTTTCACTTCACTTCTCTTGCCTGCCACCATGTAAGATGTGCCAGCTTCCCCTTCCACCATGATTGTAAGTTTCCTGAGGCTCTCCAGCCATGCGTAACTGTCAGTCAATTAAACCTCTTTCCTTTATAAATTACCCAGTCTTGGATATTTCTTTATAGCAGTGCAAAAACTGACTAATACATATACCTTTGTACAAAATAACCAAAAGAAATCTTTGATTCTACTCCCAAAAAACTTGACTTGCTCTTGCCATTTGGAAGAAACTTGGTAGAATTAAACACTGTTTAAGTTGATGAAAAACAAGCGTTGGAAATTTTTTAAAGTACATTTAAAACTTTGCTCTTGGCTGATTTTCTGTTGGATTCTATTGAATTTTTCTTTGTTTTGACGATGTAAGCGTTACATATTTTAGTGACTGATTTGTGTGAATCAAGAATAAAGTCACTGAAAAAATTAACTCAATTTTACAATTTATGAGTATAGTTACGGTTTTGTTTTGCCACATTCTGTTAGTAAAAGTTTTTTTCAGCTGTGACACATAATATGTGGCCATTAATAGTGAAGAGTTACACACAATGACTTCTAAAGCAGTGCAAGATAATTTTATGATATAATGTATTACTACAATAGAGTACCTGCTATACTCATTTACACTGGTAATAGTCATCTTGTCTGGATCTGTATTCCCAAGAGAGGCAGGCCAGATGGCTGTGTACAGCTGGAAGTAGATTTTCTTCTAAGCTTTTAACAGCTGCTCTCATTTCTTATATCTGGTACTTGTTTTAAAATGAGATATTTATTTATAAATGAATGTCCAACAGAAGGATATGAAAGAGTTCAAGAAAAATGGTGACAGAAGCTAATGCAGTGGTGGAAAAAAAAATGGGAAGCTCATTTGACCCATTTGATGACTGTCCCTGATTAAAATGACTTCATATTTTGAGTCTTCAGAGAAAGTATCATGATTCCCATTATAATGATACTGTCTCTTGATAGTAGGGTATTGTACTTAAGCAATTTTTTAGTGAAAAATTGTCAGGAGGACAACAAACATTTAAAAAAAAACATGTTTTCACTGTACATTAAAAATAAAACAGAGTAACTCCCAAAACCAAAAAAAGGCCATTTTCAACTATTTACATGACTTTATGACCTATCTTTATCAATAAACATACACTTTTGTGATACTAATATATTACTATGAATATATTACCTTCTATCTTTCCACTTACTGTTATGATATAATTTTCTTACTAGTCACCACATTTCATTTTAGTCTCTGGTATTTTATTGTATTATTATGCTCTTTATTTCCTAGCTGTTTTTATTTTTGTTGCTGTTGATCACATAACTATGTTTATATGGTTTAACTATTTTTCTTTTGGAAATTTTTAAGGTATATTAAGAAAGGTATGATGAATAAATTATAATCAGTTTAATGTATTTTGTATCGTTGTTTTTATGAGGGGCTTTGCGTTTTAGGCACTGGATTTATTTCATAGCATACTTTGAAATCCATAAAATTCCATACATTCATTGATCCGATTTTGTTATTACCACAAGTATCAAATGCAAAATATTTCAGTATACTGCATGATGTTTTCGCTGATAAAATTAAGGTATAGCAACATCTAACATTAGAATTCTTAAAATTATTGCTGCAAGGGAGTAGTTAAGTTTCTCATGGAGAAACATTTCTGGTATTTTCAATGTAGAATTTAATGTTGATGTGTTTCTGTGAATTCACTGCTTCCTTTATTAATTTTTATGAATAAGGAAATACTAGCAAACTTGATTTATTTTAAATCTTTGGAATATTAATTTAACATCTGGCAACAGCAATTCTTAAGTTCTTATTGTTATACTGATTTTATATATAAGTGAGATACATATGCAAGTTTCGGAAACAGTTGTTACTTCGAAATATTCTTTTTTGCCTTTGAACCAGAGAATAAATAGAGCAAAGAGACTGGCAAATTGAAGTAAACCCCTTTAAAAAAGTGACATTTGAATAGGGCTACTGTGTTAGCAATTCCTATATTAGAGCGTAAAAGTTTTACAAATTTTCCATTCATTCAGTAGAGGTATAGGGAGGGCTTGAGGGCCTCTCAGGAGCCACCAGTGTTCAGGATGCTCTCCGGGGTACAAAGATGGTCAAAATGTGGATCTCTCCTCAGGGAAAATTTCTGAGGAGAGTTCAGGTTGATAGACACATAACTAAAAGAGTGTTACTGGACTTATTTTTAATATGTCTCTAGAAAAAGTTCACTTAATTGAATATTGTAGTACCGTCCACTGAAAGCTTCTTTTTCAAAAAAAGTGTGATATTAGAATAACTTAATTTCTCTATTTCTCATTAGATAACTTTACACAAACAAAAGGTCTTTAGGATCTTCCCAGAGGTGGAATTGGTTTGGGATTTTACAGTATTTCTTTCTTTAATTTTTATAGTGTTCTGTATCAAATATTTCAAAGAACTTTTTTGTTGTTGCTGTTGTTGTTTTTTTGAGACAGAGTCTTGCCCTGTCTCCCAGTCTGGAGGGCAATGGCGTGATCTCGGCTCACTGCAAATCCCGCCTCCCAGGTTGAAACGATTCTCCTGCCTCAGCCTCCCAAGTAGCTGAGATTACAGGCACCTGCCACACATCCAGCTAATTTTTGTATTTTTAGTAGAGATGAGGAGGTTTCACCATGTTGGCTAGGGTGGTCTCAAACTCCTGACCTCGTGATCTGCCCGCACCGGCCTCCCAAAGTGCTGGGATTACAGGCGTGAGCCATCGTACCTGGCTACCTTTTTGCTTTTGAATGTAATGATAATTGTTTTCTGATGGATTGCTGATTACATTATCTCTAGAGAGACCATGATTTGCTGAGTTCTTAACTGATTAACCTCTTGGAATTTTTGCTTTCTTTATGGCGTGTGTGCTGTATGCATTTTATATTTCTGATAAAAATGGTGTATTTGTTTAATTTACTGTATAGCTCATTGTGGTCTTCTGAGTGCCTTTAAAGGTAGTGGTGGTCTTTACTGAACTATCAGTTTGTAATGTAGATGAGGTGGTATAGTGCTTAATCTCTGATTTTTTGGTTCCTAGAAGCATTAATTGCCCTTTATATATTTTTAAATCTGTTAAGTATGACATAATATTAAGAAATATGAATACAGATTTTTAAGATCGAATTTCCAACATGGAAGATAACTTTTCTACTAAATGCAAAACGATATGCATCTGGCTGCTCATGTTTGGTTTATCGTTGGGTTTTCATTGAACTCCTTAAATATTAGAGTCTTGAAAAGTAAAGGCTTCTTGTTCTCTTAGAGACTCCTTTAAAAATATAAGAAGAACAGAAGGGGTCATGATATTGTTTCTGTGGGTTAGCAGTTGATACCTTCAACATGTACGTCTTGTTCTCATTCCAGATCTGCATGCTGTGAATTACTATAAGCAAGTTTTATTATGGCTATTTTGATGAGTACCTGCTATTCAGATAGCAGGTACCTGAATAAGTACTGTATATGTGACTGGTAAACAAACACGTGAATAGCTGCCCCCCTGGCAGAGGCATCTTGGTTAAAGACATGAGACCACATATCTTTTTGCCTTGGTACATCTGGTCATGTTCCTAGGGATAAAATGTTGAAACAAACAAACAAACAAGAAAGAGTAAAAAATATGAGATTAGTGAGCTCTTATTCTATTTAAGCTTCACTTTGGAATGAACCATTGTATTACGTATTGTTTAATGCAATGTACTATTTCTTGTATTTTTGGTTATAAATTGGTTATTGTAGTAAAATGTGAATTGAGAAAAAATGGAGTGGTGTCATAATTTGGAGACTGGTATATAGATTATGCCAGCTTGTTTATTATACTGAGTTGCTATAAAGTTAAGCCTTCATAAAATGTTAAGATAAAAATACAAGAAGGAAAAAATATAAGAAAGAGGAATGGGCATCTGAACGTATTATGACTGATTCTATTAACTTCATTCATAGATGTGACCTTCTAACCTTTGTTTTTTATAAAGTAACAAGGATGGGGCTTTTTTGTTTTGTTTTGTTTTTGAAGATTCTAAGTTACAGATTTCTTTTTCCTTTTCTGATGTGACAGATTTATGGCATCTTGGACTGTATGTCCCATCTTGTATCAGTAAGAGACAAAGCCAACCGATCACCCACTCTTCACTGATCGGACCAGTCTAGACTTCAGAATCTTCTGCAGTGAATTTAAAGGAGCCACAATATCAGTTAATGTTCACAGAAACAATATATTCTTTACCATCCCTTCCTGAGTTGGCACTAAGCCGTTTACTTAAGAGCAGAGCTACAGCCATCGCATATCAATATAAGCCATATTATATATATGATATATATATATATATCATATATATGTATTTTATATGTGTTTGTGTGTGTGTACACATGGACACTTTTTAGTGCTAGAGTTTATTTGCCTTAAGGGCTTGAGAGTAGGATCTGTCTTATTTGTGCCAAATTTGGGGACAATGGGATTCATGTAACATGTCTTACAGTGCTTTTTTTTTTTAAGTAAATTTAGCACAGTGCTTTTCTTGTAATACTCAGAAACATTAGGTAACTCTGAGATTGAAGGTATTAATGAGATTTAAAAAATTCCCACTGCAGATAATTCTTTTAGCAATGTGATCTGTGTTGTTGTTAGATCATGACCTGAAGAAAAGGAAAAGAAATTTGAGTGTCTTAGCATTTGTAAGATGCAGTGCTAAGAGTTTTCCATGCATTGGCCCATGCAGTTTTACAAACATCAAGTCTCATGAGATGTGATGGTTTTATGAAGGGGAAGTTCCCTGTACATGCTGTCTCTTGCCTGCTGCCATGTTAAGATGTCCCTTTGCTGTTCTTCGTCTTCTGCCATGATTGTGAGGCCTCCCCAGCCATGTGGAACTGTGAGTCCATTGAACCTCTTTCCTTTATAAATTACCCAGTCTCGGGTATGTCTTTATTAGCAGTGTGAAAACAGACTAATACAAATACATATAGCATTATCTCAGGTTTTGTAAGAGTTGTATTATATTCCATCTTATAGATATTTCTGTTCTCCTTTAACTTTAACATTCCCTTTAAGCATGGACTTTTTTGACCCAACTTTCATTCTTCACTGGGAATAGGGAGCTGAGATTCATGAGCATAATTTTCTTCAGAAGACCAAAAGGGACACCCAAACAGAGAAGTTTGAATTAGGCCTTTGAGATCTAATTTAGAGATTCACTCATTTTCCCTGTGTTATCTCCCATGTGTACAGGAAGTATACATTTGTGAAGCTTCTGGTGTTTTGTTATTTTTTTTTTTTTTTCGGTGGGGGTCTGAGTTAAGAACTCCATGAAGGATAGAAGAGAAAATTATTTTTTTCTCCCCTAAAGACTTGAGAATTCTCAGATTATTTAGTACCAAAATTGTGTTTCTGAGAGAACTAAGTATTTTCTCTGCATTAGCCATAACACATATTATTTTAATTAAGGTTTCTGTTTTTTTAATCACCTCATGGAAACACTGAGTCTAGGCTGAGATGGGGGTCTTTAGTATTGGATGAGGCTCACTTATGCCCACTAGCCTTTATGTAGGTATGTTTTACATTTCTTAACATGCACTCATTTAAGTGTATGATTAAATGACTTTCAGTAACTTTAGTGAGTGGTACAACCATCACTAGAAATCAGTTTTAGAACATTTTATCTCTTCAGTAAGATATTTGTGACTGTTTACAGTTAATCCCTGTTCTTACCTTGAGGCCCAGACAACTGCTTATCTACTTCTTGTCTTTATAAATTTGCCTTTCTAGACTTTTTATATAAATGGGAGAATAAAATGTGTGGTCTGTTATGTCTGGCTTCTTTCAGTGAATATAATGTTCCTGAGGCTTATCCATGTCGTGGCAGTTACAAGTTGGCTTCTTTTTATTTCCTAGCAGTATTCCATTGTGTGGACCTACCATATTTTGTCTATCCATTCAACAGTTGATGAAAATTTAAGTTTTCATGACATTTAAATTTAAAGTCATGCTTGTACAAATTTGTAAATTGCCTTGGACATAGTAATCTGTGAAATGCCGGATTATTATTCTTTTTTGCTAAGGATATAGTTACATAATAATTTATATATGAAACAGACTCCTTGGGTTAGAATTGAAATTTCCAATTTACTTTTTATATATAGTGAAAGTATACAAGTACAGCTATTCAGGCTGTTATTAAAAAGACCAAAAAAAAAAAAAAAAACCACCCCAAAATTCGGAAAAGGACGCGTAGTAAAGGGAACTCTTGTACACTCATCGTGGGAATGTGAATTAGTACAGCCATTATGGAAAACAGTATAGAGATTTCTTTAAAAACCAGAAATACAACAACCATAATATTCAGCAATCTCAATGATGGTTATTTATCCAAAGGAAAGGAAATCAGTGTATCAAAGAGATACCTGTCCTCTCATGTTTATTGAAGCATTATTCACAATACCCCTGATGTGGAATCAACCTAAGTGTCCATCAATAGATGAATGGATAACAAAAGTGTTGTATATACACAATGGAATGTTATTCAGCTGTAAGAAGAAATGAAATCTTGCCATTCACAGCAACATGGATGAGTCCAGAGGACATTGTGTTAAATGAAGTAAGTCAGGCACAAAAAGACAAACATCACATGTTCTCACTCATATGGGAGTTAAAAAGAAACCAAAAACCAGATTGAGCTCATAGAAGTAGAGAGTAGAATTACAATTATTAGAGGATGGGAAAAGTAGGCAGGAGGGGAGGATAGGAAGAGGTTATTTAGCCACAAAATTACAGATAAGAGTAATAAGTTCTAATGTTCTATAAGCAGTGTAGGGTGAATATAGTTTACACTAATATACTATATATTTTCCAAATCTAGAAGAGAGGATTTCAGATGTTCACAGCACAAGGAAATGATAAATGTTTGAGGTGATACATATTCTAATTACCCTGATTTAAATCATTACATATTGTATAGTATGTAGAAATATCCCTCTCTACCATAAATATGTATAATTATTGCCTGTCAACTGAAAAGGAAAAAAGAAAATACAGGACGTTTATACACTAAAATACTACAAAAATGAGTTAAACCCATAAGTACTGAAATGAAAAAATGAAGAGAGGCTGGTTAAAGGATATAAACATGTAGTTAGATAGAAGGAATAAGTTCCACAGTTCCGTGGCTTGAACTTGTGGACTCAAGTGATCCTCTGGACTCAGCCTCTTGAGTAGCTAGGACCACGTGAACACACCATGAAGACTGGCTCATTTAAAAAAAAATTTTGTGGAGTTGGGGCCTCACTGTGCTGCAGTCCAGGCTGGTGTAGGAATAAGTTCTAATGGTCGATAACAGAGTAGGAAGGTATAATAAAAGTAGATAATTTAGTGTGGTATAGGAATAGGTTCAGAAATGAAGACTCTTAAAGAATAAAAGTAGAGATCTTGATTTTTTTGCTTTTTTTCAATAGGGACTAATTTCTGTTTTAGAAGTTTATAGTGACATGTATTTTTATACAAAATTTACTCCTAGAAATTTGCATATTATATATGTGTTTCAGAATATCAGGCCAGGTGTGGTGGCTCACGCCAGTAATCCCAGCACTTTGGGAGGCCATGGCGGGTGGATCACCTGAGGTCAGGAGTTGGAGACCAGCCTGGCCAACATGGCAAAACTCCGTTTTTACTAAAAATACAAAAATTAGCCCGTCGTGGTGGCTCACGCCTGTAATCAGTCTACTCGGGAAGCTGAGGCTGGAGAATCGTTTGAACCTGGGAGGTGGAGGTTGTAATTTGCGGAGATAGCACCACTGCCCTCCAGCCTGTGTGACAGAGTGAGAGTTCATCTTAAAATAAAATTAATCTGTTTTATTGATTTTAAAATAAATTCAAATATGTTAAAACTATCAAGCTCAATTGGAAATATTTTTCATTCATTCTGGCTGTGCTGTGGGTGGCAGGAAGGAGAGAGCGCTACAACAGTCCTTGGGGGCTCTGACCTCGAGACTCCCTGAGCAAGAGCCCTAACACCCCTTGGTGCTCTGCCGTTGCTGGCATCTCTGAGTTTTTGGGTGCCGCTGCGTTCCCCTCATCCAGATGTCGATTTCCAAGTCAGAAGCAGGTCGCCGCATGCCTGGCCCAGCCACAGGCCAAGCATAGAACTGCAGTTGGCACAGAATCTGGGCCAGTAGCATGAGACCAGCATGGCCGAGTGGGCAGAATGAGCCCAGCAAAGCCTGATCAGAGGCGCTGCTTGCTGGCCACAGAGATTTCCGGCTAGCGAAGTGGCTTTGAAAGAATCCTGTGTAATCAGCAGACAGAGGGAGGAAATAGATGTACACTAATCCACTCACTCATACAAGTCTATATTTGTTTCTGTATCTATCTGTAAAATGTGTGTGTGTGTATATATTTTTTTTTTTTTTTTTTTGAGACAGAGTCTTGCTCTGTCGCCCAGGTTGCAGTGCAGTGGTGTGATCTCCGCTCACTGCAAGCTCCGCCTCCCAGGTTCAAGTGATTCTCCTGCTTCAGCCTCCTGAGTAGCTGGGACTGCAGGTTCGTGCCACCACGCCTGGCTTATTTTTGTATTTTTAGTAGAGACAGGGTTTCACCATATTGGCCGGGGTGGTCTCGAACTCCTGACCTCTTGATCTGCCCGCCTAGGCTTCCCAAAGTGCTAGGATTACAGGCGTGAGCCACCGCGCCTGGCCTGTATTCCTGTTTAAAAAGCCACACATTAATATGGATGCCTCCAACTCCTGTCCAACGTCACAATATGCATTCTGGCCCTCCCCCTTTCCTTATTTGTGAGTTCTTCTCTGACAGTGATACAAAGCCAGATGTATATTTACTTACTTGTTCAACTATGGTGTACTCATTAAGTACAGAAGTGGTAATACATACCTCTGTGAGAAACAAAAATAACTTGAGTATGTTATTTGTGTACAGCTT